>NC_000016.10:26365273-26668304 GCF_000001405.40 Homo sapiens | reverse complement strand
ACAAAGGAGGCAGAGAGACCCCGCTGCAGAATTCTCCCTCTTATGGGGAGTTAAAGTTAGCCCACGACTTCCGGGTTGGAGTCAGGATAATGCAAACCAGACCTCCAGATGGTTGATTCCTCAAGATAACACGTGGAAACAAGACATGTAGACCTCCGCCCTCTTGTACCACTCTGATGGGTTTCCCACGCCTTTTCCTTGTTAAACCCCTTCACTCAGCCCAAAAGACTGAGATGTCTTCTTTGAGGTAGAAGTCTGGTTATCTCCCATCTGCTGGCATTTGATTAATAATGTTGCTTTCTTTTCACTGTACCTGGTTTCTCATATTTTCAGCCTCTGAGCAGTGAGCAGCTGGACTTAGGCCAGCTACATGGTGGTGTCTACTTGTAGCCCCAGGTACTCAGGAAGCAAAGGTGGGAGGATCACTTGAGCCCAGGCGGTCGAAGCTGCAGTGAGCTATAACTGCACCCTTACCCTCCAGCCTGGGTGACAGAGTGAGATTCCATCTCTAAAAAACAAAAACAAAAAAAATTTAAAAAAAAGGATTTCATCGGCAACACAAGGGATTTAGATTTGATCTGGAGAAGCCATTTTGAGCAGGAAAAAGGAACATCCCAGATGAACCCTGAAGAGTTTGCAAGCAGCCAAGATGGCCCTGTAGGTGGCAGGGGTCAGGACACGGGTCTTGGCCTCTGGATGCGGAGGGGTAGGTCTCGGCTGCGCTCGATTCTTCAATGGCTCCCCGCTGAGCACAAATTGAGAATTCCTTCTGCTCTGTGGGAACCCTGGAGTGGAGAGATGCACTTTTCAATCACTTTAATTCCATATTGATTATTTAAAAGTGGGCCCTTTCTTTACGGCATCACAGCTGAGCAGTAATTGACTGTGTAAGAGGAAGCCCCCGTGCAGGGCAGTGCTAATAAGACATCGTCTCCTGAAATGTGCCCGGGCAGCAAGAAGCCGGCTGGCTGCTCCTGCAGCTCCCACGGATCTGCCAGGAATCAACAAGCAACTGCAAAGTTCCCACATCGGAGTGTTGGTCTTGTCGCAGTCCACTTGGTAGTGTGATATTATGATTACAGAGTCACAGTAAAATATTTGCATAGCAAACAGCAGCATTTCCCTGCAATCATTAGAGAAAGCGAGGAAGAGCCTGAGAACCTGCCAGCCAGGAGTCTGTTTGGAAGCACTCCTGAGCCATCATTTATCCCGTGCCCAGTGTGTGCTAAGTGCTTGATAAAATAATGATGAAAATAATCTTAATAATAGCCGCTTATATTGAGTGCTTATAGGTTGGCAGGCATTGTCCTAAGCACTTAGCGTGCATTATTTTTTTTCATCCTTACGACAACTTTATTAGCTCCATTTTACGGATACAAAAACTCAGGAACAGAGAAGTGTAGTGACTAGCCAGGATCACACAGCTAGTAAGGAGAAGGGTGGATTTAAATGTAGGCCCATCTGACCCCAGAGCCTTATATCACAGCAGTTGAAATCAGACAAGGGACATTCGTGATGCACTTTACACAGTTAAAATTATAGTGATGACTACAGATTACTGCTTTAGTGACTCTCAACCTTTCCCCTAACAGCCTCCTTCCTGTTAGATTTTAACACTCCCAAAACACTGTTTGTATAATGTGGCTTTTTGGAGGCCCACACACCATTGTAATATCTGGGGCACAAAAACCACTGTAATATCTGAGGTTTCTTTGCTCCCTGTCGAACATACATGCTGTAGATAAGAATTATAGAGTTTGTTAGGAGGTCTTTGTAAATTCTATGCAATTTGGATATATTCATTAATTTACTCAAGAAGCTTATGTAGTTTTGTTTGTTTGTTTTTGAGATGGAGTGTCGCTCTGTCGCCCAGGCTGGAGTGCAGTGGCACCATCTCGGCTCACTGCAACCTCTGCTTCCCGGGGTCAAGCAATTCTCCTACCTCAGCCTCCCGAGTAGCTGGGATTACAGGCGTGAGCCACCATACCCGGCTAATTTTGGTATTTTTAATAGAGACAGGGTTTCACCATGTTGGCCAGGCTGGTCTCGAACTCCTGACCTCGCAATCCACCTGCCTTGGCCTCCCAAAGTGCTGGGATTACAGGTGTGAGCAACTGTGCCTGGTGGCTTATATAGTTTTTAAGAGGTGAAGGAAGTGAGACATAGAGAGACTAAGTAATTTGCCTGAATTGACACAGCTAGGTAATAAATAGGGCAGGATTTGAACTCAAGCAGTCTGGCTTCTATGTAGAATTCCTTAACCACTGTACCACACCACTGGATTTCTGGTATGGGCTGTTTTCACATATGTAAGATGTTCACACAAACCTCTGAGAGAAGCATAGGCACTTTCCTCCTCCTTGGATATAAGAGGAGACTGAAGCTGAAGAAGAGGAGGGGATAGGCCTGTGGACTTCTGGCTAAGAAGCAGCAGAACCAAGATCTGAATGTGAGTCCTGGTTATGAGACCCCAGGCGTGAATTCCGTGGAGTAGATCAGCTTTCTTCTTTGTCTCTGGGCTGCGCTGTCTCCCAGGCGTTTTGAGGCATGCCACCCTCTGAGCAACAGTCATACCCACAGCCCACACTCTGCAGAGAAAAGTTTCATCTCATTAGTCAAATTAAAACTTACTTCTGAACTTAGTATATCTGTGTGATAGACTTCAAGCAAATTATAATTTTATTTATTTATAGCTCCCTGTCTTCCAGAAACTTAAATGGCAATATGTTATTGGGCTCATAAAAAATAAAAATAAAAAAAAATAAAATGACACCTCGAGCAGTGCTGTAACTAATTAGGGAGACTTCCAAACTGCTGTTAATTTGAGATGCTAAAATGTGCACCAGCAGCAGCCAGCCTGAGTTCCCCGGGAGGACAGACTCACGCAGCTGTGGAGCTCAGATTTCACATTAAGTCAAACAATTATTTTGACGGGTCGAGTGAGCTCTGCAAAGTGCTATTATAATAAAATCCTTCAATTGCCTTGCCCAGGCAGGTGCACCCAACAAGGGAGGTTGGGTGACGTCAGGGAGTTCTCCATAAGCCGGGTGCGAGGCATTATCTCGACTTAGACATGGCAGATGTTTATTGCAGAGCTCAGATATATGGTCTGGAGCTTTGGGTGAAGCTCAGGAATGACAGAAGCAACAAGCCAGGTTTGCATTTTTTAGAACCCACTTTGACTTTTTTTTTTTTTTGTCTGCCAGCATTATTGTTAATTGTTTTTATTTGAAAGAAAAGTTACAAGATAATGTAAATAATTAGAGTTCCCACACACTTATTACCCAGTTTCCGCTAATGCTACCATTTTACATAATCATGGTCATATTTTTATGCCAGATGCTCTTCTGGATACTGAGGGCACATCTGTCAAGAAAAACAGATGTGATCCCTGTTCTCATGGAGCACAGTCTAGCTGGAGGAGACAGCGCTAGGATAAACCCAAGTCCATGGTCACAAGTGCTGACCATGTTGCTGCTACATCTCTCAGATGCCATCAACTTGTGCCTTGATGGCCAGACATGGTGGCTCACGCCTGTAATCCCAGCACTTTGGAAGGCTGAAGTGGGAGGATCGCTTGAGCTCAGGAATTCGAGGCTGCAGTGAACTATAATTATGCCACAGTACTCCAGCCTGGATGATTGAGCGAGACCTGTCTCTTAAAAAATATATACGTTTTGACCAGGCGCGGTGGCTCACGCCTGTAATCTCAGGACTTTGGGAGGCCGAGAGGGGGCAGAGTCAAGAGTTCGAGACCATCGTGGCCAACATGGTGAAATCCCATCTCTACTAAAAATACAAAAATTAGCTGGGCATGGTGGCACGCACCTGTAGTCCCAGCTACTCAGGAGGCTGAGGCTGGAGGATCCCTTGAGTCTAGGAGTTCAAAGCTGCAGTGCGCTATGATTGCACCACTGGACTCCAGCCTGGGTGACAGGGTGAGACCCTGTCCTTAGCCAAACCAAACCAAACCAAACAGTGTCTTGCTCAGTGTGAGGAGCTGATGAGTGGTGGTGCTGGTGTGTGTCCATCTGGATGAGGGCAGTGGCATCCTAACAGCCCTGGGCTTCATGTGTGTCCAGCTGCACCTCTGCTCAACCTGGCAGCCAGAGGGATCCTGTTGAAAATGTACCATCAAATCACGTCCCTCCTCTGTTCTGAACCTTCCACCGCCTCCTCCTCATGCTCAGGCCACAGGAAATCTTATAATCTTGCTTCCTGCTGCTTCTTGTACTTCTTCCCCAGCCACCAACTCTTTTGCTGTTCCTGGGCTGTTCCTGGAACAAGCCACTCATCTCCTGGAAATCTCCATCCCGGGATCTTTGCTTAGCTGGCTCGCTCCCTTTGTTCACATCCAGCCTGCAATGTCACCCACTGAGAAATGTCCTTCCTAACCATCCGATGAAAGCACAAAAGCACAGCACCTTGCTTTTTTTTTTCTTTTTTTTTTTTTTTTTTTTTTACTTCCAAGAACTTTTCACAACCTGAAAAGTTGTGGATTTTATTGTTCTCTTTCTCTGCCTTCAGTGTAAGCATCTCTGTCCCTGATGCCTAACACAGTACTTGGTCCATAGGAGGCATTTAAATAATATTTGTGGGGTGAAAGTTTGTCTCTGTGTCTGAATTCTTCCCTTCTTCTCCCTTCCCTCCCTCCCCATCTTCATTCCTCCGTCCCTCCATCCCATTTTTCCTTCCTTCTTTCCTTCCTTCCTTCCTTCCCTCCTTCCTTCCAGTTCCCCTTTTCTTCTTTCCTTCCTCTTAAGCAGTTGTTTAATGGCCCCCACGTTGGTCCTGACATACACAGAAGGAGCTTTTCCAAATGCTATGGTTGTCTCCTGATGTGTATCCACCAAAGCCTGTTGGCCTCACTGGAGTGAAGTGCCATAGCTCACATGATGTGGGTCGCCACCTCCAACCCCCACCCAATACATTCTCAAAGCAGACACCTCCTAGCCAAGTTTTTTCTTCCTGCTCTCCTTCAGAGACTCAGGCTTTGGTATGAACAGGACAGATGTGCATGTGCTGAGGCCTCTGGTTCACTCACTTCTACTTTCACCTGTCACTTTCTTCTTGGCCTCTGCCAAGAATTTCAGGCCAGGAGAAAAATTCAAGTCAGCCACCTGCTTAATCTGCTCTTCCCCATTCCTTTCAGCACAACACAGGGAAGAGCAGGCTAAGGAAATATGGCAGGATCAGGGGAAGAGAGACCAGTCAGGGCTGATTTCCATGGGTCTTTTATTTGAGGAGATGCCAGCCCTTACGTGGAGAGACCTTGTAGTCCTTTTAGCCTGGAGCTTCCAGGCTGTCTGAACTGCAGAAGAAGAAGGTGCCCATCTGTTGGTCTTCGGCATCCAACCAGTCCTCTCCATCAGATGGTTGCGGAAGACATCTGTATTAGTCTGTTTTGTGAGACCCAAATCAGGAATACAATTCTATTCACAATTGCCACAAAAATAAAATACCTATGAATACAGCTAAGCAAGGAGGTGAAAGATTTCTACAATGAGAATTACAAAACACTTCTCCAAGAAATCAGAGATGACCCAAACAAATGGAAAAGCATTTCATGCTCATGAATAGGAAGACTCAATATTATTAAAACTGCCATACTGCCCAAAACAATTTATAGATTTAATGGTATTTCTATTAAATTACCAATGACAGGCCAGGCGTGGTGGCTCATGCCTGTAATCCCAGTACTTTGGGAGGCTGAGGTGGGCGGATCACGAGGTCAGGAGATCAAGACCATCCTGGCTAACATGGTGAAACCCTGTCTCTACTAAAAAATATTAAAAAATTAGCTTGGCATGGTGGTGGGCACCTGTAGTCCCAGCTACTCGGCAGGCTGAAGCAGGAGAATGCCATGAACCCAGGAGGTGGAGCTTGCAGTGAGCCGAGATCATGCCACTGCATTCCAGCCTGGGTGACAGAGCAAGATTCCGTCTCAAAAAAAAAAAAAAAAAAAGAAAAAAGAAAGAAACAAAAAAAACTACCAATGACAGTCTTCAAAGAACCAGAAAAAAAACCATTTAAAAATTCATGTGAAACCAAAAAAGAGCCTGAAGAGCCAAGGCAATCCTAAACAAAAAGAGCAAACCTCACACTATCTGACTTCAAACTACACTACAGGGCTACAGTAACCAAAACCCCATGGTGTTGACACAAAACAGACACATAGACCAAGGGAACAGAATAGAAAACCCAGAAATAAGGCCACATGCCCACAACCATCTGGTCTTCAACAAAGCTGACAAAAAGAAGCAATGGGAAAAGGACTCCTTATTCCATAAATGGTTTCTGGGATAACTGGCTAGCCATATGCAGAAGATGGAAGCTGGATCCCTTCCTTACACTATATACAAAAATCAACTCAAGATGGGTCAAAGACTTAAGTATAAAACCCCAAACTATAAAAACTCTGGAAGACAATCTAGGCAATACCATTCTGGACATAGGAATGGACAAAGATTTCATGACAAAGAAACCAAAAGCAATAGAAAAAATCCCAAAATTGGCAAATGAAATCTAATTAAACAAAAGAGCTTCTGCACAGCAAAAGAAACTATCAACAGAGTAAACAGACAACCTACAGAATGGGAAAAAAATATTTGCAAACGATACATCTGACAATGGTCTAATAAACAGCATTGATAAAGAACTTAAACAAATCTACAAGAAAAAAAAGGAATACACATTCCAACATGAGATTTGGAAGGGACAAATATCCAAACCATATTGTTCCATCCCTGGACCCCCAGATGGAATGTCCTTTTCACATTGCAAAATCATCTCTTCTCAATAGTCCCCCAGAGTCTTAACCCATTCCAATATAAAGTCCAAATTCCAAAATCTCATCTGAGACTCAAGGGAAATTTCTTCCACTTAGGTCTTATTTTAAAGTAAAATTATGAAATTTGGGTACCTCTTAAAAAATCCATATCTAACAATAGTAGGCCAGATTTCAACTGGAGAAAGAGGAGTTAAAATGGAGTGGAAGCTGTTTCTTTTTAGGGGGTCATTGAATCTTCATTTTGCCATTGAGCTTAGTTAGCTGATCTCAGTTTTTTCTATTATCTGGCTGACTTCTAAAGGTACTTATATGTATGACTTTTCTATACTGTTCCAAATCTAGGAGCAAAGCAGAATGTCCACATGAAAGAATCCAATCGTGTGATACACCACCCTGCAGATAATATACTGCCAAGCTATGATTATCCAGTGCAAGTCTGGTTAACAAGAAAGATTGTGAGGTGGAAAGGGATTTTCTCATTCTTCAGGGCTCCAGGACAGAAATGAGAACAAGTGGTAGAAACCACAAGCAGGAAGAACCTGGTCCATCCTAAAAAGAACTTTCTAATAACGAGATCTAACAGGAGAATTAGGCTGCTTTATCAAGTAGTGAGGCACCTGGCATTGGAGGCATTCAAGTAGAGACTGTGTGATCATCTGTTGAAATAGCTGAAGAAGAGATATCTATTATAAGAGTCAGAGGAGGTGATAGTTTTAAGGAACATTTTAATGATGAAATTCTTGTGTTCTGATTCCATCACTGGAAGACTGAAAGTTAATGTATGGTGTGGTCGTGGTGGTGGTGGTGGGTGTGTGTACACATGTACACACGTTTGTGTGTTGTATGTGTCAGCTCACTTAATCCTCAGGGCAGCAATCTGGATTGGGTAACATTATTTAGCCTTTTTAACAGAAAATGGAACTTGCCAGAGAGGCCAAACAATGTGCCCAACTCAGCTAGTGAGTAACTGAGTCTGAATTCAAACTTCTATTTCTTCAGTTTCAAAGTACCCCCTCTTCCTAATATATTACACTGCCTCCCGCAAAGAGACATCCTTTTGATAGAATTATTTTTCTCCATTCGCATTCCTCTGAGAAAGAAGGATACATAAATCCACCACCTGCTAGCAAGGCTCAGGTTGTGTACTCAGCATCTATTCCACCATACTAGCCACCTTGATGATTTAGAAACTCTAGCCTGTGCACTGGGGTGGAACTAGTTATACATGCACCACCAGGAGTGTTGATTAAAAATGAATAATCTCGGCCGGGTGTGGTGGCTCAGGCCTGTAATCCCAGCACTTTGGGAGGCCGAGATGGGCGGATCACCTGATGTTGGGAGTTTGAGACCAGCCTGACCAACATGGAGAAACCCCGTCTCTACTAAAAATACAAAATTGGCTGGGTGTGGTGGCGCATGCCTGTAATCCCAGCTACTTGGGAGGCCGAGACAGGAGAATCGCTTGAACCTGCGAGGCGGAGGTTGCAGTGAGCTGAGATCGCCCCATTGCACTCCAGCCTGGGCAATAAGAGTGAAACTCTGTCTCAAAAATAAAAAAAAATAAAAATTAAAAAAATGAATAATCTCAGGCCCCATACCTGGAGGCTTGGATTCAGAAGATCTCTGGACTGGAGCCTAAGAATATATATCTTTGACAAGCTTCTCAGGTTTTTCTGATGTTCAACAATAATAGAAACTTTTGTCCATGATCAGTGTGGAATTTAATACAATGGCCCTCAGCAATTTTTTCATTCATTCATGAATTTCTTATTTCATTTTCTTATACTCAGAGAGCTGAATATGAAGGAACTACCATATGCCAGAATCTGTTCTGGGCACCAAAAAGTTCATCAATGAACAAAATTGACTAAATAAAACCCTTGGCCACATGAAGCTTCCATTCTATTGGGTGTGGGTATATTCATATCCAATTAAATTTTATATATTTTGAAGTAGGAAAAATAATTTAGATATTTTATTTCAAAACTGAAGGACTGAGGGGAAAGTGTTTAATAAGTAATGGTCACTATAGGCTGGGAGAAGGATAGAATGGAAAATGGCTGTTAATAGGTATGGGGTTTCTTTTTGAGATGATGAAAATGTTCTAGAATGAGATAGTGGCAATGGTTGTACAACTTTGTGAGTACACGAAAAACCACCGAGTTGTCTACTTTAATAAGGTGAATTTTAAGTATGTGAATTACATCAATTAAAAAAATTAGATATAAATTAGTGAATAAAGATGTAGAGACACTATTAATAAATCACTCATGCATTGCTATTGGGAATGTAAATGAGGCAGCCACTCTGAAACCTCGTTTGGTGCTTCTTTTCAAAGCTAGACAGGAACTTACCATATGAACCAACAACTCCACCCTTGGGTGTATATCTGAAAGAAATGAAGGCTCATTCAGGAACTTGGACATGAATATTCATGGAAGCTTTATTCATAATAGCCTCAAGGTGGAAACGTCTCACATGTCCTTTAATGGATAAATTGTTAAACAAACTGTGGAATGTTCATACTACAGAATACAAATAGTTAATACAAAGGCATGAACTACTGGTAGAAATGAACTAGTGATGAGAGCAAGTGGTAGAAGGCACAAGAGAGAACTTAGTGCATCTTAAGAACTTTTTAATAATGGGCTCTAACAGGAGAATTGGGCTGCTTAATGCACTCAACAACTTAGATGGACCTCAAGGAAATCATGCTAAGTCTTAAAAGTATGTCGAAAGGAATGATTCCATTTATGTAACATGCATGAAATAATCTAATTATAGAGATGGTTAGGGATGGGGTGAAAGGATGCACGTGGCTATAGAGGGATAACATGAGGGAGTCTTACAATGATGCAATTGGGTAACTTGATGTGGTGATGGTTACACAAGGGTAGAGATGTGACATCATTGCAGGTAATAACACATGCACCCCACCTTCCCATGAGTGCATATGTAACTGTGCAATCTGAATAAAGCCTGTGGAGGTCTGTGGATTGTACCCATGTGGACTTCTTGGTTTTGGTGTTGTACTGTAGTTGTAAAAAATGTTAACGTTGTGAAAGAGTGGAGAATGGTGCATGGGAATTACCTGTAAATTTCTTTTCACGTTTCTGTGAATTTACAATTATTTAAAAATAAAAAGGTAAAAGAAAGTGCCTAATGATCACCTTTTTCATTCAGTCGAAAAAAATTAAGCACCAAATCAGTGTGTTTAGGATTTTACTATTTATGTAAAATAAACAGAAAGTTTTATATATGAACTTCTATGTATATGAATAAACTACCTCTGAAAGGGTACACAGGAAGCTAATACCATCTGTTTAACTCTAGGAACAGAAACTGAGTAACTGGGGTAATAGAGGTGAGCATTGAATTTTTATTATACTTTCTTCTGTGTCTTTAATTTTGAGCCACATGAACAGACCTACTGATCAATAAATGCATAAATATTAAAAATAATTTAATCATGGGACTTCCACTTCTGATAAGGTGGAATGGACACACTTTTCCTCATTCCTCCCAGTATGTACACTGAAAACACCTGGGAATTGTGTATAAAATGAACACAAAAAACTGGAAGATGGAGAGAAGAAGGCAGACTGGCTAAGAACCTCAAAACCTGAAGAATTGCTTGATGGTGAGTTCCCTAGGGTTCATACATCCAAGACTATGGATTGGAGAAATCGTAAACCCAGAAATGCCAATTGATGCAGATAAAGTTCCAAGAAAAGACTATGGTCTGTAGCCAAAGGACCAACAAGGGGACAGCTTGGCAAGATAAAAACTTGTAGACAATAACTGCTGTACTCTAGCCATAAACCATAGAAAAAAAATTGTCACTTCATTCCCATTTCCATCAGCAAGATGGAAGGGAGAGCCTAAATTTCTACCCTCCTCAGGCTGTAATGAGGTACACAAACTCCTCTGCTTCAGTGGTGTCAGTGGAGGCCATATGGGTAGCCTGGATTTCCCTTCCCACTCAGTGATATTAGGTATCTATCCACTTCCTAACAGGGAGAACATCTGTAGAGGCTTAATGGAGTGTCAGAACTTTTACCTTTGCTCAGCAGTAATGAGGTCACACTTTGTGATGTCAGTGGAGGCCACATAGGGAGCAGAAACATGGCTTACTTCCCCTTCCCAGGCAGGGTGGTTATAGTAGATACCTAGTAGGGATCCTGAACTCCCATCCATGCTCAGGAGTAACAGGGAGCTCTTTCCCCACTGGGTATCAATGAAGGCCAAATGGAAAACCTGAAATTCCACTGCCATGTGGCAATAACAAGGTGGAGTCCCCCTGTTCCCTACAGAAGCAGTGTCTGAGGAGGTTTCCTAAAGCACAAGATTTAAATAAGATCCCGAGTTTTAACATAATATCTAAAATGACCAGGTATTAACAACATATCACTTATTATACCAAGGAATGTATATATAATGTAATAACTAGAGCAACCATTTAGAAACCTATACACTTGAAAATAGTAGATAAATCAAAGAGGAATTATTTTAAAAGTGTAAGCAACCCAAAGAAGAGGTAGGAAAGAGAAAACAAAGAAACTAAAAACAGAGAAAACAAACGGAAAACAAAATGTAAATGATAGACCTAAGCCCTAGTATATCAGTAATTACATTAAATGTAAATGGTCTAAATAGACTTATTAAAACACAAATTGCTACAAAGGGTTTTTAAAAAGACCAATTACATAGTGTCTATAAGAAATTGACTTCAATACATAGGTAGATTGAAAGGAAAATGATGAAAAAAGATATACCATGCAGAAAATAATCAAAAGAAAGCAGTAGTGGCTATATTAATATCAGATAAAAATATTCAGGCTGATGAAAATTACCAGTGAAAGCAAGGGCCATTACATAATCATAAAAGGGTCATTCCAGCAGGAACACAGCAATCCTAAATGTGTATGCACAAAACAAAGGAGCTTAAAATATGTGAAGCAAAGTTGATAGAACTGAAAAGAGAAATAGACAAATCTGTAATTAATATTGGAAACAACACCCTTCTATCAATAATTTATCAAACAACTAGACAGAAAATCAGCAAGGATATAGGAAAATTCAACAATGTTATCAACAAACAGGATCTCACTCACATTTATAGAACAGCCCACCCAACAAAAGCACAATACACATTCTTTTCAATTGTACATGGATATGCCAAGATAGACTATATCCTGAGAGTTAAGATAAACCTCAGAAAATCTAAAACATTTAAATCAAGCAGAATGTGTTGTCTTCCCACAACAGAATACAACTAGAAATCAATAACAGAAAGATAACAGAAAAATCTCCAAACACCTGGAAGCTGAACACTACATTCCTAAATGATCCGTGGGCCAAAAAAGCAAGTCTCAAGGGATATTTAAAAATACATTTCACTGAAAGAAAATAAAAATACAACATATCAAAATTTGTGAGACAGCTAAAAGGATGTTAAGAGTGAAATTTATGGCATCTATGTAATTAGAATAGTTTCAAATCAATAATTTAAGTTCTCCCCTCAAGAAACTAGGAAAAGCAAAAGAGCAAAATAAACCAATGCAAGTAGAAGAAAGGGAATAATGTACAAGCAGAAATCAATGGAATTAAAAACAGGAAAACAATAAAAAAATCAATGAAACAAAGCTTGTTCTTTGAAAAGATCAATGTAATAGATAAAACTCTGGCAAGACTGACAAAGAAAAAGGAAGACAAAAACTTCAAATATTAGAAATAAAATAGGATAGATCATTACAGACCCTGCAGTCATCTAAAGAATAATTAAAAAACACTACAAACCACTCTACACAAATAAATTTGATAACTTAAATGAAACGAACCAATTTCACAAAATACACAAACAACCACTAAATATGAAGTAGTTAATTCAAAGAGCCCTGGAAGTATTAAGGAAATTAAATTAGTAAATTAAAACCCCCAAAAAAGTAATCTTCAGGCACTGATGGTTTTGCTGGAGAATTCTACTAAATGATTAAAGAAGAGTTAACATTGACTCTACACAACATCTTCCAGAAAATAGAAGAGAAGGGGACATTTTCAATTCATTTTATGAAGCCAACATTACCATCCTACTAACCTCAGACAAAGAAGGTAACAAATAAACAAACATTACAGAGGAATATTCCTCATGAAAATAGATTAAAAATTATTAACAAAATATTAGTAAGTAGAAATCAGTAATATGTATGTAATTATTTTATTAGTAATCCTTCTTATTCCAGGAATGGAAGACTAGTTCAAATTTTTAAAATCAGTGTAACTCATCATATTAATAAGCTAAAGAAGAAAAATATCACATTGTTATCTCAATTAATGTGGAAAAATCATTTGATGAAATTCAATACCCATTTATTATAAGAACTCTCAGGAAAATAAGAATGAGGGGGACTTCCTTAATTTGATAGAGACCATTCATACAAAAAATTTTAAAATAAATAGTCTCTATCAAATTAAGGAAGCTAACATCATACTTTGCGGTGAGTGCATGAATACTTTTCTCTCTAGATCAGGAATGACATAAGGATGTTCACTCTCAATGTTACTATTTAACACTGTGCTAGAAGTTCTAGCCAGGGCAATAAGGTAAGAAAAGGAAATAAGAGACGTATAGATCAGAAGGGAAAAATAAAGCTATCCCTGTTTGTAGATGAAATAATTGTCTATCCAGAAAATCTCAAGGAATCCAAACAAATTTTTTAAAGTGAGCTTAGCAAGGCTTCAGGATGCAAGATCAACATACCCAGATCAATTGTATTTGTATATACGAGCAACAAACACATGACAACAAAAGCTAAGAATATAATACCACTTAGAGTCGCTCTAAAACTCTGACTACTTTGGTATAAACCTGACAAAAACATGCACAGAATTTATATGCTGAAAACTATCAGATGGTAATTGAAGAAAGGAGATCCAAATAAATGGAGAGATGCCTATGGATTGGGAGATTTTGAATTCTCCCCAAATTTATATATAGGTTTAGTGCAATTCGTATTAAAATCCCCATAAAATATTTTGAATATATAGAAAGAATTTTCTGAAGTTTATTTGGAAAAACAAAAGAATAGGGATAGTTAGAACGATTCTGAAAAGTAAGAGTAAAATAAAAGGAATTACTCTATCCAGTTGCAAGATTAATTATATAAAACTATAATGAACAAGACTTTGTGATATTGGCAAAGGGATAGAAATATAACTCAATGGAATAGAATAAATAACCTAAAATAGGCCGGGCACAGTGGCTCACGCCGGTAATCCCAGCACTTTGGGAAGCTGAGGCGGGCGGATCATAAGGTCAGGAGATAGAGACTATCCTGGCTAACACGGTGAAACCCCGTCTCTACTAAAAATTCAAAAAAAAAAAAGAAAAAAAAAATTAGCCAGGCGTGGTAGCGGGCGCCTGTAATCCCAGCTACTTGGGAGGCTGAGCCAGGAGAATGGCGTGAACCCGGGAGGCAGAGTTTGCAGGGAGCCGAGATTGCGCCACGGCACTCCAGCCTGGGCTACGGAGCGAGACTCCGTCTCAAAAAAAAAAAAGAACCTAAAATAGTAGCATCACGCAAATATGGTCAACCTAGTTTTGACAAAGGTGCAAAAGTAATTCAGTGGAGGAAAGATAGTCTACAAGTGGTCCTGGAACACTAGACACTCATAGGCAAAAAAGGAACTTTGATTTAAACCTCTTACCTTATACAAAAACTAACACAGAATTTTTCGTGGATTCTAATGCAAAATATAAAACTATACAATATTTGAAAATAACACAGGATAAAATTTTCTGAACCTAAGGTTTGGTGAAGAGTTCTTAGATGTGACACCAAAAGCATAAGCCATTTAAAAAAAATAAATGAACTAAACTTCATCCAAAGTAAAAATCTTTGCTCTCTAAAAGATCCTGTTAAGAGTATGAAAAGACAGGCTACAGATTGGGAGTTATATTTGTAAACTACATATGTGACTAAGTAGTAATATCGAGAATATATTTTAAAACTTGTCAAAACTCAGCAGTTGAAAAAACAAACAATAATGCAATTAGAATATGGACAAAAGGGCCGGGTGCGGTGGCTCACACCTGTAATCCCAGCACTTTGGGAGGCCGAGGCGGGCGGATCATGAGGTCAGGAGATCAAGACCATCCTGGCTAACATGGTGAAACCCCGTCTCTACTAAAAATAAAAGAAATTAACCGGGTGTGATGGCGGGCGCCTGTTGTCCCAGCTACTCGGGAGGCTGAGGCAGGAGAATGGCATGAACCTGGGAGGCAGAGCTTGCAGTGAGCCGAGATCGCGCCACTGCACTCCAGCCTGGGCGACAGAGCGAGACTCTGTCTCAAAAAAAAAAAAAACAAAAAACAAACAAACAAACAAAAAGAATATGGACAAAAGACAAGAATAGACATCTCACTGAAGATATGCAAGATGGCACAAAAGCAAATGAAAAGATGTTTGACATCACTGGGACTTAGGGAAATGCAAATTAAAATCACAATGAGCTATATCACTACACACCTGCTGTAATACTAAGTTTAAAAAATAGTGACAAATAGCAGATTATGGGGAGGATGTGGATAAACTGGATCACGTATACATTGCTGGTGGGAATGTGCAATTATCTAGCCACTTTGGTAAATAGCTTTTTAAAAAAAACTAAACATACACTTACCATATGATCCAGGAATTGTACTTCTGGCCATTTTCTGAAAGAACTAAAAACGTATGTCCACACAAAACCTGTACATGACTGTTTGTAGCGACTATATTTGTAATAGCCAAAAACTGGAAGCACATAAAATGCCCTGTATACAGGAATGGTTAAATAAACTGCTACACCCATGCTATAGAATACTACTGATACAGTTTAGATCTGTGTCCCCGCCCAAATCTCATGTAGAATTGTAATCACCAATATTGGAGTTGGGGCCTGGTGGGAGGTGATGAGGGAGGTTTCTGATGGGTTAGCACCATTCCCCAGTGCTATCTCATGATAGAGTTCTCACCAGATCCAGTTGTTTAAAAGTGTGTGGCACCTCCCAGCTCTCTTTTCCTCCTGCTCCAGCCATGTTAGACATGCCTGCTTCCCCTTCTCCTTTGCCTATGGTTGTAAGTTTCCTGGGGCTTCCTGGAAGCAGATGCCAGCATCATGCTTCCTGTACAACCTGCAGAACCACGAGCCAATTAAACCTATTTTCTTTATAAATTACCAAGTTTCAGGTATTACTTTATAGTGATGTGAGAACAGACTAATACAACTACACAGCAATAAAAAGGAGTGAATTACTGATAGACTCAATAATTTAGATGGATCTCAAGGGCATTATGCTGTGTGAATAAAGCCAATCTCAAAAGATCACATACTGTGTGATTCCATTGTATGACATTCTTGAAATGACAACATTTCAAGTTGGAAAACAGATTAACGATTACCTAGCATTAGGGCAATTGCAGAAGTGGAGGTGGAAGGGATGGTGGAGGTATCACTCTAAAGGAGTGGCAGGAGGTAGACATTTGTGGTGATGGAATTATTCTCTATGTTGACTGTGGTAGTTGCAGGAATATATACTCATGATAAAATAACATAAACCTACACACACAGATTGTACCAATGACAAGTCACTAGCTTTGAAATGGTATGATAAGTATGGAAGATGTAACTGAAAGTAGCCAAATTGTCCCATAGAAGTGATGTTATGGTTTCTTTTGAATAAACATAGAAACTGACCCTCCCAGTCTCAAAACTTGAGAAAGTTACATTTGTCTTTTCTGATTCCGTTGTCAAGAAACCAACCATCAGGCATCCCAAATAGTACTAAGGAACTGAAACTCACCAGATCACAGCATCTAGACAATGAGACATCAGACCCCTCACTCGTCATGGTTGCCTAACCAACCACCTGCCTCCTGTTGACCAGCTCCTCTTCCTTACCCCTCTCTAATTCTCATTTTCCCACCAATAGTTACATTTCTTCCCTGCTATATAAACCCCTAATTTTAGTTGCTTGAAGAAACAGATTTGAGACTGATCTCCCATCTCCTCAGCTGCATCACCTAAATAAAGTCTTCTTCCCTGGCAATACTCATTGTCTCAGTGATTGGCTTTCTGTGCAGTGAGCAGCAGGACCTGGACCAAACCCTTGGTATTTCAGCAACATAACCATTGGGGGGAAATGGGTAAAAGGTAGGTAAAAGGTACACAGGGACTTCCTATATGATTTTTGCAACTTCCTGTGAATTTATCATTTATTTTTAAGTAAAAAAAATCCAACCAACAGAATGTTAGATAGTAGAGATATTTGTGATGTATAAGTCAACATTTTTATTCAGTATCTACTATGTGCCCTTGGCTCTTAAGGAGCTCTGACAGGGTGATACACCTAAGCTGATTGATGCAGGGATGGAGGATGCATTCAAACCACAACTTCTTTGAAGACCAGGAAGATTCTCATGGTGGGCACCATTTATGCCAGACTTGGAAGGATTTCCCAAGTAAACTTGGTTGGGT
This sequence comes from Homo sapiens, assembly GCF_000001405.40. Classification (NCBI taxonomy): domain Eukaryota; kingdom Metazoa; phylum Chordata; class Mammalia; order Primates; family Hominidae; genus Homo; species Homo sapiens. Next base: position 26,650,996 of record NC_000016.10, on the reverse strand, counting down.
TTTAGGAGAAATGGGGATCAACATGTAAGAAGGGGCTGGGTGCGGTGGCTCATGCCTGTAATCCCAGCACTTTGGGAGGCCAAGGCAGGTGGATCACCTGAGATCAGAAGTTTGAGACCAGCCTGGCCACCATGGCGATACTCTGTCCCTAGTAAAAATTAGTCAGTTGTGGTGGCAGGCTCCTGTAGTCCCAGCTACTCGGGAGGCTGAGACAGGAGAATTGCTTGAACCCAGGAGGCAGAGGTTGCAGTAAGCCGAGATCACACCACTGCACTCCAACCTGGGCAACAGAGTGAGACTCTATCTCAAAACAAACAAACAAACAAATAAACAAACAAACAATGCATTCCAACACACGTCCAAACAAACAAACAATGCATTCCAACACATGTCCTGGAGTAGAAGATGTGGCTGGAGAGAAAAACAGGCCAGAGTGGGAAAGAATGAAAAGGTTTGGGCTGTCTCTCAGTCTTGGCTGTTCCCATTCCTATCCTTACATTCTAGCCTGCTTTTTTTTTCTTTTTTTTTTTTCTTTTTTTGAGACACAATCTTGGTCTGTTGCCCAGGCTGGAGTGCAGTGGCATGATTTGGGCTCACTGGAACCTCTGCCTCCCAGGTTCAAGCGATTCTCCTGCCTCAGCCTCCCAAGTAGCTGGGACTACGGGTGTGTGCCACTACGCCCGCTTAATTTTATTTTATTTTTTTTTTTTGAGGCAGAATCTTGTTCTGTCACCAGGCTGGAGTGCGGTGGCATGATCTCAGCTCACTGCAACCTCTGCCTCCTGGTTCAAGTGATTCTCCTGCCTCAGCCTCCCAAGTAGCTGGGACTGAAGGCACATGCCCCCAGGCCTGGCTAATTTTTTTTTTTTTTTTTTTGTATTTTTAGTAGAGATGGGGTTTCACCATGTTGGCCAGGATGGTCTCGATCTCTTGACCTTGTGATCTGCCCACCTCGGCCTCCCGAAGTGCTGGGATTATAGGCATGAACCACCGTGCCTGGCCCCTGGCTGCTTTTGAACAGATCACTTGCAATTCTTTGAACAAGCCAATCTTTTTTAGGCTTCCAGGCCATTGCATATACTGTGTGGTTTACCTGATTAGCTTCCACTTAATCCTCAGGTTTCAAAACAAATAGCACATCCTGTAGGAAGCCTTCTCTGACTTCTCCTTTCCCCTGTGTGGGTTAATTGCCCTTGTTTCGTGTTGCACCTGGCATCTCCTGCTTCATAGCACCTTTTCACTGCAGTTAGGTAAGACCCGATAGAAAGTTAGATTGTGGGAATGGAGGAGAAGCATGGAAGAATACAGGAAGAAATCCAAAGTCTTGGTATAAAAGACAGAATCTTGCTTGTGTATGAATTTTATATCCACATTTGCTTGTAAATGCTTAAAATATCCCTGGAAGGATACCCAAAAATTCAGATCACACTTGTTTAATTCCAGGAATGAATTACACTCCAAAAAATGAGTCTGGACTGTAGACAAGATGCTTGTGAAAGGAGTCAGGGCTGGGCAGGTGGTTTGGTTTGGGTTCCTCTAGCATACACCCTGAGACCAGGACTTGGATGTAGGTAGTTTTTCCACAAGGTGATCCCAGGGAGCCCAAGTTGGGGAATGGTGAAGGTGAGACAGGGAAGGAAGGAAATCCAATAAGTGTTGCCATTCATGAGCAGGTCACTGCTGCAAGCACTTGGGGTTCAATCCTGCTGGGGTGTCTCTGAAGAACTACCTCAGCATCACACCAATGGGGCTTGAGAAGGCTGGGCCACTGTCTACTGTCTACTGACTCCTTTCAACCACTCCTGTTGTTTACACCTCCTGTTTGTGCTATAGCAAGTCCTATGGTGGATGGTGCAGAAGGCTAGGCATAAGCCTAATACAGCATAAGGCATAAGCCTAAATGCTTATGGCTAGATTGACACTACCAGAGGAGAGGGGAGTCTTCATGTTTTCTACTGGAGACTGAGGTGGGCAGTTGTTGGCCTGCTTAACAGCTGGGGACCCCAGGAGGCAGACGGCACACAAAGAGGGGCATAGATAGCACCTCCTCTGGGTGGGGTCAATAAATCCACTGCAGCTCACATTGGCATGGGATCTGTGTGCTTCTGCTGCTGATGCTAGAGGCACCGTCCTCAGAATCCACCTTCTGATAACAAAGAGAGCTGTGGCAGCCCAGTCTTCCTGGAAACGAGCATGAGCATCATTTTGAGGCAGATAAAGGAGGGATTACCACCTCCCCTTTTCAAGATGAAGAGTTAAAGCTCAGAGATCTTATGTCACTTGCTTTTGAACACCCAAGTCCTGCTAAATCAAGACACTTAAAAACATCCCAGTTGTTTTTTTTTTTAAATTATGTCTTAGATGCCAGGACCCAGAAAACATCTGCTAAGTACACATATTAATGAACCAGTGCTTCCTTGTCTCCATGCACAGATGTGAATGGGAACTTTAGGTTGTTCTTCTTGCTAATCCCTAGCCAGAGTTTCATGGGCAATGACTGGAATTTGTGTGCTAGCCAGCCATTTCCTAGAGTTGACATTTTTCAGCATCAGACAGAAAGATGCTAATGGGTGATAGTTTCTTCAGATACATGAAAGTCTCTAAGCAGAATCAAAGATGCCTCCTCTTTGCATAGTGGGAGCTCCATGGCACCAACTCAAGTCCTGGCAAACACTAAGTGTTGCTAATGCAACCTAATGGGCCATAGCAGCTGAGATACCTGGATGCTGTGAATTTCAGAGGGATTTCCATGTGCCCGTTCAGTGGGCTGAGTGGACCCAATAAGGATGTAGTGGTCACAATTTGGACTCTTCTTTTGTATTGTCCTTCTCCTGCAGTTCCTGCTGGACCACGACTGTGTTTATACTCTGTCACCTCATCCTCCTGGCTGTAGCTGATTAGAGCACTGGTGAATCATGAGATTTAATCCTTGACTGGGATGATTGAATGAGGGTCCCTCTGGAGACTATGAAGTAATATATACAGAAACTATAATCAGGTGGTGGTGCTTGGACTGGAAGGCCATACGGAGTCAGTTCAGACCTGGGGACTTTGCAATTCAAAAGGAAGTCATGGGTTTCAGTAGGAATTCTTTCTACCGTAAGTGACAGAAAATTAAAAACAAATTAGCTTATACACAAAAAAGGGGATTTACTGGCTCAGGCAACTGTAAAATCCAGGCTAATGTAAGCATCAGGTGTCACTTGATACAGGGGCTCAAATGATGTCGTGCAATCTATTTCCCTGTCCTACTCCATGTGCTGGCTTTATTCTCAAACAGGATTTGTCTTGGTCATTGGAAGATGACTCCAGCAGCCCCCAGACCTATCTCCCTTATCTTGAAATCTCCTTAGTAAAGCGAGGCTTTCCAAAATACCCCAGCAAAAGCCTCTCTGCATCTTATTAACTGTAGGTCAATGGGACTTTAACCAAATCATATGAACTGACAAAAGGGAAGGAGAGGATCCCCAAACATCTGGAAGAAGAATGAATGTGTGGTGAGTAGTCCACATCACCATTACTAAGTGGAGGATGGTTTTATGCAGAGAAGGAAATGGAGCTGGTACCCAGGGCAAAACAGAAATTAGAAAACCATGGTCATATAGGGAGGCTAGCGAAGGAGAGAGGGGAGGGAGGAAAGGAGTGATAAAGAAACTCCCATAGCGTCTCCCTTTCTTAGTTTTATACTGTCTTAGTCTGTTTGAGTTGCCATAATGAAATACCATAGACTGGTTGGCTTACAAACAACAGAAATGTATTTCTCACAGTCCTGGAGGCTGGGAAATCCAAGATCAAAGCATTGACAGGTTTGGTGTCTGGTGACAGCCTGCTTCCTGGTTCATATTTGGCTGGGTTTTTTGTTGTTGTGTCCTTACATGGGGGACGAAGCAAGGCGGGGGGTGGGGGTCGCTGGATTCCCTTCTATAAGGCCACTGCTCCTCTTCATGAGGGTTCCATCTTCGTGACTGCATTTAATCCTAATTACATCCCAAAGGCCCCACCTCCTAATATTAGATTGGTTCAAATGTAATTGGAGTTTTTGCCATTAAAAGCAATGGCCATTTAATTTGCCATTAAAGGTAATGGCAAAAACCGCTATTACTTTTGCACCAACCTAATACCATCACATTAGAGGTTAGGCTTGAACACGTGAACTTAGTGGAGGGCTGGCAGGGGGCAGTCACAAACATTCAGTCCATAGCATATTCCATCCCCAGATGTCCCATATGGAATTACCTTTGTGTCCTTATAAGAAACTCCCCCCCTTTTTTTGCAAAGTGGATTCTGTTTCTTACCACCACTACACCCAAACTCAGACTGAGAAGTGCTCAGTTACCCTGGCCACAGGCACAGATGGCTGGATTGACACTACCATGAGGCAAACCATGTGTCTAGATGCACTTTAATAGATGAATCATGAGCATTAATTTCTCAAACTGCAATTGTCTCCCCAGTTACTAAGCACTGTTAGTCCTAATTAACCAGTTTGCAGGCAATTTTTCAACCTATCAAGTAGAGAAATAAAATAATGAACCCAGTTGAGGAGGAGTGGAAAGGTGGTGAGTTCACTGGGGAACTAGTGTTTTATTACCAATTCCACTCATGGTTGAGCTGCAGAGGGTTTTTTCTTCTTTATTTTATTTTATTTTCCTTTTTTTTTGCCACCTTTCCCCTAATCATACCTTCAAGTCAGGAGAATCCTGTCAGGATATTAAGATGAAAGATGCCTCTAAGTTTCCCTAATAAAAGAGCTCGATTTAATTCATGATTACACCCAGTTAATTTGGATGCCTTAATGATCCCGTTTGCAGGGAAAAGAAATCAAATGAATGTGTTATGCCCACCTTATTTGATAGCATCTCAAAGGAGTTTCTGTATTAGGAAACAAAATATTAAAAACCTTATTGCTCTGTTTCCAGATGTGTGTTTGGACGCTGGCATTCTTTCATTTTGATGACTTGAATCAACAGGAAGTCTGAAAGGAAATAAAGGGGCAAACCAGCTCATTAAAATTCCAGAAGTCCTAAGTCCCTCATTATACGGCCTTGTCTGGTTTTCCACTTTCCCCTTCTCCCGCTGCTGCCTGGACCACATACAGCAGGTGCTCAATAAATGCCTGTTGAAGAAAGGAGAGCTCCCCTCCGGAGCTCAGCACTCCCGCCGCTGCCCCACCTTGCTGGCCCCTTGGGGGCGCTGCTGCCTCTCAAACACTTGGCGCAGATCTGAGCCGGCTCTCTCTGTTCCTGGGTTTTCTTGAGCAGAGCTGAGAGGCTGACATTTCCACAAAGAGCATCGCTGAAAATGTGTGAGAAGCTGGGGAAATAAACAAGGAAAATACATGACTCTATAAAATATCCATGTTTCCATATGAACTCCAGAACTCTAGTCAAGGTGGCCGAGAGATTTGCCAGACTCAACTTTTTCTGGCTTCTGGCCACTCCTAGCTCTGTCTGCATCTCCCCTCTCCAGCTCCACGTGGCCAGGGCTACCTGTTTTCCGTGTTGAAGGAGCTCTCTGCTGGGCACTTTCCCTACCTCCTAAGATTGTACGAGAAAAATCTTCCTCTTTCATGAATTCAAAGGCTTTGAATTTGCCAGTCACATGTCTGGCAGCTGGTGTCAGCTGTTGGCTGAGGCATCTTGGTTCTGCATGTGGCCTCTCACGTGGTTTACTGTAGACCAGCTCCCTCATCAGTGGTCTCAGAGAGGAAGCCTCAGTGCACAAGTACTCATTACACTTCTGCTGGCACCAGGTTTGTACATGTACCATTGGCCAAAGCAAGTCACAAAGCCAAGCCCAGAGTCAATGAGGAGAGGCACACACAGAGTAATGGATGCATGATGCGCTGGGGTCCTTACTGTAGCAAACTACCTAGGGCAGCATGGTAGTGGCCAGTCAAGTCATTCTCAGTGGGACCCCTACCAAGTGGTTCGAGATACTGCAGTAAATGCTCTGGTAGGGTGACTGGTAGAAACATTTACGAGATTGGTGCAAAAGTAATTGTGGTTTTTTGCCATTAAAAATAATGCCATTAGGCCAGGCGCGGTGGTTCACGCCTGTAATCCCAGCACTTTGGGAGGCCGAGGCGGGTGGGTTACCTGAGGTCATAAGTTTGAGACCCGTCTGGCCAGCATGGTGAAACCCCGTCTGTATTAAAAACACAAAAATTAGCCAGGTGTGGTGGCACATGCCTGTAATCCAAGCTAGTTGGGAGGCTGAGGCAGGAGAACTGCCTGAGCCTGGGAAATGGAGGTTGCAGTGAGCTGAGATCACGCCACTGCACTCCAGCCTGGCCAACAGAGTGAGACTCTGTCTCAAAAAAATAAACAATAATAATAATAATGATAATGCCATTGAAAGTATTTGTTTATTGGATCTTTTTAGATTTTGTTGATCTTGTGGGACCTGAGAAAGAAAGAAAAATCTGTGGGTTATAGAGAGGCCTGCATGCTATGTTCTGTGTACAGGCCTTGCTCCCTGTAGCCCAAGGGGGATGGGAGTGAGAGGAACCCATCTGAGCCTCGACTCTGCTGCACTGGGAGGGAAATTCTTGTAGGTCTCTTCTGCATCTGTGTGGGATGTAGCTCCTTTCTGGACCTCATCTCAGGGGTAATTCTTTTTAATAAAAAGAAAAAACAAAGCCCTGTTGAACTAGGTCGAGATAGAATGTGTATGAGCACATTTGTGTGCTGAGAAACTGGATCCACTATACCAGTATCCTAAAGATGGGAGGAATTACAGTCAAGTAAGCTGGTAGAAGACAAAGGTCTCTGAGATGGGACCACCCATCTTCTCTGGGAGCTTCTGTGTTATTTTATATCTATGTGACTGATCACCTTAGCGTGTGCTTGTGTGCATGTGTGTAAGTGTGTATGACAGCGAGAGAGAAAGGGAGAAGGAGGGAGGAAGGGAGAAGAATATGGAATGTGTACATGAAGCAGATATTGCTAGTTCTCCCAGCACAGTCCCTCAGCCCACCCTAGACTGTAACCTGCACAGAGTTCCTCCCTGTAGCAGTCCCTGGTGCCCAGCACATCTCTCCCTTAGCCATTTCCCTGAGGGGGTTTTCATGCATATGTGGGGTCAGACCAGAAGCACCAACAGGGTAAGCCCACAGGAGGGATCCTCCACCCTGGAATTGGTGCATAAACGCTGCAGCCTTCTTCTCCCTCCTTGGGACAATTCTGAAGCACGTCCCACACTGTCTCAGAGGATCCCAGCAGCACTAAGCTTCAGCTGCCCACAGCAACAGTGCACTTATTAGCACACACTCTGTTGGCTTTTCTCTTCCCTGACTCACTTCTCCACTCCCTCATCAGGCTTCCTGGGATCATCTCCCAAATAAACTGCCTGCACTCAAGAACTTGACTCAGAGTCTGCTTCTGAGACACCAACTGGAGACAGCAGAGGTGGGTATAGTGAGATCGTCTGTGTGTTTGTGAAACTATTTTATTCACAAATTGAGGAAGATGTGTGTGTGTGTGTGTGTGTGTGTATGTGTGTCTAAGAGAGTGAAAGAGCAGCAGAGGGTGGAGGGAAGAAGAGGAGGAGGAGGATAGAAGGAAAGAGAGGAGGGGCAGGGAAGAGATGAAAGAGAAGAGAAGGTGAAATCTGCTGACATCTTGAGCACCCACCTATGCTTCTTGGACCTATGAAATGTCACTTCCTCCTGAAGGTGGTTCTGATCCCCCAAACACAGATCCCCACTCTCAGCTCAGTAGGATTAACCCCTCCCCACATCCTGCCCAGACTATCAGGGCATTTGAATGGCAGCTGTTTTCAGATCCATCTTTTTATTCTTTGGTCCTGAGTGCCTCATTTGACCCTGGCATGTAAACTGTGTCAATGAATAAATGAAAGGAAGATAGAATGGAGGAACAAATGTCAGCAGCATAAAAATAATTGAAATTTGAAAAGATTTAGATGCTTTCAGAGGAAAAAGCACTTTGGGAGGTCAAAGTGGGCAGATCGCTTAAGCCCAGTTTAAGACCAGCCTGGACAGCGTGGTGAGACCCTGTCTCTACAAAAAATGTGTTAGCCAGGTGTGGTGGTGTGTGCCTGCAGTCCCAGCTACTCAGGAGGCTGAGGTGGGAGGATCACCTGAGCCTGGGGAGGTTGAGGCTGCAGTGAGCCAAGATTGTGCCACTGCACTCCAGCCTGGGTGGCAGAGAGAGAGAGAGACCCTGTCTCAAAAAAAATAAAAAAATAAAAAATAAAAATAAAAAAAAGGGTAAGCTGGATAGTGGCCCTGGGGGCTCAGATATCCTCACACTCATCTCCAAGCATTCATCTTGATGAAGAGGGACAGAAAGGGTGATGATAGTAGTGGCAGGAGGGGACAGGCCCCTGAACCCAAGTTGTAAGAAGCCCTCCTACCCTCTCTGGAGTTAACTGTTGCAGACACAGAGGGGAGCCGCACTCCCTGGGCAGCCTCCAACCCCACCTCCCTTTTTAAAGTGGTTCAATTCCCTTTTTTAGAGTTAGTGGAGTAAGCTGATAATTAAGCAATTAAGCATCAAAGGGAGGCTCTGAGAGCCTTGCCACTTGTTCAGAGAAAAACAGGGGAGAAATCACAATGGAGATAAAGGACACTTAATCTGAGCCCTCCTTTCAAAGGCTGTATGGGTCCCAGGGTGCTGGGGCTCCGGAGGGTCTAGTGTCCATGTCCAGAGAGCTGTGGATGTGGAGGTGTGAGCAAGTCCTGGACATACCCCAGCCTTGGGGGACTTGGCTTCCAAGAGGTGGCATGTCTACCCCTGCCACTGCATGGCTAGTGTGGACATGAACTTCCTGTTTTGGTTTGTTTGTTTTTGAGACAAGGTCTTGCTTGGTTGCCCAGGCTGCAGTGCAGCAGCGCAATCATAGCTCACTGCAGCCTCAACCTCTCAGGCTCAAGCGATCCTCCCACCTCAATCTACTGAGTAGCTGGGGCTGCAGGTGCGCACCACTATGCCTGGTTAATTTATTTTTATTTTTATGATTTTGTAGAGAAGAAGTCTCATTATGTTACCCAGGCTGGTTTTGAACTCCTGGGCTCAAGCAATCCTCCCGCCTCAGCCTCTCAAAGTGCTGGGATGACAGGCATGAGCCACTGCGCTTGGCCGAGACGAATTTCTTAGACTGGGATCGGAACAGTCCTGGAGGTCCTCTGGGCTGTGCTGGCGGGCTAGAAAAACATAGCCCATCTTCCTCCTGTATTGAGATGGTATATATTTAAAAATAACTTAAAACATCATTTTTAAACCTAAAACAAACATTTCTTTGTTAAAAACATTCTGTGCTGGGCACTGGGAATACAGCAGGGCATCAAACAAACAAAATTCCTGGCCACCTGGAGCTTCCGTTCTAGTTGGAGGAGACAGATAATGAAAAGATGAATATGTAAAGCATCCAGAATGTTGGGGAAGGATTCGTATAATGCAGAAGAATGAGGCAGGGGAGGGAGATGGAGGATGGGGGTGTAACTTTAAATAGGGCAGTAAAGAAGGCTTTACTAAGAAGGAGAGATTGCAACGTTAAGGAAACAAACCTTGTGAAGATGCCCACACCCATATTCATTACCCTTGCATCTCTAGTCACATTACCTGGACAGTCTTGAAACTGGTTTCTCTGTGTCTGGTTCTTCTCCTTTTGTTCTGTCCTCTGCACTCCAGCCAAAATAGCCTGGACCCATTCAGACCTGAGCACATTACTCATCTGCCTAACCTCCAAGATGGACCCATCCAAAGGGGGTAAGAACTCAGATGTCCACAGGCACTAGGCCAGAAGTGAAAAGTGGGTGCAGTGGGCAGAGTGGGGGCTGTGTCAACAGAAGAATGCAAGATGGGTCTAAAAGGACACACGTTCTGCAGCCCCAGTCAGTAGCAGTGAATAAATAAGGGCCCGGTGCTGCCAGATTTTGAATTTTTCAAATGAGAACTGACATTCAGATGGTTATGTAAGGTTCTTGTCACTTACAAATATTGGTAGTTAATTAAAATAATTTTTCATGGGTAGGTAGATGGGGAGGGGGAGGAATATATCCAGTCTTTATTCTCTTTTACATCTTCACCTCCCTCCCTACCTTTCTTGTGTTTTCTTCTTTCCCTTTTCTAATAATTGAGGGATGACAAATTGCTACAAATTGTCACTAGACTTCAATCAGAGGAAATCAGATTGAGTTGGAACAAAATTTTGTTGACATCATGATACAGTCCTGATATCTTAACTTAGACCAATTAATTTTAAACACAAATTAAAAAAATAATTTTAAACACAAATGGGCCAAACAAAACTTGTCTGTGGGCCAAATCTGGGCCTCTGGGACCACCAGCTTGCAAGTTCTGGTGTAGAGGATAAAATCTCATCTCTTGACCAAAGCACTTCTGGTATCTCATCATCTGCACAAACTTATCCTCCCAGCTTCATCTGCCTCCGCCGCCCATCTCTCCAAACACACACCCCTGTTTCAGCTACAGCAAACTGCTGTTTCTCAGGTCCATCAACCACTTTCATGCCTCTGAGCTTCTTTTTCCTCTAGGTAAGATGGCGAACTGCTGTTCACACTGCAAGACCCAGCTCAAAGTCACTTTCTTTGTGAATCCTTCCTTTATCCTTCAGCCCATAATTCCTCCTTCCTTGCAGGACTAGGCACAATTATTTGCTGTTAGATAACAACACATTGTACGGTAAATTGTTCACATGTCTACCTTCCCCGTCAATCTATGACTTTCTTGAAGGAGGGACTGCTTCTGCTTTCTAAGCCCTTCATGAGGCACTCCAAGAAAAGGTGCTCAGTAGATAGCTGAGAGAGCAGCAACGCACAGAGGTTAGGAGTTCAGGCTCTGGACGCACCACTAAAACCTGAGCTCCACCATTTATGTGTCTGCATCTGACTTTTCTCATCTGTAAAATGGGGATGATGAAAGGAGCTTATGCCTGTAAAATGCTTTTTGATGCCTGACACATAATAATGTCTCAATAAATGTTGAAAAAGATCAATAGGAAGAGAAAATTCACTTCTAAGTGCAGATATAAAACAGCAGCTTTCAGAGTCTCCTTTCTACCCCTGATGAAGACAGATCTCCACATTACATGGAGCTCCAGGCTTGTGTGCTAATTCCACAGTGAATCCTGGGTTCCAGGAAGACAAGGCCCAGGCAGCATTCTGTCCCTTCTCTTTATACCGGACTTTATGGTACTTGTCTTAGACCCCTAAACAAACAAATTATTTGAGTAGCTTTAAACATTCTTTTTTTTTTTTTTAAAAAATATGGGATTCTTTGTTCTAGAAATAACACTAAAAACAAAGGCTTATGAATCTTAACAGTTTGAAACTTTGATATCTATTCTCTAATTTAATCTTCACAACAGTCCCTGAAATAATTAGAGCAGGTTTTAGTACATCCATCCCATAGATGAGGAATCAGAAGCTCTGAACCTACTGGTGACTTTCCTAAGATCATTCAGCAAAGCAAGAAATGAAGCTGACACTAGGATGCCATTTATATTCTCTCAACTCATGCCTATTTATCATATCCTATGGAGTAAGTCTTAAATGGCTGTTATCTCACCCCCCACCCAAATCATTCATGTGACAAATGTTCATTGAGCACCCATTCTGTGCAGTGCACACCATGTCCAGGAGCTTACATTCCACGCCAAAATCAGGTAGGTAGAGTTCTGAGCCTTACTATTGGCACAGACTGAACTGAGGTGTGAATTCATGGATTAATATAATTCATACATGAATGATGTTGGACATGGAGGAGTGGATATTTGGAGTTTAGATAGCATGGGAATGTATGTGTTTCCTGTGGCTGCCATCACAAATTTTAACCACAAACTTGACAGCTTAAATCACCAGAAAGGTATGCCCTCATAGTTCAGGAAGTCAGAAGTCCAGAATCAAGATGATGTCAGGGTTGGTTTCTTCCGGAGGTTCTGAGGGAGAATCTTTCCCCTGCCTCTCTCTTCTAGCCTCAGGTGGCTGCCGGCGATCTTTGGCATTCCTTGGTTTGCAGACTCATCACACCAATTTCCCCCTCAGTCTTCACATCACTTTCTCCAATGTGTGTCTTCATCCATTCTCTTCTAAGGCCACTTGCCATTAGATTTAGAGCTCACCATAATCCAGGATGATCTCATGTTGAGAACCTTAGCTTAATTACATCTGCAAAGTCTCTTTTCCCAAATAAGATCATATTTCACTGTTCCAGGTGGACATATCTTTCTTTTGTTGCAGTTGGGGGTGTGGTTACCATTTAACCCACTACAGAGAATTTCCCAGAAGGCCTGATTATCTGGGCTTGGTGGGCAGTTCTGTTGGTCCATGCTGCTGCTGGAAAGATTGCACCCCAGATTTCTGAACGGCAGATTGCTGCTTACTCATGGAAGCTTTGCATAGGCTTTGCATAGCTGCTTCTGGGGATGAGGGGACAACCGAGCTCCAGACTTCTACACACAGAGAACTTTAGAACCTAAAGCAAGGCCTCCTGACAATGAAAGCACCATGGCAGCACACAGTGATCAGGAGGGGTGGTTATTTTTTTTTATTCTGAGATAATCATGCACTCTAAAGTTGAAGTTGTCTGAGCATTGGCCAACTTTTTTTTTTTTTTTTTTGAGACGGAGTCTCGCTCTGTCGCCCAGGCTGGAGTGCAGTGGCACAATCTTGGCTCACTGCAAGCTCCGCCTCCCGGGTTCACGCCATTCTCCTGCCTCAGCCTCCGAGTAGCTGGGACCACAGGCACCCACCAACACGCCCGGCTAAGCACTGGCCAACTTTTGATGGCTGTGTCTGGAAATCATCCCATTGGGAAACACATTTATGAGCAGACATGACCTTGGTTCAGTGTAGGGTAAGTTCTGTGACCATTTGTATGAGATTAACAGCCTTCAGGAAGCTCAGGCAGCTCAAGTCCTAGATTCTGTGCTTTCTTTTAGAAATTGGGTTTTAGAAATTGAGTTTTTAGAAAGGTTAAAAACTCGGATTTGAAGTCAGAGTATCAGCTCTGCCACCTGTGGGGTGGCCTTGGGCAGTCTCCTAATGCATAGTCTCAATCTCCTTATGCAGAATATTATGAGTAATAACAGTGCCTATTTAGCAGGATTATGGTTATAATTAAGTTAGAAAATCAATGTATAGTTCTTAGCACAGTATCTGGTTCATAGAAATACTCAATATATTTTAGCATTTTATTGCTTTTAATTTCTTCCTCATTTCCTTGTGAAAGTCTTTTCTTTTCTAGGAGGCTCAGAGCTCTCATTTTTCTTTCCAGAGCTCCCTGCCCTGCTGTCCTAAAACACATAACACATCTGGGCAGAAATCAGTCTTGGAGTGTTGACATTAGATAAATAATTCTGCTTACCCAGTTTTGCTTTCTCTGTTTTCCCAGAAAAAGCACTTTATATAAAGATGTTGGTTTGGATTCTTTGATTTTTAAAATAATGACTGTATGTTTAAAACGATACCTGCTCATTATAAGTAATTCAAATGGTACTCAAGTAGGAAGAAGTAAAATAAATCGCCTTGAAAATCTTACAAACTAAAAATAGCCATTGTCAACATGGAGTGTATATTATTCCAAACAGCTTTTTAGTATATACACAGAAAGACAGACAGGGAGAGGTGTGGCAACAAATATAATTATAATATATTTGCTGTTTCAATAAAAGTTATTAAATTAAATTTTCCTGAACTAAATGGAAGAAAAAGCAATTGAAGTAAAACAGAAGAACTTGCTAAAATGTAATTCTTTACCACAAATTGTATTATTCTTTATAAGAGCCCTCTAAGGTTAAGAAAAAAAATTTGGCAGAGGTAGAAGTTAATTTTTTTAACTTCATATTTTAATTTTGGACAGTATGAATGATGCATGAAAAGATATTCACGCTCCCATATCCAACCTAATATCCCCAACCCTCTTGATGTGTGGATTATATCTTCACTTTTACTTCATCACCATTTAGTAACTTATGCTTTGTTCTTGGAACACTGAAACCCTAGTTACCGAATCCAGAATCTATAATTAAATGGACTCTACTTTAAGGCTGTTTGCCAAAGTTCTTCATTCCCTCAGTTCTTTTTTTTTTTTTTTTTTTTTGTAGCTGGCAAGATGTATTATTATATAACTGCTCTAGATAAGCTCAGGTGTGCTATTAGCTCTGATTTATTTCATCTTTGAGAATGTTTGCCACGTTGTTTTTATGCTGAATGGCATGATAGAATGTTTTAGAATTTTAGTTCCTTCACCTCAGATTTGTGTGATTATTGCTGCATTTTCTCCTGGATGTTTAATGCTGTGATGGAAAAGTCTGAAGCCACCTTGACTTTTCTTCTTATACATGACTTGCCTTCTGTTGCCTATAGGGTAAAATTTTTCTGTATTTTTCAAGTGCGTTTACTGTACTGTGCCTTTTCTGCTCTGTACTAACTCTTCCTGGAAGATAAAATGTGCTTTCATTCTGTAGATTTTTTTTTTAATTCTGATTTTGAGAAATTCTTTGCTATGGTTTAGATGCTCATCTCTTCCAAATCTCATGTTGAAATTTAATCCCCAGTGTTGGAAGTGAGGCATAATAGGAGGTGTTTGAGTCATGGGACTCTCATGAAGAGATTAATTCCATTCCTCAGGGGTGAGTGAGTTCTCACTCTGTTCCCAAGACAGCTGGTTGTTTTAAAAAGCCTGGTACCTTGCTTCCTTCTCTCTTGCTTCCTTCTCTCTTGCTTCCTCTCTCGACATGTGATTTCTGCACATGGCAGCTCCCTGCCAGCTTCTGCCATGATTGGAAGCAGCCTGAGGTCCTCACCAGAGACCAAGCAAATGCAGGCACTGTGCTTCTTGTACAGCCTATGGAACTGTGAACCAAAATAACATCTTTCCTTTATAAATTACCCAGACTCAGGTATTCTTTTATAGCAACACAAAATAGACTCAGATATTTTTCTTCTAATATATTTGTGTTTCTTTTTCCTTTTGTGTTTATTGGCTTCTCTACTGAAGGAACATCAATTTTCTTAACACTGGATTATTTTTGCCCTACTATTTACATAATACTCGACTATAAACACTTTGATTTCATAGCCTTATCTCTCTACGTTAACTGTAATTATGTCAAAACTTTCTTGGATGTTTGTAAATCATTGTTTAGCTCTATTTTATTCTTTGATGCCTCTTATCCTGAGCACTGATTTACAGAATCAGAATCGTTGGCCACATTATCTTCTGTGCAACATAGAGGCGAGAAGAGTCCCTTACTTGCTGGGGGGCAGTCATTATGCCTGCTGCAATGGTAAGCAGCCATTATGCCTGCTGCATTACCCTCAGCAATGGTAATGCAGATTAGGTTTTTTTTTTTTATTATTATTATACTATAAGTTTTAGGGTACATGTGCACAATGTGCAGGTTAGTTACCTACGTATACATGTGACATTCTGGTGCGCTGCACCCACTAACTCGTCATCTAGCATTAGATATATCTCCCAATGCTATCCCTCCCCCCTCCCCCCACCCCACAACAGTCCCTAGAGTGTGATGTTTCCCCTCCTATGTCCATGTGTTCCCATTGTTCAGTTCCCACCTATGAGTGAGAATATGTGGTGTTTGGTTTTTTGTTCTTGTGATAGTTTACTGAGAATGATGATTTCCAATTTCATCCATGTCCCTACAAAGGACATGAACTTATCATTTTTTATGGCTGCATAGTATCCCATTACTGGGTATATACCCAAAGGACTGTAAATCATGCTGCTATAAAGACACATGCACACGTATGTTTATTGTGGCACTATTCACAATAGCAAAGACTTGGAACCAACCCAAATGTCCAACAATGATAGACTGGATTAAGAAAATGTGGTAGATTAGGTTTTAAACGTTTTTTAACTAGAAACTTTTGGCTTTCCATAACCAGGCTTGTATGGGATCTGACCTCTTCTCTGGCTGCTCATGTTACTCTTGTAGCTTTTTGTGATTTCTGCATTCTGAACAATGATTTAAATGCTTGAGGAACCCAGTTCAAAGCACAAAGCAAAACAAAACAAAACTAAACAATCCCATCTTAACATCTTGCTGCATCCCATGTAGGCTTTCCGAGGGTGCCATAGATATGGAGTATGTTGTACTAAATATCTACCAGCTTCCCAAACTCCACTCAGGTGGTACCAGTGAGGCCTCCTTTGCAGAATCCCCCTGGCTAGAGCCTGAGGTAGTGCTGCCAGGTCAGGGAACACCTCATCAGCTCAGCTCAACCCAACATGGGTTGTACATTAATTTTGTTGTGAACTTGGCTTTCTGCTCATTACGTTGCACCTTGAAGTCTGGGTTTCTTCCTGTTTTCCTGATGCTCCATCTCCCAAGTCAATGTTAAACTCCCCTCTGGATGGCTGGGGCCATGGCACTCTATTTTGGTGATACATGACCTTTCTCCCAGAGCTTGGCTTGATTTTGAATACTCTTTATCTCTTTACTCACTGCTAACCCTCCCCATTGGATTGTCCTTTCATGACTCTGATGGATAGGATTATTGATTATTCTGCAAATATGTACTACCTTATAGCTCCCACTGAGAATGATACATGCTCCTCTTTCCCTAGATTTTTGGCCTGGCCATGTGACTTCTTTGGCCAAAGGAATATTGACAGACACAATGTAAGTAGAGGCCTTAAATATGCTGGCATGGTTTGGCTTGGCTCTGCAGTTTTTGTGATACCCATCTACTGAGCACTCCCTGCCCTTTCAGCCCAGGCCTGAGAACATGGATCAGACCTGAACCCAGTTGATGGCTTGGATGCAAGCTCAGGCAACCTGCCACTTGACAGATTCCTTTGAGCCACCATTGGTCTATAAAACCCATAAGCATGAGAATAAATGCTGTGTTTGTAGCACACAAGTTTTAAGATGGTTGGTTATGCAGCATTGTTGTGTCAATAGCTGACTGATACACTAGACAAGAATGCTAACATTATACCTTGTCCCACAGGTCACACCTATGTTGAGAACAGTCTAATGAATTTCTTTTCCCAGTCCCAAATCCCAGATTTCATTCTTCTCCACCAACACATGTGGCTGGGGTCCCAGCCTGCCATGTGTCTAACCCCACCTGATGTATCATGGCCAATATACTGAGTAACCAAAGAAGATGCCAGAAGAGCAATCCCCAGAAGTAATCAAACGTTTTGCAACGTGCATGCACAAGGATGTAAAAATGGAGTATATCTAAGTGAAAGCTCAGACACTAAATCTCAAACAGAAGACACAGGAAAGAGGTTTTAGTTGGAAAGCCTTGAAGCTGCTTATGTAATGTTCTCATGCCTTTTGTAGGTAGAGGTATAATTATTTCATTATGTTTTCCTGTGAAGTGTGAAAACTGTCTTTACCAATCCTCTTAAATTAGTTAAATATAATATTCAGCGAGACAGGAGACAGAGCAATGTTAATTGAAAGTGGAGAGGTGTTTATAGGTTGATACGATGCAGCCAACTGTGACTAAAATTAATGTTTGGGGGTTCCTGCAACTGCCTGTTACCCTCAAGTTTATTCTATATTTCCAATAACAGCTTCTGGCACCCAGACAGTCTTGCTCAATGTTCCATAATTCCAGCATGCCTTGGAGAATATTTTCTTGAAATTGGTCAAAGAAGATGCGGTTTTAATTACATTCCATTTGTAAATTTTTGCCTCATGTGGTGTTAAGGACAATGGGAGAATTTTTAAAAGTTCATCTCACTTTGGGTGTTTTATTGGTAAAATTGTCACTGAGCCTGTCTCTTGTCTTACTTTAGAGTCTATCAAATTTGTGATTTCTTGTTCATCTATACCAGACCATAGCTGTATTATTTTGAATGATGGTAAAATGGAAATTACAGGTCATTAAGAGACAGAGACTTGTCAAAGGGTTCAATTCTACCTTTTTTCTTTACCATCTGCACTGTTGATATGGATGGCTGTGTCCCCACCCAAACCTCATCTTGAATTATAGCTCCCATAATTCCAACATGTTGTGGGAGGGACCCAGTATGAGATAATTAAATCATGGGGGAAGTTTCCCTCATGCTGTTCTCATGGTATTGAATGGGTCTCACGAGATCTGATAGTTTTATAAAGGGAAACCCCTTTCACTTGGTCCTGATTCTTTCTTGTCTGCTGCCATGTAAGACATGACTTTTGCCTTCTACCATGATTATGAGGCCTCCCCAGCCACGTGGAACTGTGAGTCAATTAAACTTATTTTTATTTATAAATGACCCAGTCTCAGGTATATCTTTTTCAACAGCATGAACATGGACTAATGCAGTAAATTGGTAATGAGAGAGTGGGGCGCTGCTGTAAAGATACCTGAAAATGGGGAAGTGGCTTCGGAGCTGGGTAACAGGCAAATGTTGGAACGGCTTGGAAGGCTCAGAAGAAGATAGGAAAATGTGGGAAAGTTTGGAACTTCCTAGAAACTTGGCGGGCTCAGAAGACAGGAAGATGTGGGAAAGTTTAGAACTTTGTAGAGACTGGTCGAATGACTTTAACCAAAATGCTGATAATGATATGGACAATGAAATCCAGCCTGAGGTGCTCTCAGATGGAGATGAGGAACTTGTTGGGAACTTGACTAAAAGGTGACTCTTGCTGTGTTTTAACAAAGACACTGATGTCATTTTGCTCCCGCCCGAGAGATTTGTGGAGTTTTGAACTTAAGGGAGATAATTTAGGTTATCGGGCAGAAGAAATTTCTAAGCAGCAAAGCATTCAAGAGTGACTTGGGTGCTGTTAAAAGCATTTAGTTTTAAAAGGGAAACAGAGCATAAAAGTTTGGAAAATTTGCAGCCTGACGACGTGATAGAAAAGAAAAACCCAATTTTCCGATGAGAAATTCAAGTCTGCTGCAAAAATTTGCAAACGTAATGAGGAGCCAAATGTTAATCACCAAGACAATGGGGAAAATGTCTCCAAGGCATGTCAGAGACCTTTGTAGCAGCCCCTTCCATTACAGACCCAGAGGCTTAGGAGTTAAAAATGGTTTAATGGGCTGGGCCCAGGAAACCCCCGCTGTGTGCAGCCTAGGGACTTGGTGCCCTGTGTCCCTCCGTTCTAGCCATGTCTAAAAGGGGCCAAGGTTCAGCTTCGGCCATGGCTTCAGAGGGTGCAAGCCTCAAGCCTTGGCAGCTTCCATGTGATGTTGAGCCTGTGGGTGCACAGAAGTCAAGAACTGAGGTTTGGGAACCTCTGCCTAGATTTCAGAGGATGTATAAAAATGCCTGGATGTCCAGGCAGAAGTTTGCTGCAGGGGTGGGGCCTTCATGGAGAACCTCTGCTAGGGCAGTGCAGAAAGGAAATGTGGGGTGTGAGTTCCCACACAGAGTTCCCACTGGAGCACTGCCTAATGGAGCTGTGAGAAGAGGACCATGGCCTTCCAGACCCCAGAATGGTAGATTCACTGACAGCCTGCACTGTGCACCTGGAAAAGTCACAGACACTCAACACCAGCCCATGAAAGCAGACAGGAGTAGGACTGTACCCTGTAAAGCCACAGGGGCAGAGCTGCCCAAGGCCATGGGAGCCCACCTCTTGCATCAGCATGCCCTGGATATGAGAGATGGAGTCAAAGGGATCATTTCAAAACTTCAAAGTTTAATGACTGCCCTATTGGATTTCAGACTTGCATGGAGCCTGTTGCCCCTTTCTTTTGGCTAATTTCTCCCATTTGGAACAGCTGTATTTATCCAACACCTTTACCCCCACTGTATCTAGGAAGGAACTAATTTGCTTTTGATTTTACAGGCTCATAGGCAGAAGGGCCTTGCCTTGTCTCAGATGAGACTTTGGACTGTGGACTTTTGAGTTAATGCTGAAATGAGTTAAGACTTTGGGGGACTGTTGGGAAGAGACATTATTGGTTTCAAATGTGAGGACATGAGATTTGGGAGGGGCCAGGGGCAGAATGATATGGTTGGCTGTGTCCCCATCCAAATTTCATCTTGAATTGTAGCTCCCATAAGTGGGAGGGAGTTGGTAAGAAATAATTAAATCATGGGGGCAATTTCCCTCATACTGTTCTCGTGGTAGTGAATAAGTCTCACAAGATCTGATAGCTTTACAAGGGGAAACTCTTTTTGCTTGGTCCTGATTCTCTCTTGTCTGCTACCATGTAAGATGTCCTTTAGCCTTCCACCATGATTTTGAGGCCTCCCCAGCCATGTGGAACTGTGAGTCAATCAAACCTCTTTTTCTTTATAAATTACCCAGTCTTGGGTGTGTCTGTATCACAGCATGAAAACAGACTAATAAAACCATCAAGCAATTTCTAACACTACTACTGCTTGACGGTAGGTTCTTTAACTATATGGCCAGTCCTAGACTCTGTTACTTATTTGCTTGATGGAGCAAATGTTAGCAGAATAACCCGAGACCCCCAGCTGAGCCTGACTGACTGAGCAATATTGACCATACCAAAAGAGTGAGCAGATACCCTTTATTTGCTTTTCTCAGTGCAGAAATTATGGGATCATGCTGGCATGCAATTACATCTTTATTTCTTTCAAATACGTAGGGTTTGTTTGTAATTATTCTTTCACAGAACAGTTTGGAGAGTCTGGTTGAAACACATACAACAAAAGAACTCAATAGGAGTTAGAGAGATGATTTAATTTTCTTTTCTTTGTTAGATATGCAGCCTATATTTGGAAGTGAAACAGAGATATCAGCATAGATTGCTTAAGAACAAGAAGTAATAATCTCAATTGTTAATATCAATTATTTCCTATAAAGAAGAAAATTGTTAAACAGTGCTCTCCTTAACTTCTAAGCTGACATGGGATATATTCCCAAAAGATACCATGACTATATCTCTCTAGTTTTTCACTGACCATGGTTTTGTAACTGGATGAAGACTGCATTTCCTTCTAGGCCTCTCTTAGATGTGCTGATGCTTAAGTCATTCATTAATGCACTAAACTTCAGGACATCTTTTTGGCCAAACTCCTACTTTTAAATATTTTATGCATCTGAAGTCTCAGGAACCTACTCCTGTCTACAATTAATTCACTGAAGAGTTTGGTTCTTCATAAAGTGATACTCCAAGTCTTCATCAATCAGCCAATGTAAATTACCTCCCACCTTGCACTTTTGATCACATTGCTCTATTTTATTTTATTTTATATATATATATATGTAATTTTCATTTGTTTATTTTTCTCTTTTTTTCTTCACTAGAATGCAATGTCCTTGAGACTAAGGTCCTTTTTGTCTTATTCACTGTTGTCTCTCTAATACCTTGAAGGATGTTGCCTCATAGTAGGTGTTCAATAAAACTTTGAATGAATGTTAAATTTAGGCTCCTCTCATTTGCCCCATTTTCAAACTGTCTCTTCTGCAAAGAGAGATCTCATTCTCTTTTACCTCTGCCAAACATTTCTGATTCTCTCAATTTCCCATGGCTTTCAATGCTTCTCCACCTTTGTTGTCCCCTTTTGGAAGATCCAGTTTTGTGAAGGCTCCATGTTAGAAGGTGCATCCAAACATACATATTTCAGCAGTGGCCTGATGCAAATGAGTAGATAGTTGGCTGAGAGATCCTCATTGAGAAGGAGTGGTAGAAGAGAAGTAAATTTTAATAGGAAGAAAATTGGGATCAAATAAAGAAATTCTGAGAAACCCTTGAAATGAACGCCACTGCAGGAGGGCTTCTTTTAGTCGGTGCTTTGAACAACCCGCGAGTGAAGGGCTCCTGTTAAAATGTCCAGATCTGGGACAGTGAAGTGCCTGCAAGAGAGTCCTGAAGCTTGGGGGAAGGTGACCAAAAGGAAGCAAAGGCAAACTGTCATAGAGTCTGCAAGTTGACTGCAGGGATTCCCGTGTTTACAATTAATTTAAAAGCAACATTCCCATTTGTAGAAATAAAAGCATAAGGACTTAAAAAAAATCTGTAGCCCATCTGAAGTCCTGGTTAAACCTTTCCCTTCAATCTCCAAACTAGTTTCTCTTGACCTAAGAGTCTTTGGTGAGGGAGTTAAGTCAACTATCCTTTGAACAACTCACTTCACGTGATTGAATGAACCAGGCTAGAATGCCCTTGGAGGAATCAGAAGGGTATAACCCTGTAATGATGCAGTTTATAATGGCAGAACTGTTCCATTGATTTCTCTCTCTGCCCTAGAGGGCTGATATGACCTGCAGGGAAACAAGACTTCTTTCACTGACCTAGGGCTCCCACGTGTCGTCTTGGGCAGCTCAGGCCAGTGCCTGCTCCAATTCTCATCAGAGCAGCCATTTGTAAAGATCCATTCCACATTTTGGCCAACACGTCCCCAATTTCAACCTTGAGTTCTTTCAAAACACTTAGGCAATGCCATCCAGACTTGCTATTTATCTCTATCTAGTTTGTGCATTTCTTCAGATTAGATCTGCTGCCTCAAATTCATGTTCCCTGAGAGACCATGAGGTGAGAGATGTCTCTAATGCCTTCCTTTTCTCCTTCCATACAATTTCCAATGTTTTTGAGATCATCAGTGAAATAACGTTTGCATCAACAAGATTAAGAATTCTCTAAACATCTGCTTTTTATCCTTGTGTATTCAGAAAACACCCTGAAATCTCTCAAAGGCCTCCCCTCATATCTGGGCTACCTAATTCCAGTAGGAGTCTGGCTATTTTCCTAATGTAAAAGGTGATGTCCTTTCCTCTCTTGCCCTCCACCATCCTAAATATCTCATCTTTGGCTCCATGGATACATTGATGCATGAAGGAGAAAGGTTTCCAAAATCCTTTTAAAAGTATCTCTAAGCTTCAATATTATAGGTGCTATTCCTAGTATATTGCTTCTAAATCCTGCTTCCATTTGGACCTATAAATGGGATAAATGTGGAATGTTTAAAGAATGTTAGATACAGGGGTAACCTAAATTATAAATCAACATGTGTCAACTGAAGAACCATGAGGTTCATAAATTTGGGGAGGAGGGTTTTATTTCTGATAAAGGGTTACAGCCTGCATGGTGGCCATTCCGCACACTGGGAAGCATAGCCTCTGGTAGAAACCAAGGCCAGCACTTTGAAGGAGAAAAGACTGCAACAGAAATTTATGCCAAATGGGTTGGCTAAGCATATATATTTAAGAGGTTATTGGAGAGGCTATGAACATTCGTGATGAGGGTGTGTGCACCAATCCATAGTAAGCAAACATACCCATTACATAAGTCCCTTGTTCATGTTGAAGTGGAGATTTAACATTTAAATACATTAAACTTAGGCTTTATTTGTCAAAAGGTGAAACAGAGAACACAGCGGTATCCTGTGTGCAGGCTCTGTAAATTAGAACCAGCCCATGGTGGTCTCTTCTCAGGAAGGAATGCTGGTCAGTTGCTGTGTAAATCAGCAGTGGAACAAGTCTTTCAAAGGGGCTGGTTTTTGTTTTACTCTTAGGAAAGAAATCCTAATGGCAGTTAGTGAGGGAGGGGGTAAATTGAGGCATGTCTAACTCCAACTTCCCATCTCATTGTAGATAGAAAATCCATTTTTCTTTTTCTTTTCAGAGACAGTGTCTTTCTGTGTGCCCAGCTGGAATGCAGTGGTGCAATCATGGATCATTGCAGCTTCCAACTCCTGGGCTCGAGTGATCCTCCCACCTAGGCCTCTCCAGTAGTTGGGACTATAAGTGCATGCTACCAGCCTGGTTAATGTATTTTATTTTTGTGTAGAGATGGGGTCTTGCTATGTTGTCCAGGCTGTTCTCAAACTCCTGGCCTTAAGTAATCCTCCTGCCTCGGCCTCCCAAATTGCTAGAATTACAGGCATGAGACACCACACTCTGCCTTGGAACTCAGTTTTTAAGGCTTTGCTGGTATCCCATTGGCCAAGGGGATTTCTGTTCAGTTGGTTGGGGAGCTTAGAATTGTATTTTTATTTCTCACATGGAAGGTGTGACTTGAGATTATAAAACAAAGAGATGAATTTAAGGGACAGATAAATCCCTATTCTTTAAATGTTGTCATTATCTCCTTGAGTGAATATCGTGGCAATTCCCTTGGTCAACAGAGGGTAAGAATGCTACCTAGATTATGGAATGCTGCATGCCAAGTGCTTATGTGTGTTCGTCTTTTCGTGAGCACTGTGCATTTCACATAAGCCCTCAAGACACCACTCACAGTATAAGTGGATCTTCACAATCTATGCCCAACCCACGTTTCTGGTTTTCTCCTTCCTTACTTCCCCCTCTAACCCTTCCTTCTCCCAAGAGGTGTAGCTACACCCAACTTCCCTGAAAATACAACATCCGTTTAGGCCTCCGTGAGCTCCCTGTCTTGGGTGCCTTCCTTCTTCTCTTCCCAGCTATTGAAAGACTTCTTTCAGTTCCTCAGGCATGAGTTCCTTCCCCTGAGTCTCCTCAGCTCTCAGCAAGGCCATCTCATATGGTTCTTAATATATTAGATTATGACTTACTTAAATATGATTGTTACTGTACAAGGGAGTTATGTCCTTAGAGGTTTTGATGTTGGACAAAGAGGAGCCATTTCCCATATGGGTTGACTGACTCTGGTCTCTTTGCTCTGCCCTTCCCTGGCCTCTGCCAGCTTCAGTCCCCAAGACCTTCTGCAGGCCTGGCCCTGCCCAGCTCCTGAGCCCATCTGACCAGGCAGGTGGATCCCATTTGGAGACAGGCTACTAGATGAAGTCTTGCTGCCACAGAGCTGCCTGCATGTGAGCCTAACAGCCTCTGAGTACCCTGGGGCATGGCCTCTGTCTACCTCTCTGCCACTTCTGTACAGTTAAATGTGTGCCTCTCTTTCCCTCCTGGCTCTCCTTGCCTGTGCCCTGACACTTGCCTGAAAGGAACCATCTCCTCCCTACAGACTTCAGCCCTGCCCCCAGGACTATTCGAAAACCACAGACTGGAGTCCTCTGGGAATAAACAGACCACCCGAACTACATCCCCTCTGCACTCCTGAGGGGATTTGAGAATCTTTTCAGCCTGGCCTCACCACCCCTACCCAGGCAGCCTTGGATGCCCATGACATCTGACCCAAATTCTGCTGCGTGGATGGAACTTTGCTGCCCCTGACTGGATATTTGGGAATCTGAGAGAGCCGAGGGAGAGCTGTTGCAAGGATAGGCATAGGCATCAGGAAGATTTGAGTTCAAGATCCATGGTATTATTTACTAGTTTGGGGACCTTGGGAGAAGGCTTCCTGAGCCTCAGTTTTCTCACCTGGAGAATGGGGATAACATCTGTGCAACCTCATATCATTGATGTATGGGTTAAATGATGTAAAATATTTAGTACGGTGTCTAGCATTAAGAGGCAAAATAGTTGGAGACCAACCTGGGCAACTTAGTGAGACCACTGTCTCTACAAAAAATTTAAAAATTAGCCAGGCATGATGGTGGGCACCTGTTTTCTCAGCTACTCAGGAGGCTGAGATTGGAGGATTACTTAAGCCCAGGAGTTTGGGGTTTCAGTGAGCTGTGATCATGCCTTTAGCCTGGGCAACAGAGTGAGATTATGCACTTTAGCCTGGGCTAAACAGATCATGCACTTTAGCCTGGGCAACAGAGTGAGACCTTATCTATAAAAAAAAAAATTACATTTTTTAAGGGTTTAAAATAGGCCAGGCATGGTGGCTCACACCTGTAATCCCAGCACCCTGGAAAGCCAAGGTGGGTGGATCATTTGAGGTCAGGAGTTTGAGACCAGCCAACAGGGTGGAAACCCGTCTTTACTAAAAATACAAAAAATAGGTAGGAGTGGTTGTGCGCACCTGTAATCCCAGCTACTTGGGAGGCTGAGGCAGGAGAATTGCTTGAACCTGGGAGGCAGAGGTTGCAGTAAGCCGAGATCATGCCACCACACTACAGCCTAGGAAACAGAGCAAGACCTCACCAAAATAAAAGAAAAAAGGAGGTTAAAGTAGAGAGATGATGATGATCATGATCATGATCATGATGAAGCACTGTTAGCCAGATTCCCTAGGTTATTGCACCTCTGGGATCAGCCTCTTAGCCATGTTGGTTTTTCCATTTCTCTTCCATCTTTTCTGATGCGCATTCTCTTCTCCTTGGGTCGACATTCCTGGCCTCAAACATGCCTCATGACTCTGGTAGCCCCAGGTGCATCACAGCCTGTGGTCCTTTGAGCCAACTCTGCCCCTTGGACGGTGAGGCTCACAGGTCCACCTGCTGGCTCAGAGCCTGTGGCATTTCCTGCCTGGAGCTGCCCTGATCCAGCCACAGCACAGACACATTCATATCTCCTCCTATATTCAATGCTGCTTCTGAGGCATCCCAATGGGGAACAGTCAAGGTCAGAACAAACAAACATATAAAATCAGTTTTACCTTGGGAACTAGCTCCTTTACAGAGCGCCTGTCTGATAGGCATGTCCTTCGCCCTGGCTGAGCACGAGGGCGGTGCTGCAGGGATGGCTGCTCCCAGGGTCTCTTCAGAGGAACATGCACAAAACACAACCAACCACAGGAGAGTGTGTGTGTGTGTGTGTCTGTGTCTGTGTGTGTGTGCTGGGGGGCGCATGGCTCCTATTCTCCCTCTCCCTCTCCCTCTCCTCTCTTGCTGTCTGCCTCCTGTGTTTTCCCTCATGCCTGCCTCTTGCCTCCTCCCCTCTGGTTTTCTGGGTCTGTTTCTCCACTTTTTCTGTCTTCTTGGTTTTTCTCTCTCCCCCTCCCCTGTGTTTCTTGCTGCTGCTCCCTCCTCTTCCCCTCTCTCTCTGCTTGCTCATTTCTTCCATCCCTTATCCCCTCTTCTTTCTCTTTCATTCTTCATCTCTCCCCTCCCTGTCTCTTGCCTCTATTTTTGTCTTTTCCTTCACTCCTCGTTGTCCCCCTGTCTCTGTCATCGTCTGTCTCCATAGGATGTAGTGGTTTCTCGTTAGACAATTATAATTAGGTCTTTTCCTCCCTGGACATGCAGGAGTCCCCGCCCTTCCTGTAATTAAGGCTGGGAATTGCTGAGCTGCTCTATCTGCAGCTGGAAGATCCTGGTTTTGTGTGCAGTTATCCCATGGAATAAGGGAAGACCTAGGCTTTGGGTGACACTGAGAAGGCATTAGTTAGGTCTGGGGACTTAGGATAAAGGTGGATATGAGTGTGAACGCTGCTGCTTTCTGGTGCTGTTTCCTGCAAGCCACAATCTGCATCAGCATTCATCTCCCTAACTGTGAAATGAACCTGATAACAATCCCTACCTCAGGTTTTTGTTTGTTTTGTGTTGTTTTGTTTTTAGAGAAAGGGTCTTGCTCTGTTGCCTAGGCTGGGGTGCTGTGGTATGATCGTAGTTCACTGCAGCCTCAAACTCCTGGGCTCAAGCGATCCTTTCACCTCAGTCTCCCAAGTAGCTGGGATTACAAACTCTTGAGCCTCAGTTTTCCCATCTGGAGAATGGGGATAACATCTGTGCAACCTCATAGCATTGAGGGGAGCATTAAATGATGCAAAATATTTAGTACAGTGTCTAGCAATAAGAGGTCAAAGTAATTGGAGACCAGCCTGGGCAACATAGTGAGACCCCTGTGTCTACAACAAAAAAAAAATTAAAAATTAGCCAGGCATGGTGGTGCACACTTGTAGTCTCAGCTACTCAGCAGGCTGAGGCAGGAGGATCCTCTAAGATAGACGATGACATCGGCTGAGACAGACGATGACAGATGACTACTCCTGGCTAATTTTTTAATTTCTTGTGGAGACAGGGACTTGCTGTGTTGCCCAGACTGGTCTTGAACTCTTGGGCTCAAGAGATCTTCCCACCTTGGCCTCCCAAAGTGTTGGAATTACAGGTGTGAGCCACATTTCCTGGCCAGGGTTTTCTTTTTCTAAATGAGAATTCCATTAAGTCATGCACAAAAAGTTCCCAGAACGATGCCTGGAAAGTAGTAGCTGCTCAGTAAATATTTGTTGAATAAATGAATAAATAAATTAACGAGAGACTTCCTGTGGCCCTTGCCACATAGGAAGTACCCTATGATTCATTAATATCAGTTAAGAGAGATCAATATGTGGTGACTTGTTGCCAGACACTGCCAGGCTGGGCACAGGTGGAAATGGGGTTGGGGCTTGGGTGCAGACCCTGTTTGCATCATGGGCACGTGGGAGGAATGAGGTAGGCAATTCATGTTTCTGCCTTTGTAATCTTGATCTTGTGCCAACTTCATTGCAGCCTGGTGCCCATCAGGAGCTAGACTGACACAGGAGACTGGGAGCAACCATGTTTTCTCAGTCGTTTTTTTCCTTTTATGGTACCCTTAAAGTTGACCTTCTTCCTAAAATTGAAACAAACATTTGCCTAAAGCCAGAGGTAGGGGCTGTATAGACTTTGAGATCAGTTCAACCTTGTAAATGAATCAATTAACCTATGGCAGCTAAATGTCCTCATCTGCAAAATGGGACCATATGTATCTACTCACTTTCCAGGAAATACTATTAAATTGGCAGTTGATGTTGCATTTTTATGCTTAATTTTAGAGTTTCTGTTTGATTGGTTGGAGCTATTTATATGGGTAGAGGAGCAGGGCAACCAACACAGTCAGTTACAGCCTTAACAGAGGATGTTTTCTTAGACACTAATTGCTAAGGATTTCCATCAATGTTAAGTGTGATTGAAAGTTAATATATATGTATGTGCATACACATATATAAATATTTGTCTCTTTATATAGTATTGAGAATTTTCATTGGGGAGCTAAAAATCTTCTTCAAGACTGAAACCCTGTCTTTCCAAAGGTCAATTTCCCACTGGAAGTGGAGGGAAGCCATCTGCGCAAGCCAACTGGAGCTTTCTAGGGGTGCCAGCCTGTCCTAACAACAGCCCTGTTATGAGAGAAAGAGGCACAAAGACAGAAATCAATTATGTATCCAGGCCTGACATCAACCAGGTCTGTGTCTAAGCTGCATCCTTCTCTGAATGAGTGCTACTGGAAGCGTGTTCCAACTAAGACCTGGGCCCAACCCTGCCTTTTTTTCTTGACTTAATTAAATAAATCAAAGGGAACTTAAGTTCCCTGGTTTGAGTACTTACTACTGCATTATTCTGGAATTGGCTTGGGCCCTCTGATATCAGGGGGCAAAAATTTTGCTCAGGAGAGGACTGAATGGAAGGATGGATGACTCTTCATTCTGAATGTGGTCTCCGCCGCTTGCTTCTTGCATGGATCTCTTCACATCTTCTTCATGGGTTCTCAATCCCGCAGGCTTTTAACAAAGACTCATGCCCAGACTTCACCAGTTGAATCACAGTCTCCAAGGGGTGGATCCCAGGTATTTAATATGTCCCCCAGGTGACTGTAATGTAACCCAAGCTGAGAACCATGGCTTTAAAATGAACCTAGACCCTAGCCCTGGCTCTAACCCCAGCCTAATCCCAGTTCTTTTTTATTTTTATTTTTATTTTTTTGACAGAGTTTCACTCTTGTTGCCCAGGCTGGAGTGCAATGGCATGATCCTGGATCACTGCAACCTGTGCGTCTCGGTTTCAAGCAATTCTACTGCCTCAGCTTCCCAGGTAGCTGGGATTATAGGCACACAACACCACGTCAAGCCAGTTTTTATATTTTTAGTAGAGACAGGGTTTCACCATGTTGGTCAGGCAGGTCTCAAACTCCTGACCTCAGGTGATCTGCCTGCCTCGGCCTCCCAAAGTGCCAGGATTACAGGCATGAGCCACTGTGCCAGACCTCAATCCCAGTTCTAACCTGAGCCCCAGGGCTGTCCACATCCCATATGTGGTGCCCTCTGGCTCCTGTCCTGTGTCCTGTCCCTCTTTCCTTCTTCTCTGTCACCTTTTCCTGCCCTCATGCAGATCCAGAATGACCATCCGCTTGGATCCTGTCCACTCTCAGGGCTGCTTAACTTTGGACTAAATCAATGATTTCCGGCTGTGTTTTTTCTGCAATACATACAACAGAGGACTTTCAGTTGTCCAGCACTCTACCATGGTGGGATTCAGACTGTGAAAAAACCGTGACCCCATTTGTAGTTAGAAAAAAACACAGCTCTGTTATTCTATGAAAGTGCTGAGTTTCTCCCGGATCATCAGGAGTGGCAGTTCAGGGAGGGTGGAGAGAGCTGCAGCTCCAGGTTCCTCTCTCTGTGTCCACACTTTCCTCCTGCAGTGTTCCTCCCAATGCAGGTGGGAATGCACCTAGTATAAGGTTAACTTGAATCTGCTCAAAGTTTTCAATAAAGAAAAGAGGGAGTAAGTAATTCACAAACATGGATACTTTGTTACTAGAAGCAATTCAGTAGCTGTAACAATAATTAATAATAGGCACAAGGCCAACAGGAAAATATCACAATCCTAAAAATATATGCACCTAACACTGGGGCTTCCAAATTTATACAACAATTAGTAATAGGCCTAAGAAATGAGATAGACAGCAACACAATAATAGTGGGGGACTTCAATACTCCACTGACAGCACTAAACAGGTCATCAAGACAGAAAGTCAACAAAGAAACAATAGATTTAAACTATACCCTTGAACAAATGAACTTAACAGATGTTTACAGAACATTCTACCCAACAACCACAGACTAGACAGTCTATTCAACAGTGCATGGAACTTTCTCCAAGATAGACCATATGATAGGCCACGAAACTAGCTTCAATAAACTCAAGAAAATTGAAATTATATCAAGCACTCTCTCAGACCACAGTGGAATAAAACTGGAAATCAACTCCAAAAGGAACCTTCAAAACCATGCAAATATGTGGAAATTAAATAACCTGCTTCTGAATGATCATTGAGTCAAAAATGAAATGAAGATGGAAATTAAAAAATTATTTGAACTGAAATGACAATAGTTACACAAGCTATCAAAACCTTTGAGATATAGCAAATGTGGTGCTAAGAGGAAACTTCATAGCCCTAAAAGTCTACATCAAAGAGTCTGAAAGAGCACAAATAGATAATTTAAGGTCACACTCAAGGAACTAGGGAAACAAGAACAAACCCAACCCAAACCAAGTGGAAGAAAGGAAATAACCAAGATCAAAGCAGAACTAAATGAAATTGAAACAAACAAACAAACAAACAAACAAAAAATACAAAAGATAAATGAAACAAAAAGCTGGTTCTTTGAAAAGATAAATAAATTGATAGACCATTAGCAAGGTTAACCAAGAAAAGGAGGCAGAAAATCCAAATAGGCTCAATTAGAAATGAAATGGGAGATATTAAAACTGACACCACAGAAATACAAAAGATCATTCAAGGCTACTATGAACACCTTTATGCACATAAACTAGAAAACATACAATCTTTCTAGCTTAAATCAGGAAGAATTAGATACTCTGAATGGACCAATAACAAGTAGCAAGATTGAAATGGTAATAAAAAAATTACCAACAAATAAAGTCCAGGACCAGACAGATTCACAGCAGAATTCTACCAGACATTCAAAGAAGAATTGGTACCAATTCTATTGACACTATTCCACAAGATAGAGAAAGAGGAAACCCTCCCTAAATAATTCTATAAGGCCAGTATCACCCTAATACCAAAACCAGGAAAGGACATAAGTAAAAAAGAAAACTACAGACCAATGTCCCTGATGAACATATATGCTAAAATCTTTAACAAAATACTAGCTAACCAAATCAAACAACATATCCAAAAGATAATCCACCATGATCAAGTGGGTTTCATACCAGTGATATAGGGATGGTTTAACAAATGCAAGTCAATAAATGTGATACACCACATAAACAGAATCAAAACCAAAAATCGCATGACCATCTCAGTAGATGCAGAAGAATCGTTAGACAAAATCCCGCATCTCTACGATTAAAACTCTCAGCAAAATTGGCATACAAGGGACATGCCTTAATGTAATAAACACCATCTATGACGAACCTACAGCCAACATAATACTGAATGGGGAAAAGTTGAAAGCATTCCCTCTGAGAACTGGAACAAGACAAGGACGCCTAGTCTCACCACTCCCCTTCAACATAGCACTGGAAGTCCTGGTCAGAGCAATCAGACAAGAGGAAGAAATAAAGGGCATCCAAATCAGTAAAGAGGAAGTCAAACTGTCACAATTTGCTGATGATGTGATTGTTTACCTAGAAAAACCTAAAACCTCCTCCATAAAGCTCCTAGAGCTGATAAAATAATTTATCAAAGTTCCCAAATACAAAATTAATGTACACAAATTAGTAACTCTTCCATACACCAACAGTGACCAAGCTGAGAATCAAATCAAGAACCCAACCCCTTTTACAATAGCTGACAAAAAAGATACTTAGGAATATACCTAACCAAGGAGGTGAAAGACCTCTACAAGGAAAACTACAAAACACTGCTGAAAGAGATGGTAGATGACACAAACGAATGGAAACACATCCCATGCTCATGGACAGGTAGAACTGATATTGTAAAAATGCCTATACTGCCAAAAGCAATCTACAAATTGCATGCAATTCCTACCAAAATAACACCATCATTCTTCAGAGAACTAGAAAAAGCAATCCTAAAATACATATGGAATCAAAAAAGAGCCCACATAGCTAAAGCAAGACTAAGCAAGAACAAATCTGGAGGCATCAAATTACCTGATTTCAAACTATATTATAAAGCACCAAAACAACATGGTACTGGCATAAAAATAGGCACTAGACCAATGGAACAGAATAGAGAACCCAGGAATAAACCCAAATACTTACAGCCAACTGATCTTCGACAAAGCAAACAAAAGCATAAAATGGGGAAATGACAACCTATTCAACAAATGGTGCTGGGATAATTGGCAAGCCACATGTAGGCGAATAAAACTGGATCTTCTTCTCTCACCTTATACAAAAATCAACTCTAGATGGATCAAGGACTGAAACCTAAGACCTAAAAATATAAAAATTCTAGAAGATAACATTGGAAAAACCCTTCTAGACATGGGCTTAGGTAATGATTTCATAACCAATAACCCAAAAGCAAATGCAGTAAAAACAAAGATAAATAGCTGTGACTTAATTAAACTAAAGAGCTTTTGCATGGCAAAAGGAACAGTCAGCAAAGTAAACAGACAACCCACAGAGTGGGAGAAAATCTTCACAATCTATACATCTGACAAAGGACTAATTTCCAGAATCTACAATGTGAACTCAAACAAATTAGCAAGAAAAAAACAAACAATCCTATCAAAAAGTGGGCTAAGGACATGAATAGACAATCTCAACAGAAGATATACAAGTGGCCAATAAACATATGAAAAAATGCTCAACATCGCTAATGATCAGGGAAATGCAAATCAAAACCACAATGTGATACCACCTTACTCCTGCAAGAAGGGCCATAATAAAATCTCAAAAAATAATAGATGTGAGCATGGATGTGGAGAACAGGGAACATTTCTACACTGCTGATAGGAATGTAAACTAGTACAACCACTGTGGAAAACAGTGTGGAGATTCTTTAAAGAACTGAAAGTGGAACTACCATTTGATCCAGCAATCCCACTACTGGGTATCTACCCAGAAAGAAAGAAGACATTACACAAAAAAGATACTTGCACAGGCAAGTTTGTAACAGCACAATTTGCAGTTGCGAAAATGTGGAACCAATCCAAATGCCCATCAATCGATGAGTAGATAAAGAAACTGTGGTATATATACGGACGGAATACTACTCAGCCATAAAAAGGAATGAATTAACGGCATTTGCAGTGACCTGGATGAGATTGGAGAGTATTATTCTAAGTGAAGTAACACAGGAATGGGAAAACAAACATTGTATGTTCTCACTCACATGTGGGAGCTAAGTTATGAGGATGCAAAGGTATAAGAAAGACACAATGAACTTTGGGGACTCAGGGGGAAAGGGTGGGAAGGGGGTGAGGGATAAAAGACCACTAATTGGGTCAGTGTATACTGCTTGGGTGATGGGGGCACCAAAATCTTACAAATCACCACTAAGGAACTTACTTATGTAACCAAACCCCACCTGTTTCCTAATAACCTATGGAAATAAAAAAATTAATAAAAATGATAATAATAGGCACAAGGCACCCAGCATGTGGCAGGTGCTGTGATGAATGAGTCATTCCTTCTATTGGCTGGTTTCATCCTCCCAACAGTCCCAGAAAGGAGTCTTTTTATTTTTTTTTATTTTCATTTTTGTTTTGTTTTGTTTTTTTTTGAGAGAGAATCTCACTCTGTCGCCCAGACTGGAGTGCAGTGGTGCGATCTCGGCTCACTGCAACCTCCATCTCCCAGGTTCAAGTGATTCTCCTGCCTCAGCCTCCTGAGTAGCTGGGATTACAGACATGCACCACCCACCTGGCTAATTTTTGTATTTTTAAGAGAGACGAGGTTTCACCATGTCGGTCAGGCTGGTCTGGAACTCCTGACCTCAAGATCCGCCCACCTCAGCCTCCCAAAGTGCTGGGATTTCAGGCATGAGCCACTGTGCCTGGCCAGGAGTTCTCTTGTCTTTCACGTTTTCAGGAAAGCTAAGGTTTGGAGAGAGGTCAGAGTCCACCAGCATGGCAGAGCTGGAATACAAGTGCTCGTTTTTCCACCCTAAATCCCAAGCTTATAACCACTGCATTGCACACACCCTCACACCATGATATGGTTTGGCTCTGGGTTCCCACCCAAATCATGTGTTTAATTGTAATGCTCACATGTTGGAGGAGGGACCTGGTGGGCAGTGACTGAATCATGGAGGTGGATTTCCCCCTTGCTGTTCTCGTGACAGTGAGTTCTCACAAGATATGGTTGTTTAAAAGTGTGTCGCACTTCCCTCTTTGCTTTCTTTCTCCTGCCAGCATGTGAAGTGTGCTTCCTTCCCCTTCACCCTTCCACCATGATAAGTTTCCTGAGGCCTCCCCAGCCATGGCTCCTGTAAAACCTGTGGAACTGTGAGTCAATTAAGTCTCTTTTCTTTATTAGTTATCCAGTCTGTGGCAGTTCTTTATAGCAGTGTGAGAACGGATTACTACAAAACACATGTCACAATGGACAACACCATTGGGTTGTAAAGCCACAGCTGTGGTTCTCCAGAGGAACAGAGCCAATAGAAGGTATATGTCTGTACATTATAAGGTATTTGTTCAAACAATTATTTTATTTTTTATTTCATTATTATTTTTATAATAATATAATATATTATTATATATTATATTGTTACCCAGGCTGGAGTGCAGTGTTGCAATCTCGGCTCACCGCAATCTCTACCTCCCGGGTTCAAGCCATTCTTCTGCCTCAGCCTCCCAAGTAGCTGGGATTCCAGGCACTCACCACCACGCCCAGCTAATTTTTGTATTTTTAGTAGGGATGGGGCTTCACCATGTTGGCCAGGCTGGTGTCAAACTCCTGACCTCAAATGATCTGCCTGCTTCAGCCTCCCAAATCGCTGGGATGACAGGCATGAGCCACTGTGCCTGGCCTGGTTCAAGCAATTATAAAAGCTGAGAAGTCCCACAACCTGCCATCTGGAAGCTGGAGACCCAGAAGAGCTGGTACTGTGGTTTGAAGGAGGCCTGGGAGCAGGAGCCAGAGGACTAGTGTTGCAGATTTCAGTCAAAGTCCAAAGGCCTGAAAGACAGAAGCACTCAGGGCAGAAGATTGATGTTCCAGCTCAAGATGCCAGGCTAAGAGCAACCCCAACCTTCCTACACCTTTTTATTTTATTCAGGTCCTCCATGGATCAGATGACGCTTATGCACATTGAGATCTGCTTAACTCAATCCACTGATTCAAACACTAATTTCTTCTGGAAACTCCCTCACAGACACACCTAGAAATAATGTCAACCAGCTGGGCACCCCATTGCCCAGTCAAGTTGACACATAAAATTAACCATCCCTGCAGCTCACAGAAAGCCCCCTAAACTTCAACACACATGCAAGTCCCCTGTTGAAATGCAATTCTGAGTGGCAGTTCTGGGGTGCAGCCTGAGACTCTGCTTTTTAGCAAACATCCAAGGGTTCTGTCACTGCTGCTCATCTGCAGACCACATTCTGGGTGGCCAGTTTTAGAACACTGGTCTCAGATGACAAAAGAAGGAAGAAGCAGATGATAAGTCTAGGTCCCTAGGAATGGTCCAAGCCAAAACCAAGGTCTATCATAAAATGCTGAGCTTACCTCTGCCATCATGCTGGAAGGACTGCAGTGGATTGTCTGTTGGTCTGCCTGCAAGGCCGTGAAAGAGCCTGTTGCTCTTAAGAATCTACAAGATTACAGTCACGGTCTAATGGTGTTCTCTCCCTCACTCTGGTGCACTCCTTGAGCCCCTTTCTTCCCAGCCTGTGACTCCCATCTGGCCCTGTCTGGAGCTGGCCTGCTGATGTCCCAGAGAGATGGGTTACAGACTCTAACACTGAATGTGGAGGTCGCCTGAGCCTTTGCTCTCACCTCAAATGTGCCTGCCAGTTCCCGTACTGACTTAATGAGTTCTCAGCCCAGACACTAAGTCCTGCCGTTGCCCTCAGATGCAAGGAGAATGCTAGCCTCTTTCCTGTTTCCTGCCAGCCCTGCAGTGCTGAGGCTTTCACCCAGACAGTGAAAGCAGGAGCTCCGGCTTCCGCTGCTGTGCAGAGAGGCAAGGTCAGTGGTGTCTATGGGAAGGGAGACAATGCCTTCCAGGGACATTAATTTTTCAGTTTGTGTGTTCAGATGTGTGGCAGCTTAAGGCTGACAGGCAGGATTGCAAGCCCCTGTCAGCTTCACAGCTAAAGGATGGCTCTGGGTTTAGATGTAATTTAGTTCCAAGTGAGGCTCCCCAGGCTGAGGCTGCTGAGCCTAGAGTTGGCAGGCAGGCAGGAAATCAGGCAGTGAATGCTAACGTGGCCCTCCAGTGCCAGAGGCATTGCAGACAGGATCCCGCTTAATTAATAATTACCACTTTCTGAGAGGTAATTTGTATCATCCCCAACTTAGAGACGAGGAAACGGAGGTTCAGGTAGGTTCCTATTGACGTCATGTAACTATTCTCATTTATTCAACGAGTATTGATGCAAAATTATGCCTGAAAGCATTCTAGGCATTGGAGACACAGTGGCAACCAAGACAGATACTACCTCTGCCCTTGTGGGGTGACATATCGTACTTGGGGAGCTAAAAATGCAATGAAAAAACTAATGAAAATAAAGTTGTGAAGCAAACATCACGGGGCTGAAAAGGTAGAAAATAGGTGAATATTTACATTAGACAGAATGTTCCAGATAGCTTCTCTGAGAAGCTATTGGGCAGATGAGTAGAAATGGAGAGGCAGCCAGTCATATAAAGCATTGGGAGCAGGAGTGGAGGACAGCGTTCCCGGCAGTGTGCACAGGGTGTGAGAGGGGAAGGACCTTGAGAAACCCAAGGACATGAAAGGAAGTCCTGTGGCTATGTGGCTGTGGGAATGGCCTGGAGGTAGGTAGTGGCCAGCACACAAGGCCTTGTAGACCACGGTAGTGAATTTG
Organism: Homo sapiens; assembly: GCF_000001405.40. NCBI lineage: Eukaryota > Metazoa > Chordata > Mammalia > Primates > Hominidae > Homo > Homo sapiens. The sequence continues at coordinate 26,613,621 of NC_000016.10, read as the reverse complement.
CATTTTTTTGACATAAAACGCAGTAAAACGTGGGATTTCACCCAAGGTTTTCAGATTTCAAAGCCTTGCTTTTCGCATTACAGCAATGGTTTTCAAAGATATCTTTTTTCAAAGCAATGAAACCCTTTTAGCAATGAAATCTTAAGAAGAGCCCTCCAAAATGCAAAACAGGTATGCGATGTGTCGATCTGGTTTAAGCAGGGATTTGCAGACTCCTGGATCTACCAGCTTCACCTCTTTCTTACCCCCTGCAACAGGCCCCGAGACATCACAGATCACATCCAGTCAGCAGATTCATTCATTTACTCACTTGCCTTTTTATGAATTCATTAGACCGGTGGTTATTGAGCACTCAGTATGTTCCAGGCACTGTGCTAGGTATAAGGGATGGTATACGGCACAGGAGAGGGATTCAGTCCTCGACTTCATGGGTATTACATTCTGGTGGAGGACTCCTGCATGGAACAAGGAGTCACAGCTGAGGGTCAGTCAGTATTTAGAAAGTTGAAATCAAGAAGTGAGCCTCTAGACTGGTAATTACTCATGCCTGTAATCCCAGCACTTTGGGATGCCAAGGCGGGATGACTGCTTGAGCCCAGGAGTTCAAGACAAGCCTGGGCAATATGGCAAAACCCTGTCTCTACAAAGAATACAAAATTTAGCCAGGTGTGGTGGTGCATGCCTGTTGTCCTAGCTACTTGGGAGGCTGAGGTGGGAGGATCACTTAAGCCCAGAAGGTTGAGGCTGCAGTGAGCTGTGTTTGCACACCTGCACTCTGGCCTAGGTAACAGAGTGTGATCCTGTCAAAAAAAAAAAAAAAAAAAAAAAAAAGGTGAGATTCTAATGGATACTTGTCACCTGTTCAGAATTTATTTCATCTCCCCCCTTTTTTAGCAGCACCTTAAATTTCCCAGCCTTGTGGTTTTGAGGGTGTTGATCCTCCTTTTCAACCCCACAGGTAAGCTCTTCTTGGCTATAACCATAGTGATTTGTTTGGAGATTAACACATTATGCAAGTCTGGTCATAGAGGCCAACCAGATTTACTTTGAGGATATTTGAAACACTGAAAAAGTGGAAATTGTCTATTTTGTTGGACTTACATCTGGAAGAAGTTAGGCAAGGGAACTCTTGACTGTCATCTTATGACCCGAAGGGAAAGCCTGTTGTAAATGGAATAGATAGATGTGAAGCAAGCCTGGGAAACAGAGGGAAAGAGCTATGTCTCAGTTATATTGCTTACCTGCTGGATCAAACTTTACCTGAAGCTGACCATACTGCTGGGCTTTTAAAATAACGTAATTTACAAATTTATTTTCTTTATCGCTTAGTGATTTAGAGTTCTGTTATTCGCAGCCAAATTTATCCCAAAGTATATGCTGGCCTAGTTTGGAGAGTAAGGGAGGCCTTCTTGAGGAAGCTACCTTGAAGATGAGGCATAGAAAGTAGGAAAAAAGTTACACAAATGGAGAGATCAGAATAAAAAAGTGTTTTATGAGCCTGGACAACATGGTGAAACCCCGTCTCTACTAAAAATACAAAAAGTTAGCTGGGCATGATGGCATGCACTTGTAGTCCCAGCTACTTGGGAGGCTGAGGCAGGAGAATCACTTGAACCCAGGAGGAAGAGTTGCAGTGAGCCGAGATCGTGCCACTGCACTCCAGCCTGGGTGACAGAGTGAGACCCATCTCAAAAAAAAAAAAAAAAAAGTGTTTTAAACAAAAGAAAAGGCAAGTTTAGCCCTGAGCTTCACAACGTGGTGGGGAACAACTTTGCACTTTTTGCCCCTAGAATCTTACATTTTGCTGAAATGAGATCTAAAAAATATATGCTGGTGAACCTACATGGTATAATGAAATGCTAGGAAGTGCCCATGGGTCTGTGTTTGTAAGTTTGCTCAAAGCTTAAATGACATTAGGTATCTAAAACGTTGGGCACATAGTAGGTGTTCAACAAAAAGGCATAAGAAATGTTATTTACATTTATTACACTTATATATTTTTTACATTTATATATTTATAACAAAAACTACATATATTTATGTTTATATTTATAAAAATATATTTATGTTAAATGTAAACATAAATATATGTTTATATGTAATAAAAAATATATTTATGTTAAATGTAAACATAAATATGTTTATATGTAATTAAAAATATTTAAATATAAACACAAATATATAACATATATATGTTATATATTTATTACAATAACTACATAAATACATATCTACATAAATATATGTAGTTATTGTTATTATTTATATATGTATTGTTATATATAACAAATGTTATTCACCAGAGGCTTTTGAAGAGTGGATACTTTTGAAATCACAAATCAAAGGCATGTGAATCCATGTGGGCCATTGGTTGCTAAGGGATCAGAGAGCAAGAGAAGTGGATGTGTGTCAGCAATGAGTGTCCCAGATGGCGTCCGCTGGATTTCAGAATCTTGAGCTCCCTGATGGAAAGGTGGGCTGGGGTGCTTGAATGGAGATGAGGAAGTGGATAGGAGGAAGTTGGGAGGTGGGCTCTCAGAGAGTAAGATGTGGATATGGAGACAGCATGTGGTACTTGTTGGCCACTGTGGGCTGAGCCCCAAGGAGATGAGGGGCATGACTGAGAACTGGGGTTATCTTTGAGATACAGAGGTTCTGGGATAGGGGGCAATCCTGGTGAGGAAGAGGACCATGCTCACCCCTTTCTGCTCAGAACAGGAGTTCTCAATAGGAGGTGATTCTGCCCTCCAGGGGAAAGAGTTGGCAATGTGGCGAGAGATTTGGTTGTCACAATTGGGTAGCAGGTGTTGTTACTGGCATCAAATGGGTAGAGGCCAGGGAAGCTGCTAAGCATCCTGCAACTCACAGGACAGCTTGCTGTAACAAAACATAACCCAGCCCCAGATGCTAACAGTGTTGTGTCTGAGAAACCCTGAGGCAGGGCATCATAGGAAAGGCTGAAATGAGCAGCCACTGTCATAACTCACTGGTTTTCAGTTTTGGGGGTGCCCTGATTAAGCACCCTAGGCAAAGATCCCTTCTCAGATGGCTCGAAAGCAGCAGCCATGAAGAAGTCATGCCAATGTCAAGAACATGGGCATCCTTCTTTCCAAGTGAATTTGATGTGTTGACTTCTTGAAGCTAGGATTAGTCTGATGTTGCTGGTGGCCCCAGGATGGAGTGCCACCTGTATAATTTGTCTAATTATTTTAATTATCCCAATCCCACGAAGAAAGAGAAGTTAAGAGAGGTTGTTGGCCAGATGCAGTGGCTCATGCCTGTAATTCCAGCACTTTGGAAGACTGAGGCAGAAGGACTGCTTGAGGCCAGGAGTTCAAGGTCAGCCTGGGCAACATAGTGAGACCTCATGTCTACAAAAAAATTTTTTAATTAGCCAGGTGTGGTGGCATGCACCTGTCTTCCCAGCTACTTGGGATGCTGAGGTTGGGGGATCACTTGAACCTGGGAATTCGAGGCTGCAATGAGCTATGATTATACCACTGGACTCCAGCCTAGGTGACAGAGTGAGACCCTGTTACAAAAAAAAAAAAAGCTAATTGCACTGAATGAGCGAAACCCACATATCCAAAATCCTCATATCTTGCCTTCTTTTGACAACAAGCTAGTTCATTAAAAAAAAAAAAAAACAAATAATGTCCTGGGCTCCATCCGTGTTCCATTCCTCTGCATCTTTTCTACCTTCAGGCGAGACTGCATGATGTAGATAAAGAATCTGAGGCCCTTTTGTTGTTCTTCTAAGGTGCTCTGCATTGAGCGGGAGATCAAAATGGATTTTAGAGAAGAAAAAATCATTCTGGAAAGTGCTGAAATGAAGAAGAAATTGGCATTCACCTTGAGATAGGTCCTTCGAACTTCAAGGTCCAAGGGTTTAGAAGGGGCATTAGAAAAATATAAACCTCATCTTTGTTTTGCCTTCAGGGTAGGAGACGAGAGTATCAGGCAGGCTGATTCCTTGGCTGGATTCTTTGGTAAGAGAAAGACTTTGGCGGTGGTCAGAGCACTACTCTCAAGGCCAAGGGGGTTACAGGGGTTGGACCTGAAGTGAGCCAGGGGCCAGCAGTGGTCGCAGTGGTGGGTGCTCAGCTTGGGGACAGCTGACCAGGATGTGGGACCCCTAAGTGGGGAGTCCAGGAATCAAGCAGCCAGGCTTCCTTGGGACAGCACTGGGCTGTAATGAAGTCCTTTCTGATTGGTTACCCAACATGGGTTCACACCCTGACTCCACCACCAAGTAGAGGGTATTGTCAGAGGCGTTTGAACCAGAGCAACTCCATCTTGAGTAGGGTCTGGGTAAAATGAGGCTGAGACTTACTGGGTTGGATTCCCAGATGGTTAAGGCATTCTAAGTCACAGGATGAGATAGGAGGTTGGCACAAGATACAGGTCATAAAGACCTTGCTGATAAAACAGGTTGCAGTAAAGAAGCCAGCTAGAATCCACCAAAATCAAGATGGCCACGGGAGTGACCTCTGGTCATCCTCACTGTGACACTCCCAACAGCGCCATGACAGTTTACAAATGCCATGGCAACAGCAGGAAGTTACCCAATCCAGTCTAAAAGGGGGAGACATGAAGAATTCATCCCTTTTAGCATCTAATCAAGAAATAACCATAAAAATATGCAACCAGCAGCCCTCGGGGCTGCTCTGTCTATGGAGTAGCCATTCTTTTATTCCTTTACTTTCTTAATACACTTGCGTTCACTTTACTCTGTGGACTGACACTGAATTCTTTTCTGTGTGAGATCTAAGAACTCTCTCTTGGGGTCTGGATTGGGATCCCTTTTCCAGTAGCAGTATGACCATGGGAAAGAGATGAATCTCTTGGAGCCTCAGTATGTCAGTCTGTAAAATGAAATCATGATACTGTTTTCACAGCACTGCAGTGAGGCATTAAATAACACGATATAGGAGCTCAATGAGTGTTAGCTTCTTTCTTTTTTCTCCTGTTCCTTCCTTCCTTTCATTTCCTCCTAGTTTTAGCTCTATCCAGCAAAGATATTGAAATCAGCCATTAAAAAAGTACACAATGACAGGGCCCAGTTCCTGGATTCAGGGGTTGGGCACTTGGGGCAGGCAGTGAAGTCCCAGGCAGGAAACTGAGGGAGACTTTCATCTGAGCTGCAGCAACTTGGAATATTGGGGCAGTCTGCACTATTTTCACACACAACACTTCTTGCTCTAAATGTGTGAGTGTTTTCCACACCAACAACTAGTCCTTCCACTCTCTGGATACCACCTGGGTGTCCTACAATTCAACTGAATTCTGACACTACCCACCCAGGGTTAGTGCAGACCCTACAGGCTAAGGGCTCAGTCCCACAAGACTACCCCCACTTCAGATGCCAGTCGCAAGTTCCCTTGCCACCTGTATTTCTGACCCACCTGCTATAAATTGGGGGTTCCCATGACCCCTTCCGAATGTTTGATAATTTGCTAGAACCGTTCACAGAACTTAAGAAAATGCTTTGCCTACGTTTACTGGTTTGTTATACTGGGTGCAACTAGGATGAGCCAGATGGAAGAGATGTACAGGGTGAGGTATGGGAGAAACGGGTGTGTGATGCTCCATGCCTTCCCCACCACACATCACCCTCCACCTACCCAGAACCTTGATGTGTTCAGCCACTCGAAAGTTCTCCAAACCCTGTCATTTAGGGGTTTTAATGGAGGCTGTAGTATGTAGGCGTGGTTGATTAAATCATTGACCTTTGGTGATTGGACTCAATCTTCAGCCCCTCCCTGTACCCAGGAAACTGAGGGGTGGGGCTGAAAATTCCAGCCCTTTTGATCACATTGATGGTTCTTCTGGCAACCAGGTCCTGAAGTTATCTTGGTACCCACCAAGTGGCTTCTTTAGCATAAACTCAGCTATTATGGTTGAAATGGTCCTATAAGAAACAACAAAAGATGCTCCTCTCACCCTATCATTTAGGAAGTTCCGAGGGTTTTAAGAGTTTTGTGCCAGGAACCACGAACAAAGAGTATTACCACAGGCATGCAGGCATGGAAGCTAGTTGCAACAAGGAAAGGGAAAACTTGGCAAAAGCTTTGTCCCATGGCCTAGACTAATCCAGTAGGTACAAGGATCATGCCTAGGTGTTACAGGAAAGGGGTCCCAATCCAGACCCCCAAGAGAGGGTTCTTGAATCTCGCACAAGAAAGAATTCGAGGTGAGTTCATACAGTGAAAGCAAGTTTATTAAGACAGTAAAGGAATAAAAGAATGGCTACTCCCTAGGCAGAGCATTCTCAAGAGCTTCTGGTTGCCCATTTTTATGGTTATTTCTTGATTATATGCTAAACAAGAGGTTGATTCTTCATGAGTTTTCACAGTAAGGAGTGGACAACTCCCAGAACTGAGGGTTCTTAGCCTTTTTAGACCATATAGGGTAATTTCCTGATGTTGCCATGGCATCTGTAAACTGTCACAGCACTGGTGGGAGTGTCTTTTAGCATGCTAATATATTGTAACTAGCTTATAATGAGCTGTGAGGATGACCAGAGGTCACTCTTGTCACCATCTTGGTTTTGATGGGTTTTGGCCGGCTTCTTAACTGCAACCTGTTTTATCAGTAAGGTCTTTATGATCTGTATCTTGTGCCAACCGTCTATCTCATTCTGTGACTAGGAATGCCTTAACCTCTTGGGAATGCAGCCCAGTAAGTCTAAGCCTCATTCTACCCAGCCTGTTTTCAAGATGGAGTCATTCTTGTTCTAATACCTCTGACACAGAGATTGCAAAAGGTTGCAGGACTCCACCTGGTGTCCTGGCTCCTGGATTTGACAGACAGCTGAGGAACCTGGACTAGGGTGTAGGGTGGGGTTGTTACTGGTGGGTTCTGCAGTACAGGTGGTTCATCACTTTCTTTCTCTGAGAATGTGACTTTCACACCCCCATGGATGCCAATCTAATCAGAAATGTCTCAGGTGCTGGGATAATGCAGGGAGACTGTGAGTGGAGCATCAGCAAGTAGCAGATAATCCAACTCAAGCTTAGTTGACACCAGGGGAGGGATCAACTGGGCATGAGACTAAGGCTCCCAGTGGGAAGATAGGCACAGCAGGTGCTAGCCAAGCCACCACACAAGGACATTAGGACTAGTCTCTCTCTCCATCCTTCTTCTGCTCTCCTCTGTGCTGGCTTCATTCTAAGGATGACTCTCACTTCACGGTTGCCAAGCTTTTATCCTGCTGGCCTTGGAGGTCTTGCAAACAGAGAGGGCTCATTCCTTGCAGACTCACTAAAGTCTCAGGGAGGATTGCATGGGTTCAGCTGCTATCCTGGCCCCTGAACCAATCACCAGGCTGTCTTCTCCACTGTATCTTCCCAATTCCCCTTGGCACATGCAAATCAATCTATATAAATAGACCCTAGGCAGCTTCTGGCCCCGCCAACTCATTATTTATGCATAAGCAAGTCTGAATCTTTGTTTAGGCTGAGCTACAGGACCAGGTAAGCACCCGTAGGCTTGCATGCAGGCATATGCGTGCACACACACAGTTGCACACGTATACAAGCACGCACATATCCAGAAGCAAGCATAGCGCTCTCAGTCAATCATGTGTAAAATGTCAGCCTGGCCTTCCTGTGAGTGTTTAGAAACAGTCTGAAGAGCCCTTGACGAGAGAAGTTGTCGTGGGTTTTGTTTCCTGTAAAAGCTTCTGTCAGTAAGCCTGGCATGTTGTTTTTTTTTCCTTCAGACAATGAGAGTCTTCTTTCTGTAGACAGAGGAAAACAAACACATGTCCGTTTATTAGGTATGTAAAGTAACATAACTGCAGGCATATTGTGTTTGGGGAATCAGCCTGGCTTTGCCGCACGGCCATATGAAGCTGTTTGAAAACCCTGGTTTGTGCTAGACTCTTTGGCCCAATCTCCCTTTTGTTTGGAGAAAGAAGGATGTGCCTCTTTTCCTATCCAGTACCGAGATGCCAGCCCCCCTCCCCAACTGTAAACCACAAAACGCAGTATTTATCATATTCCCTATTCTAAATATATACTGGCATTAGCCTTTGATTCAATAGTAACTACCAATTACTAGCACCAAGTACCGGGCTTTATTCGAAGCATTGTACATCAAATTAACCAATTGAACTCTTTACCAATCCTATAAGGTAGATTTTATTATTACAAATCCATTTTGTAGCTGAAGAAACTGAGGCACAGGAGATTAAGCTACTTTGCCAACAAAAGCAGCAAAGATGGGACTTCAACCCAGGCCATCTCGCTCTAGTGTTGGGGCTGTTAAATGCCATGCTGTAATGCCCTGCATAGTGGAGGGGGGGTGTCCTTCCAATATCCAGGGGTCTAGAGATGGCTTTTCCCTAAAACGACATCCTTCCCGGTATTTCTAGGTAGACGCGATGAGACAGAAAATGTCAGCTGAACCTGGCAGCCTCAAGCAGTGAGTGATTTTCTTCCTCGTGTGCCTCTTCCCAATTTCATCTTTAGTCAGAACAGCTCCGAAGAAATCCTTGAGCTTATGCAACCACTTCTTGGAAACTCCAGTGGTCCCATTTTCCAGTTTTCTAATACAGGCATTTTCACATCATCACCAGATGCTGGGCTGTTAGCGAGTAATATTGCCTTGGGAGGCTTTGCCTGTTAAGAAATTGCTTGAAGTGTCCTTTCTCTTTCCTGTGAAATTTTAAATCATCATTTACATGGAGCCCTGACAGCATTTTTCAGGGCCTCTTTCATTTACTTGGGCTTCTTGATTGCTCTGAAGGTCCCAGCTGCCCCCTGCGCAGGTTCTGGGAGCCCAGGCCGACTCTGTCACAGAGATTCCGATTCACAGAATCCAGGAGCAAGGTGGAAGGACCCTTAAGAGTCTCCCAATGTAGCCTTTTATTCATTCTGTCCTACAGCATTTTTAGTAGTTGAATCTTTTATTCCAACCAAATTTTACGTAAGATAGATGAAAGTCAAGCCCTTCAGGTTACAGGCATGCCAGGGAGCTAATAGTGCTGTCCTGCTTAGCACCAAGTCCCATCCTGTATTAGTCTGTTCTCACACTGCTGATAAAGACACAGGGGTAATTTATAAAGGAAAGAGGTTTAATGAACTCACAGTTCCACATGCCTGGGGAAGCCTCACAATCATGGTGGAAGGCGAAGGAGGAGCAAAGACATGTCTTACATGGCGACAGGCAAGAGAGTGTGCGCAGGGGAACTGCCCTTTATAAAACCATCAGATTTCATGAGACTTATTCACTATCATGAGAATAGCACAGGAAAGACCCACCCCCATGACTCAGTTACCTCCCACTGGGTCCCTCCCATGACACGTGGGAATTGTGGGAGCTACAATTCAAGTAACAAGCTACAGTTCAAATAACAGATATTTGAGTGGGGACACAGGCAAACCATATCACACTCTCACCCTCCACCCTCCTAATTCCTAACCTATCTGTCCCTCCAGGGAGGCCTTTTGCAGCATCTCTTGTGGATCTCTGCATTGCCCCATTTAAAACAACGATGCTGTAGGTTCTAGGCTTCCTGCTTCTCCATGGCCCCAGCATCATGCAGCTTCCCAGGGCAGGGCCTCCTGCCTGGCTAAGTAGACTCTCCTCACCTGGCTCTCAATCTCTAGTCTTGCCCAGCTCTCATCTGCTTGTCACACCAAAGCCACGAGGATCCTTCTAAACTACAAACTGGGCTGTGTCACATGCCTATTTAAAATCCTCCTTCCTGGCTGGGCACAGTGACTCATGCTTGTAATCCCAGCACTTTGGGAGGCCCAGGCAGGAGGGTCACTTGAGGTCAGGAGTTCAAGACCAGCCTGGCCAATATGGTGAAACCCCATCTCTACTAAAAATATAAAAATTAGCCAGGCGTGGTGGTGGGCACCTCTAATCCCAGCTACTTAGGAGGCTGAGACAGGAGAATTGCTTGAACCCAGGAGGTGGAGTTTGCAGTGAGCTGAGATCATGCCACTGCACTCCAGCCTGGGTGACAGAGCAAGCCTCTGTCTCAAAAATAAATAAATAAATAACCCTCCTTCCCATAGTGGGAGGGTGTGTGAGAGGTGGGGATGGTTAATAGATACAAAAAACATAGTTAGAAAGGATGAATAAGACCTAGTATTTGATAGCACAACAGGGTGACTATAGTCAACAATAATAGAATTATACATTTGAAAATAAGTAAAAGAGATTAATTGGGTTGTTTGTAACACAAAGGATAAACGTTCGAGGAGATGAATGCCCCATTTTCCATGATGTGATTTTTATGCATTGCATACCTATATTCAAATACCTCATGTACCCATAAACATGTACACCTATTATGTACCTACACAAATTAAAACAAAACATTAAAAAATAAAGTAAGTTAAAAAAATAAATAAAGTCTCCCTTCCCTGTTGTTTCTCAATGACCTGAGGGTAAAGTTCGAGCCACTTGGTAAAGTGTAAAAGACCCGTCTTATCTGACTGCTGTCTTATCTGACTGCTGTCTTATCTGGGCTGCTGCTTGACTGTCTAGTTTCATCTGTTGACGATAAGTTCTACGTCCAGCTGGATGGAACTGGGAGCTGGACATTTGATGTGTTATGCTTGTTCTGCTTAGGGTGAGCCTGAGCTGGGAAACCCTTCCCCCTCGCTCCCTGCACCTTACTCACCTCAGCTTGTCTTCACCCACTAACTTCTCCCACCTCTTCTTCCACATCAGGAGCCTGTCCCTCCCCTTTTCCCAGATCCTTATGGCTTTCTCAGTCACTGCATGGATCCTGCCTATGTTAGAATTGCTTGTTTTCTTCTCTGTGGCCCTCACTTAACTAATCTCTGTGAGGGCAGTGAGCATGTCCATCTTGGTCCCTGCTGTATTCTCAACGCGCAGTAATGCTTTGCAAAGAAAAGATGCTCAGAAAGTATTTGCTGAACATATAAATGGGAGCTGGTTTCAGTGGCTCATGCCTTTAATCCCAACAGTTTGGGAAGCTGAGGCAGGAGGATCATTTGAGGTCAGGAGTTTGAGACTAGCCTGGGCAACATAGTGAGACCCTGTCCGTACAAAAACCTTAAGAAGAAGATTAGCTGGGCATGATGGTATGCACTTGTAGTCCCAGTTACTCGAGAAGATGAGGCAGGAGGATCACTTGAGCCCAGGAGTTTGAGGCTGCAGTGCGCAATGATCCTACTGCACCACTACACCCTAGCCTGTGTGACAGAGCCAGACCCTGTCTCTAAAAGAGAAGCAGCAACAATAAAAACATAAAAATAAAAATTACTCTTGCTCTGGACCCCATCCAGTGATTTCCAGGCTCCTTCAACCTTTTTCAACAGTTCCTGACTTTTATCAGCTTGACCATTACTTGTGATTCCTTTGTCTGTCTGCAGACCTTTCCAGTAACCTCCAGGTTCCCTGAAGGTCCCACAATTTGCTTTTCCTTCCCTAGTCAGGACCGTCCAGACATACTCCATGCTTTCTTCCTTGTGGGGATGACATGATCCCCAGCTCCATGAGAGCAGAGATCTTCTGCGTCTTGCCCATTGTGGTGTTCTAGTGCTTGGCACTTAGTAGGTGCTCAGTAAACATTTGTTGAATGAATTTTTAAAAATCAGTCGTGCAATCCATGGACAACAGAAGCTTGAGCTCATCTCTGCCAGTGGATATGAACAGATGTGTCCTTACCCCCTTTGGGCTACTCATGGAACTGCTTTTGGGTTAAAATGTTGCCAGGGCATAACTGCTTCTCTTGCAATCTCTTCTGATGGATTTAGGTTCTAGCTCTGATTCTCTGGACCTGGGAGAGGGGTCCTTATGTCTCATCCGCTATGTCTTTCCTCATTCTCCTTTCAGCAGCTACAAGATAGGCCATTCAAGAAGCCACCACTCCCTGCAAGAGGAGAGATTTCAGCTCTTAGGAGAATTTATTGCAGAGATTAGATGCTGCCAAACCCTTCAATATCAGCTCCCATCTAAACACAGGCTCAGAGATAGGAATGAATTCAAGTTGTCTGTTTAGAAGACTTTTGCAGGCTTCAGGAAGCCACTGCCTGTCATGGAAGATTGATTCACAGGAATATGGCAAGGAAGCCCGGGCATTCAGTGACAAGGCACATCTTTGCCAAGTGTCTTGGCACATCTTTGCCAAGTGTCTCAAATAGCCTGGGAACAAAATTCACCAAGGGGAAGATGGTGCTGTCCCCTTGGTTTACATGTTGGAGGTGTGAGTCTTTGCAACTTCCTGACAACAAGGCTTCCTAGTTCCCATTTAAAATCAAGTCAGTTTTATAAAGCATTAACATGATGAGATGCATTAAGCTAAAGAGTGCCTTTTAAGAATAATAGCAAATAATTTATAATGGATGCATCAGCTTTAGTAAAAAGTTTTTTTTTGGTGACAAAATAAAATCATACATAAAAGGCAAGTAAGACAGTTTCACTTTAATAGGGTGCCCAAGTGGAGTAAAAAAAAATGTCAAAGCCAAAGTGTTTGTAGGAGTGAAAGATTCTCAAGAGAAAGTAAGATGAGACATCAAACGAATTGGCTTTGGTAGAAGACAGGTCTAGGCTGCAAAAACAACCTGGATAGCTTGCTTGCTTGCTTTCTTGCTTTCTTGCTTGCTTGCTTTCTTGCTTGCTTTCTTTCTTGCTTTCTTTCTTGCTTGCTTGCTTGCTTGCTTGCTTTCCTTCTTTCTTTCTTTCTTTCTTTCTTTCTTTCTTTCTTTCTTTCTTTCTTTCTTTCTTTCTTTCTTTCTTTCTTTCTTTCTTTTTTTTCTTTGAGATGGAGTTTGCTCTTGTTGCTCAGGCTGGAGAGTGCAATTGTGCAGTCTCAGCTCACTGCAACCTCTCCGCTTCCCAGGTTCAAGCAATTCTCCTGCCTCAGGCTCCCGAGTACCTGGGATTACAGGGGTGTGCCACTGTACCCAGCTGATTTTTGTGTTTTTAGTAGAGATGAGGTTTCACCATGTTGGCCAGGCTGGTCTTGAACTCCTGACCTCAGGGCATCCACCCACCTGGGCCTCCCAAAGTGCCGGATTATAGGCGTGAGCCACTGCACCTGGCCCACAATGTGGACAGCTTCTGATTGTGACCCCCAAAATCACGGGTCTTGGTTGAGTCTGTTTCCACATCTGAACTTCAGTTTAGGGATACTGCAGTGTACTTCTGCTGGATTTGCCCCTACAGTATTCCTCTGGGGAAACAACCCTACTCCACTCATCCTCCCACAAGAAGTCACTTCTTGGCCAGGCACGGTGGCTCACGCCTGTAATCTCAGCACTTTGAGAGGCTGAGGCGGGTGGATCACAAGGTCAGGAGTTTGAGACCAGCCTGATCAACATGGTGAAACCCCACCTCTACTAAAAATACAAAAATTAGCCAGGTGTGGTGGCACGCACCTGTAATCCAAGTTACTCAGGAGGCTGAGACAGAAGAATGGCTTGAACCCAGGTGGCAGAGGTTGCAGTGAACCAAGATTGTGCCACTGCACTCCAGCCTGGATGAAAGAGCAAGAGTCCATCTCAAAAAAAAAAAAAAAAAAAATTACTTCTCATATCCCAACTCAGGAGGGCACACAGCTCATGTCTGCCTCACTTTCATTCTGTAAGGGCTAGTGGGTGAGATGGATTGCATCTGTGACATTAATTCTTCACCCTGCTCCCCGCATGCATGCTGTTGCATTCCTCTCACTAAAAAGGAGGAAGCCCGTTTCTCCATCCTTGACACTGGAGTTGCCAATCAGATGCAGTGGAAGTGGGGGTGAGTCACTGTGGTGCTGAGACCTGCCTGGTGAGTTTCCACTGGCTACTGTTGTGCTTTGCTATTGATATCATCCCTACCATCTCCATAGGAGTGACAAAAATTGCATGCTGGGTTCTGGAGAGAAATATAATTCAGCATTCATTAGGCTGCACTCTTACCCATTTCCTTGTTATTAAAGTCACAGCACTAGATACTGACCATTGCATTCCTATCATTCCTATAGACAGGATCTCTGACATGAGAGTCACAGGCTGTTTAAGAATTGATTTGCATACCCATTGTTCCTATAGACAGGATCTCTGGCATTAGAATCATAAGGCTTTTGTTTAAAGATCACTTTAGATGTTTTTCAGGTCCTGAATTCCAGTGGAATAGCTGAAGCCCACCAGTTCGAAGATTCCCAGGGAGGAACCAAATCGACACATGAATACAGCTTCTTTCATCCCCCTGTCCAATGACTTCGCCCTGTACTCTTTGACCAATCAATGAGCTCCACATTTTAGCCTACTCCAAAACCCTTAAAAACGCTTACCCCAAATCCCTCAGAAATGGACTTGAGGTTTCCTCCTATCTTGTTGTTTGGTAGCCTACGATTAAACCTCTTTCTCTGCTGCAACCTGGTGTCTTGGGGTGTTGACTTGCAGAACACATCTGGCAATGGATCTGTTACAGTTATGCATTCACCATGGGAACATGCCTGCTGGAGAAGGAAAAACGTGTGGAGCAGAGCCAACTCACTCCAGTCTCCTCAACCGGTAGCCAACCAACTCCCAGGTATGTGAGCAAGACCATCCAAGATCAGCAAAGCCACCAGTGGGCCCCCAATGACCCCAGCTGCATGAGGAACACATTTATTTTTATATACCACTGAGGCTTTGTTGCTCACTCTTTCTGTGGCAGTAGATAATTGATATAGTTCATGACCACACTTATGGCCAATCAGAGTTAGAACTGAAACTTTTGCTAGAACAATTAGCACAGAGACATTTATTTTTCTACTGATACTTTTGTGCTGAAAAGCTCTAAGCCTAGAGCAGCTGGAAGATGCCATGTCACCTTGGAGAAAGGGTGTCTGAGACTGATGCCAACACAGAAGAGTAGAAATTTACAAATAAGAAGGAAGAATTCTAACAATGTTTTTTTGAGTTCCAGGGTCAAGCCATTCCTGTAACAACTAAACTAGACTTTTCACTTAAATGAACTGAATGCTACCTTATGTTTCTTGCTACAGTCAACTTACGTTGGATTTTTAACCCCAGGTTATCATAGAGTCCTGATCAGTAGATGTATTTTCAATGTAGAGTATTGTGAAAAGTAATGAGTTATAAATGTGCCTCCATTGGAAAGTCAAGAGTCTAGAAAAACACGGCTGTTTTTCTGAATTCCAGGTAGTAAAAAAAACAAGTGTTTCTATCCTTTCTTGTGCATTTTACTTTCTAGAGTGCCAGAGGCTTGCGTAAGTAAGTTTGCACCTTGCTGAGCTGTTAAGAGGCTGTGATGACAGTTGCCCCCACAAGATTTCACCAGTACCTGGAAATAAGTATGACTCACTCCTGACTCAGTTTTGGTGACCACGAGGGCACAGCAATTCTGAGAAAGACTGGGCCAGGTTGTTCTTCTACGTCAGTGATTTAACTCATGCCATAGATGGTAGAAACCAACCATTTCAGACCTGAAGGAGATGGCAAAGATGAGATCATCAAAGACTCATGGTTTCCTGTGGAGATAACCAGAGGCAGAGGGGCGGAGGCAGTGCTGGTGGAGTCTGGCATCCCATGCAGGACTAAGAAGATGGGCTTTGCGGGCAGAGAGATGGAGGTTTGAACCTAAGCGTTGTTATCTATAAATGTAGCCACTGTGGGCAAGTCATTTAACCTTGCTGGGCCTCCATTTCCACTTTTGTAAAGTAGGGGTACAGTACCACACAAGAATGAAAGATCATTATATATATATGTGTGTGTGTGTGTGTGTGTATATATATATATATATTTATTTATTTATTTTTTGAGGCAGGGTCTTGCAGTGTCACCCAGACTAGAGTGCAGTGGCACAATCATGGCTCACTGCAGCGTCCAACTCCTGGGCTCAAGCAATCCTCCTGCCTCAGCCTCCTGAGTAGCTGGGATGACAGTCACATGTCACCATGCCCAGATAATTTTAAATTTTTTTAGTAGAGATGGGGTCTCATTATGTTGCCCAGACAGGTCTCAAACTCCTGGCCTTGAGCAATCCTTCCAAAGCTTCCCCAAATGCTGGGATTGCAGGCATGAGCCCCAGCATCCGGCCAGTTGCTGCTTACATTTAATATGTGTAGGCACTCCCACTCTGGGAGGAGCTACTTAATCTTCCTCATCACCTCCCACGTCCCACAAAAAGTGGGCTTGACTTAGTGGTTTGCTTCCAAAGAATAAAGTATGAGAAGGGAAAATACACTAATTAGAAAGTGGAGGCTGGGCATGGTGGCTCACGCCTGTAATCCCAGCACTTTGGGAGGCCGAGGTGGGTGGGTCACAGGTCAGGAGTTGGAGACCAGCCTGATCAACATGGTGAAACCCAGTCTCTACTAAAAATACAAAAATTAGCCAGGCGTGGTTGCACATGCCTGTAATCCCAGCTACTCAGGAGGCTGAGGCAGGAGAATCGCTTGAACCTGGGAGGTGGAGGTTGCAGTGAGCCGAGATAGCACCATTGCACTCCAGCCTGGGTGACAGAGTGAGATCCCATCTCAAAATAAAAAAAAAAAAAGCAAGTGGCGAAACCTGGCAAATGCTACCCAAGTGATGAATGCCAACCTCACTGAGGAAGCCTGGTGGCTCTCATGCAGCCTTGGATAAGATGTGAAGAGGGGCCGGGCGCGGTGGCTCACGCCTGTAATCCCAGCACTTTGGGAGGCCGAGGCGGGTGGATCATGAGGTCAGGAGATCGAGACCATCCTGGCTAACAAGGTGAAACCCCGTCTCTACTAAAAAAAAATACAAAAAATTAGCCGGGCGCGGTGGCGGGCGCCTGTAGTCCCAGCTACTCGGGAGGCTGAGGCAGGAGAATGGCGTGAACCCGGGAAGCGGAGCTTGCAGTGAGCCGAGATTGCGCCACTGCAGTCCGCAGTCCGGCCTGGGCGACAGAGCGAGACTCCGTCTTAAAAAAAAAAAAAAAAAAAAAAAAAAAAAAAAAAAAAAGATGTGAAGAGGAAGATGCTTCAGTTTTGTGGTGTTCTTCCCCCAAACCCAAACTCCAGTCTACTCATGAGAAGTCCACCAGAGAAACCCAGAGTGGAGGACATTCTACAAAATACCTGGCCAGTATCCCCACTAGGACTTCCAGGGTCATGAAAACCAAGGAAAGACTGAGAAATGGACACATCAGAGGAGACTGGGGAGATGCTACAACTAAATGCAATGTGATACCTTGGATCAGATGGTGGAACAGAAAGAGGACATACATGGAAAGACAGATGAAATTGTAATTAAGTCCAGAATTTAGTTAATAATAATGTAAGAATGTTGGTTTTTCAGTTGTGACAAATTTACTCAGGTTATGTGAGATGTTAACAAGAGGAGAAAATGGCTGGGCAAAACTACTGGCTCATGCCTGTCATCTGATAAAGGAAAAACTTCAGCCAAGTGCTGTGGCCCACGCCTGTAATCCCAGCACTTTGGGAGGCCAAGGTGGGCGGATCACCTGAGGTCAGTAGTTTGAGACCTGACCTTTGCACTCCAGCCTGGCCAACATGGTGAAATCTCGTCTCTACTGAAAATATAAAAAATTAGCCAGGCATGGTTGTGGACACCTGTAATCCCAGCTACTCGGGAGCTGAGGCAGGAGAATTGCTTGAACTGGGAGGCGGAGGTTGCAGTGAGCTGAGATCATGCCATTGCACTCTAGCCCAGGCGACAGTGTGAGACTCGATCTGAAGGAAAAAAAAAAAAAGAAAAACTTCAGGCAAATTGAATGTAAAGGAGTTTAGTTGAGCAATGAACGATTCAGGGATCGGATATCCCCCAGAATCACAGCTGATTCAAAGAGACTCCAGCACAGCCATGTAGTGGAAGATTTATAGACAAAAAAAGAGGGCCAGGCGCGGTGGCTCACGCCTCTAATCCCAGCACTTTGGGAGGCTGAGGCGGGTGGATCAAGAGGTCAGGAGATCGAGACCATCCTGGCTAACACGGTGAAACCACACATCTACTAAAAATACAAAAAATCAGCCGGGCGTTGTGGCAGGCGCCTGTAGTCCCAGCTACTCAGGAGGCTGAGGCAGGAGAATGGCGTGAACCCGGGAGGCAGAGCTTGCAGTGAGCAGAGATCATGCCACTACACTCCAGCCTGGGAAACAGAGCAAGACTCTGTCTCAAAAAAAGAAAGTGGGGGGAAATGATGTACACAAATCAGAAGTGAGGTACAGAACAGCTGGATTGGTTACAGGTTGGCGTTTGCCTCATTTGAACACAGCTTCAACACTCATCGGTGTATGAGTGGTTGAAGTATAGCTCCTGGGATTGGCCACGACTCAGCTGTTGTTACAGGTGTGTACTCCTATGTTCGGTTTTCAATTTTGTCTACCTATTAAGTTAGGTTGCAGTTTGTCCACAAGGACTCAAATATAGAAGTACAGAGTCCATATTTAGTTTGTGTTAACAAATCCCAGCACTTTGGGTGGCTGAGGTGGGAGGAATACTTGAGCTCAGGAGTTAGAGACCAGCCTGGGCAACATAGTGAGATCCCATCTCAAGTAAAATTCTCTGGGTCAAATCGTTTCTCCTTAAAAATTTTTTTAACTGGGAAAACTTGGCGAGGGTATATAGGAACCTCCCGAACTATCTTTAAAGCCATTTGATAAATCTAAAATTACTACACAAGAAAGAAATACTTAAAACACAGCTTTCAAAATAAAATATTGAATTGCTTTTGATTTAATCTTAGTTTAGTTGTGGGCATCAGTTTCATTTTTTACCCACAAGGTCCCCAGACTTAGAGATCCAGGAGATGAACTCAAGAGCAGCCCGTTGCCTGCAGTGGCTGACATGAAGCCTTTCTGCGTCATCGGTGTCTTGTCTGATGCTTCCCCAGTGGAATTTCCTGCTGTGTTCCTGGGAAACCCAAGCAACCAGAAGTTCATCCAATTATTTATTTGCTTCGAGTCATCCGGATGTAAAAGTATGCAGCTATCATATACTGGTGAAGGTAGAGAATTATGATGATTGTCATTTATTGAGGACTGTGGTAGGCACGGGGGGTTACATTTTGTGCAAAGTGAGCTAGGGCTGGGGGTTTCTCATTCTGAACTTGCAGATGCACAATATCAGGGGAGGATGCTGAAACTAAGAGAGGTTAAGAAACTTGCCCAATATCACAGATGCAGAAAGAGAAAGAGCTTGAAATGGGCTTGAACACAGTTCTTTCTGAATCTGAAGTATATCTTCCTAACCCCTAAGTCAGACTTTTAACATAGACTGTTAACACTTCAGAGGTTCTTCAGATACCATCTAATACAGAGATCTAATCTCTGTATTAGATGGTATTTGAAGATACTATCCCACCTTCAACTCCCAGATAACTTTAGTTCGGAGCTGCACAATGGGTTTATGGTTGCTTTTTCTTTGATTGTTGCTTCTCTTTCCTTTTTAGATTGAATTTATTGTCAGCATTTGAAAATAGGGAGACTGCACTTTCAAATATCAGACTTTCATGTTGTTCAGAAAGAAATGGGTGCTCTGACTAAAAGGGGGGGCTTCATTCCCACCTGGAGCTGAGTCCTGACTTTCAGTTAGATCAGGTGCACATACTGTTCTCTAGTTCAGACCCCTTCCCTCCCTCACCCCCAGCCCTAGCTCACTTTGCTCCTTTACTTTCTCTACCTGGCCCCTGCAGTTGGCAGCCACTGACTAAGTCCATTTTACTGGAGTGAAAATTGCTGCTTAGAGAGGAGTAGTTACTGGTCAGAAGTCACACAGCAAGCCTAAAGAAACGTCATTCTGGCAGGCACTCATTTATATCGTGAGACAGAGCTATCTGGCTCTCTGACGTCCTGTGTCTCTCTGTCCCTTGCTGTCTCCTCTATGGCTGACCTACTTCAACCTCCTGGTGGGTCACATTCTCTGGGTCAAATCGTTTCTACTTAAGCACCCCAAGAGGGGCTACCCTGCTCGCAGGTTATTTTAACACTTTATATGAAAGCCTTGTTCTTGTCAAATACCTCGAAATGAATAAGGGTTGAACCTTTTCTCTTAGGAGGATGGAAAGCTAGTGGAGACTTTTAAAATTTAACTTCATCTTAGAAGAAAGAGGAGAGAAAGAGAAAAAGAGGGAAAGGGGAGGAAGGAAGAAAGAAAAGAAGGAAGGACAAATCACAAACTGGAGTTTGACATGTCTGTGATATTTATTCCTTTCTTTAGTTAGTTCTCTTTGACTCCCACGGCTGATAACTCTGCTTCATCTTCTTCCAGGAAAGCAGGTAGAGATGTGGTCAGTTCCCACTTCTAGTCTCTAAGCTAGCCATGATTTATGGTGGGACACATAAATGAGACTCCCCAGGAGCCAAGTGCCAAGGCAAAGATTTTGCAGAGAGGATCTCAAAGCATCTATAACCTTAAAAAAAAGATGACTCTTGTCATTTCTTTTTGTGTCATACATAAAGTTGAATAGAGCATGCATTCATAGTTTATGAGCCATTAATAAAATGAACATCTGTGAGTTCACCATCGTTTATAAGAAATATAATTTTAGCTATAGCTTAGTAGCTTTGTGTGTTTCTTTCTAATTCCATCTTGCCCCTTCTCTCTGCAGGATGCTGCTTTCCTGAATTTTGCATTATTTTATTTATTCAGTCATGCAGTCATTCATTTTAATATTTTATGAAAATTATCAAACATGCAGAAAATTAGAAAGGATAGTACTATTGAATATGGTATACCTATAATTGAACAACTGGATTCAACAACTTTTTAATGTTTAGCTTTTATTTGGCCCATATTTTTATTTGCTTAGCCATTGTTTAAGCATTTTATTTTGTAAAATATCAACTATATATTAAAGCAGAGAGACTGGTAAAGTGGATCCATTCCAGCTTCAATATCTTCAATGTGTGGACAATCTCATTTCATTTGTTCTCTCAGTCATTCCATGCCTATTCTTCCCCAGCTCTGGATTCTTTCTGAAGCAAATCCCAGATATTTATCTGTAAATATTTCAGTCTGTCTCTCTGAACGATAAGGACTCTTTTAAAAATACAATCATGACCAGGCGTGGTGACTCACGCCTGTAATTCCAGCACTCTGGGAGGCTGAGGAGGGCAGATCAGGAGGTCAGGAGATCAAGACCATCCTGGCTAACACAGTGAAACCTCATCTCTACTAAAAATACAAAAAATTAGCCAAGCATGGTGGCGGGTGCCTGTAGTTCCAGCTAATTGGAGGCAGGAGAATGGCATGAACCAGGGAGGCGGAGCTTGCAGTAAGCCGAGTTCCAGCCACTGCACTCCAGCCTGGGGGACAGAGCGAGACTCCGTCTTTCTCTCTCTCTCTCTCTCTCTCTCTCTCTCTCTCTCTCTCTCTCTCTCTCTCTCTATATATATATATATATATATATATATATATTTATTTATTTATTTATTTATTTATTTATATAATCATAATGTCACTTTCACATCTGAAATAATGAACACTTTCTGAATATCACCAAATACCTAGTCAGTGTGTAAATTTCTTGATTCCTGCTCTTCCTCTCCCTCTCTCTCTCTCTTTTGTTTTTATAATTGCTGTCTTATAATGGGGATTAAAACAAAAATCTCCACAGTGAATTTGGTTGATAATTGTTTAAGTCCCTGGGTTTTGTCTTCTTGTTTTTCTGTTTGTTATTATTTTGTTTCCCCTAGTGCAATATATTTGTTGAAAAATCTGCATTGTTTCTCCTGTACAATTTCCCCACTTTTGAAATTTTGCAGAGTTAGACTTTTGGTGCTATTTAACATGTTATTCCTTTCCTTTTATCTCCTGTAAACTGGGATTTAGCTATTGAGCCTTCATCAGATCCACATCTGATTTTGGGCCAGAGTATTTTATAAGCAGCGTCCGTGTGGTTCCATTAGGAGGGTCATAATGTCTGGTTGTCTCCTTTTGTGATATTAAGTAGGTTCCGGTGTTGCATCATTTAATCTACCCATTGTAAAGTCCCTGACAGCTTTTAACCTAATAGGTTTTCACAGACAGTCATTCCCCAGGAGTTGGGCTGAATCATTTTAAAGTAAGTTCATATACCAAGCCACTTTATCCTTAAATACTTACAGCACAAATTGCCAAAAAGTAAGGGCATTATCCTTATAACTCAACAGATTTTTCCCATCTAATAATACCTATGCTCTAATATTATTTAACATCCAGTTCACGTTAAAAAAATCTTCCAAGTATCTACATTTGTTCTTGAATAACCTTTTTATTTTAGAATAGTTTTAGAGTTACAGAAATAATTGATAGCATAAGAGGTCTCATATACCACATACCCAGTTTCCCCTATGATGATGATGATGATGATGATGATGATGATGATGATGATTTGAGACAGAGTCTCACTCTGTTGCCCAGGCTGGAGTGCAGTGGCACGATCTCGGCTCACTGCAACCTCCACCTCTCAGGTTCAAGAGATTCTCGTGCCTCAGCCTCTTAAGTAGCTGGGATTACAGGCACACGCCACCACACCCAGCTAATTTTTGTATTTTAGTAGAGACAGGGTTTCACCATGTTGGCCAGGCTGGTCTTGAACTCCTGACCTCAGGTGATCCACCTGCCTCGGCCTCCCAAAGTACTGGGATTACAGGTGTGAGCCATTGCGCCTGGCCTCCCCTATTATTAACATCCTGCATTAGTATGGAACTTTCGTCACAGTTATTGAACCAATATTGATGCATTCATGCATTATTATTGGCTAAAGTCAATTTTTCATTTAGATTTTGTTGGTTTTTACCTAATGTCCTTTTTCTGTCCTGTGGTCTTACCCAGGATCCTACATTACATTTAGTCATCATGTCCCCTTAGACTCCTCTTAGCTGTGACAGTTCCCATTTGGTTTTTATTTTCCTTTTAATCTGGAACAGCATCTCTCCCTCTTATCTTATAACATGAACTACATTTTGGATTTCTCTACATACTTCCTTGTGGGAGTCTTTAACTTGTTCCTCTGTTCTTTGTATTTCTTAGAAACTGAAAATTAAAATTAAAAACTTAAACATTTTTTGCCCAGAATGTTTCATAGGTGACTCTGTGTCTTTTACATACTGTCTCACAGGATTGGAAGATTAGGATGAAAAAGCTGGGAGAATGAGAGACAGGACTGATGAGTAAGAATCAGAAACCCATAGCAGAAGTGGAAATAACAATTCATCTTCCTTAGTTCAGAGGAAGCTCTCCCAAATGCCCTTTACTTCTTGCTTTTCTTTCCTTGGAAATTGCTCAGTAAAATTGACCCAATTCTACACGTTAATTTGCATTGTTGATAAGATGGCATTATTTTGCTTTTTATGTCTTAGACTGTGGCTGGATGAGTTTATTCATAAGTTTGCATTAATTTAGGAAAAAATTTACTTATCAAAAAACTGCACGTATTTAACTCAAGATTTTCTAAATTTCTGGGGCTGGTTGTACACCTCATAAGATGTTTTGATATATCTTTGGAAGGGTCTCTGGCTTAATTTCTGCTTTCCTTTTCTTTATTTAAAAAAGAAAATGGATTACAGAGTTAGTCATATGAAGCTACACACATAAAATTGCATAGAACCTGCCGGGTGCAGTGGCTCACACCTGTAAACCCAGCACTTTGGGAGGCTGAGGTGGGTGGATCACCTGAGGTCAGGAGTTTGAGACCAGACTGACCAGTATGGTGAAGTCCCGTCTCTACTAAAAATACAAAAATTAGCTGGGCTTGGTGGCAGGCGCCTGTAATCACAGCTACTCAGGAGGCTGAGGCAGGAGAATCACTTGAAATGCAGGGGCAGAGGTTGCAGTGAGCCGAGATCACACCATTGTACTCCAGCCTGGTCGACAGAGTAAGACTCCGTCTATGCATAGAGCCACACACACACATATTCACATGTGTGTGTGAGTGCATGTGTTAATGGTAAAATATGCCTAACTCTATGGATTATGCCAATGCTGATTTCCTGATTTTGTTACTGTCCTACAGTTAGGGAAGACGGCAATGTGGGCAAGGCAAGGTCAAGTATGCACAGGGCATCCTTGTACAGTTCTTTGCAATTTCCTGTGATTCTGTAGTCATTCTAAATTTAAAAATTGAGAAAATAAATAAGAACAGTTTATAGTCTGGACATTATGGCCAGTGCAGAAGGACAGATAAAGGATTAAGTTAAATTTTTAGACAGGAAGCAATGCAATAATTATTATTTGCAGATAATATGGCTGTCTACTTAGAAAATTGGGTAAAACAGACTTTGAACTAATATTAAGAGTTCAGTAAGGTACATTATGAAAAATTAATAGATACCATTTACAATAATATCAGCAAAAACAAATTAAAATGTCTAGGAATACACTTAACCAGCATTATACGAGACCTACAATAAGAAATGTACTACATTTATTAAGGGATATAAAAGATGACATGAATAAAGCAAATGAACCTGGAGATGGTGATCTGTATTTAACATTCAAAATTTAAAAGACAGCTAATTATTTTTTTGGTTGTAGTATAAAAGACAGTAGTGGGCAATTGGAAAGGTTTGAATAAGGGCTGTAGATTAGATAAGAGTATTGTGTCAATGTAATTTCTTGATTTTGATCATTGTACTGTGGTTGTATAAGAGCATGTCCTGATTCTCATGAAGTACACACAGATGTGTTTAGAAGTAATGGAGCATCGTATTTGCAACTCAATTCAAACACTTCAGAATAATAGTTTATATATATATATATATATAAACTATTATTTCTTACTACATATATAACTTTAAATTATATTTATATATAACTTTACATATACATAACTTTAAATTATTAGTATATATATAACTATTATTTATTAGTATATATATATCCTCATCTGTATCTATATGCATGTTTAAATTTATATTGTTAGAAAGAATGAGAATGTTGTTTGGGGAATCTGGGTGAAGAATATACAGACATTCCTTTAGTGGGTCTATAACTTTTCTGTAAATTTGGGATTATTTCACAGCAAAAATTTCAAAAATGTGGCCAACAGAAGAATAAGAAGGAATATATAACTATGAAATATAGGAAGCACCGGAGGGGAAGAAGATGATGTATCGTAAATGATATAAGCAGTACCATTTAGTATCGAGGAGAGGATAACTATTTTCTAATAAATAGAAGTGCTGTATATCATCCCATTGTATGGAAGTAATCATCAGAAGAAATAAAATCTTGATGATTTAAGAGGCATCCATGGGTCATTGAACTTGGGATGCAGAAGAGTGGGGTGGGAGATGTTAGCTTTTTTGTCGTTGACTCTTCTCATCTGTCTTCTCATTCATGCATCGTGTCGATAAAAATGACAATGTTGGTTAACAAATAAATCATTCAATGACTAGCCCTGGTGTAAGTAATTAAGAAATAAAAAGGTAATACATTTGCAAAAGATTTGGACGTAGGAGAAATTTATGCACACTTGGTGGAAGGGGGATCCAGCATTTCTGGAGGATAAAATGGCAGCACATCAACGACACATATAATTCTTCTCCTCCTCTCATCCAGCAAATCTCTCAGAACATATCCCCAGGTGAGAAATTCACAGATGGTGACAAAAAAGATACGCACATAGACTTCTCTTGCAGCTCTGTATAAGCACAACAACAACCATAAAAAATCTTAATGCTCAATACCAGGGTGAGATAAAATTACAGTACCTCCTTTCAAAGTAGCCTCAAAATTTGAGTTTTAGTGGACTACTCAATGACAAGAGAAATCATTAAAATTAGTTGCTGTATTTAAACTTGTTACAAAATAGCATTTATAGTATGATGTTTACATTGCTAAAAAATTATGCATTTTCAATATACCAAAAAGCTGGACTAGAATACAACAAAATATAAATGATGGTTGTCTTTCAATTGGTGAATTATGGGTGATATATGTGTTTGGTGAATTATGGGTGATATGTGTGTCTGTCTGTCTGTCTGTCTGTGTCTGTATGTTTTATAGTAACACACTGTTACTTTTTGGCCATCAGGAAAATAATTCTTCAGGTAAGAAAGTTCTAGTGCTAGGAATACAGGTGTCAGAAGTAGGATGGTGTATTTGTCTCTCAGAAAAATGCATCAAGGATTCATAAATTACTTTAAAAATCTTCTCAGCTGTCCCCCGTGTAACCAAATAAGATCAGGTGAACAGCAGAACCCGTGGTGTCCACAGAAGCCATGCTTCTGAGATGAGAGGGAAGTGGATTTGTTTGCCATCTACCCAAACTGTCTGACAAAACCAGGAGGTTGCCTGATTCCTACTGCCCCCTCTGTCACAAGATTTCAAATTGACCCTGCCTCCAGCATAACACCAGTATTCTCATTTGGAGCCTTGAATCTGAGAGTTCCTTGCCCAGGGCCAACTTGGTGCTTTTCTCCTCTTCTCTGCCTCTCATTCTTTCATTACATAATTGATGCCTTCAATACATGCTTCAGTTTGCACCTACTCTGTTCCAGGAGCTGTACATATGTATATTTTAAAGAAATACATGTTTCAAAATTTTAAAAATACAAAAGAATATACAAGTGAAGAAAGAATAAGCCTTCCTTTCATTCTTATCTTCTGGTCCTAGTTAATTACTTTCCCATTAAATACAATACCTTTTTGCCCTTTCTAAAATAATAAACACTTTCAAAGCAAATGAAACAGGTAAACAAGATTAAAAGGAGGTGTTTAATGATAGGTGCAGATATATCCTGTTGAATAAAATGGACATGGGGTTTCCTTCATGGAACTTACAGTCTTGGGGAAGAGACAAGCAATCCATAACTTTAAATATGTGTATAATTTCAAATGGTCAAAAGTGTGACAGTGGAAAGGAATCGGATGCAGTGGTAGAAAATATTACTATGGATGGGGGGGTGTTGCATCTTGTGTTTTCCAGACACACTGGTCTCACTATTGTTACTGTATACCTCAGGCAAGTGGCAACCCCAGGGCCTTTGCCCCTGCTGTTCCCTCTGCCAGAATGCTCTCACTCAGCTATCTGCATAATTTGCTCCCTCATTATATTTATGTATGTGTTCAAAACTCACCTTCTTGGAGATATTTTCATTGACTACACCATCCAAAATATCCCCCTTTACACACACACACATCACTCCCTATGTTCACACCCTGCTTTATTTTTCTTCATAGCATTTAGTGCTTTATGTAATATGTACCTGTGGATATATGTGTGTATATATTAATACGTGTGTGTATATATATGTGTATGTGTCTATAGATATATGTATACAGACACACAAATATATTCTTGTAAATTAAACACACGTTTGCTAAGAAGCTATTGCATACTAGGCACTATAATAGGCGTTGACTCTATGGAGATGGCTGAGCAAAATTCCTGCCCTCAAAACTTCCTTTCCAGCAATAAATGACTTACGGCATAATTTCAGGTAATGATCAGCTACAAGAAGGAAAATTAAAATAAAGATATTGTGAGGGATGGAAAGGGGAGATCAGGGGAGGTTCTCTGAGGAGGCCACATTTGAGCAGAGACCTGGGTGCAGCAAGGCCAGGAGCCAGGAAGACATCTAGGGAATTAGGTGTCCACGTAGAAGGAATTGGGAGCATCAGTGCATGTGGGAGAAGGCGTGGTGTGTGTGAGGAAGAGCAGGCCAGTGTGTCTGGGCATGGGAAGCAAGGGGAAGAGGGGCAAGAGAGGAAAGGGATTTGTGGAGCCGTGGTGACGACTTTGGAATTTATTCTGAATGAGACTTAAAAAATGAGGAGAGTTAAAAAATATTTTAAAGTCATCTTTATTGAGGCATAATTTGCATACAATAAAATGCTCCCCTTTTAAGCATATAGTTTAATGAGTTTGGTAAATGACCACACCTCCATAACTACCACTCAAGATATAGAATATTTCCATCACTCCAGAATGTCCCCCTGAACCATTTTGCAGTCAATCCCATTCCACCTAGGCAACCACAGATCTGCTTTCTGTCCCCATAGATTAGTTTGCATTTTCTAGATATTCCGATAAATGATACAGTGTATATCCTGTTGGTACTGGCTTCTTTTAAACTCAACATAATGTTTTTGACATACATCATGTTGTGTATATCAGTTTGAGTTCTTTTTTATTCTAAGGAGTATTTTATGCCATAGATATTTCAAAAATTGTTGTTCCATGTATTTGTTGATAGGTATTTGAGATTTGGGCTTTTATGAATATTGCTGCTAAGAACCTTCACTATAGGTCTTTTTATGAACATATGTTTTCATTTATTTTGGGTAAATATCTAGGAGTGGAATTGCTGTGCAATATGGTAAGTGTAGGTTTAATTAATAAGTAATTGCCAAACTGTTTTCCAAAGTGCTGATACCATTGAACACCCACAATATATAAGCATAAGAGACTAGTGAGCTGGGTACTAACTTGGGAGAAAAACATGGTCAAATTCACATTTTTAACTTATCACTGTGTGAAGAATTGATTCTATGGGACCTAGGATGGAAATTACAAAGCATGTGTAGAATTTGCTTGTGTTCCCCATAGCTGCAGCCTCAGCAATAGACTCCATTTAAACTTTTCACCTGCTATTTGCTCTCACAGGATTTGCTCCTCAACAGGATCCATGAATTTCTGTGTTCATCCTCGTACATTTTCTTTCTGGGCACACAGCTAGATTCCACTTTTCAGCCTTTCTTACAGTTAGCTAGGTCCCTGAGACTAAAATATGTTCCAGAGAAAGTGGGCAGAAATGATGCATACTGTGTTTTGACCTCCCTATAGACTCCTTCCATGTAAACATCCACATACTCTGGGGAAACCTGCTGCCAAAGTAGGAGGATTCCAAAGGACCTAGAGGAAGAAAAAGCTACAATATGGAAGACACCTGAGTTTCTGAAGGACTGTGTGGAGCACTTCCTTCTGCTGATGAACATGTGCTATGAAAAATAAACTTATTTTGTTTAGCAACTAAGATTTCTGAATTACTTGTTACAGCAGTTAGTATATCCTGATTAACAGACCTCATCTTTTATTCCTTTGGGCTTGAATTTGATGGCTTACCTGTGCTTTTCTTTGGCTTGACCAAGTAGTATAGCAGCTGGCTTTCTGCTTGGTCATTCTTTGCTCAGCATTGATAAAATAGAGCATAATGAAGACAGAACATTAAACACCTCCTTTTAATCTTGTTTACCTGTTCAATTTGCTTTGAAAGTGTTTATTATTTTAGAAAGGGCAAAAAGGTATTGTATTTAATGGGAAGGTAATTAACTAGGACTGGAAGATAAGAATTAAAGGAAGACTTATTCTTTCTTCACTTGCATATCTTTTTGTATTTTTAAATTTGGAAACATGTATCTCATTAAAATATACATACATATATATATATATATATATATATATATATATATATATATACACACACACACACACACACACACAAATATTAGTGCTAGCCCACTATGGTTTCAGCTTTTTCTGAGGCAAAGCCCCCTACTATTTATGATTGCATCTTAAGCTTTCACCATATGGTCTGGCGTGAAGCAGGCGGCATTGTGCAGTGGTTGTGACTTAAGTATCCTGGACTGCTGCAAGAACTGTCAACATGAACTTCTAGACCCCAATCTCCTTCTCTTTCCAGCAGAGAAGCAAATGAGAAGTAGGCAATATGAGTCACTGACTGATGGACTTTTTTCTTGTTGGGATAATATGGTAATGCATGTATTCACACCCTTTCTGTTCCCGGTAATTATTTGCCTGTCATTGTTTTTAAACTTAGACTGTGAGGCATCAGTAGCCTCAGGGAAGGGTTTCAGAGCAGAAAAAGCAGAGAAAAATGCTTTTAGATCAAAAACCAGAAGCCTGGAGCTTTTGGAAGACTAAAAGATCCATAAAATCTCTTTTTCTCCGAGAGTAATAGAAGTTTCCAGGATTGGGGATAGGTGACAAACAGAAAAGACTGGGATGAGGGCTACTCCAGTTGGCAGAATAATGATCCCCCAAAGATGTCCATCTTTGAATCCCTGCAACCTGTAAATAGGTTACTGTACATGGAAATGGGACTTTGTAAATGTGATTAAGTCAAAGATGTTGAGATGGGGAGATTAGCCTGGATTATCTGAGTGGGCCCCATGTAATCACCAGGATCTTTATTATAAGAGGAAGACAGAGGGGTCAGAGGCTGTTGATAGAAGCAGAGGTCAAAATGATGCCACTGCTGGCTTTTAAATGGAGGAAGGGGCCATGAGCCAAGGAAACAGGTTGCCTCTAGAAGCTAGAAAAGGCAAGGAAACAGATTTTCCCCAAAAATTGTCAGAAGGAATGCAATCCTGTCAACAGCTTGATTTAGCCCACTGAGAACCCTTTTGGATTTCTGACTTCCAGAACTACAAGGCAATACATTTATGTTGTTTTAAGCCAGTAAGTTTGAGCTAATGTATAATAGCAACAATAGGAAACTAATTCAGAGGCAGAGGTAAGTAGAACTCAGAAGGGGGAAAACAAGCAAGACATGGAATGTTTCCATGGAGGGGAAAGAGCCTTCAGCCCATGCCACCCAACCATCTCTCAAGGAAGGGCTGTCCAAGGCCAGGGCTAAGTAGGGCTGAGTCACTGCCCCCAGCTCTCCAGACTTCATTGCTGTGGGTTTTTCTGAGAGCACTGGCATTGGGTAGGACCTTTCACTCTCAGCAGCATCCAATGACCAACTGACCTTCTAACAGTATTGACACCCATCTACTCCATGATTCAATCCACACCTAGCTGGGCTCTGTGTGGGTCACCTTTCTATAACCTAGGGAGATCATACACTCCATCTCTGAGAGTGAGCTGAAGGCTGGGCTTGGGCTGCTGATGAGGCAGGGACTTAAAAGCAGCTTCCACCCTACCTACATCTGTGTGGGAAAAACAAGCCCAGCTCAATATATTACCCTTTCTGGAGCAATGGTGGGCAGCCACCTTTTTGCAACTGGTAAGCATTAGAGCTTTAAAAAGTTACAGAAGCAAGGTGGGTTTGCAAAGCTTTCAGCTGGCTTCATCCATCACTTTACTCTTCAAGTTAAAAAATCCTATTGAACATTCTCAGCAAACAAACCATAATAGGAGAAGCAATGTAGATGCTGGGGTGGTCTCTAGACTGTGCCAAGCCTCATCCCCAAATCTTATGGTTGGAAGAACTGAGTCTTGAGGGGACTATAATGTCTCGGCATGGAGTTAGATGGATGCAGAATGGAATCTGGCCCCACGATTTCTGCTTGAGAGATTTGTTTGTTTGTTTGTTTGTTTATTTATTTATTTTTTACAATACACATTACTGCTTAGAATCACATTTTAAACTTAAACACTTATATTTTTGTTGTTGTTGTTACCAAACTACAAGCAATGTAATATGATTATAAATCTCAGAGGCATGGACTGGCATTATGGGAGCTTTTATTTTTTTCATCTAACTGATATTAGCAGACCCACAGTATTTTAATATGTATTTCACCTTTATTTGACGTCATGGACAATTGGTTCTTTCACAAAGCAAAATAAAATAAAAAACTATTTCCCCTTCTTTCCAGCACGGACATTTCCCAGAGAAAGAAAGTCCATTATAGAGCGGGAGCCCAACCCCGGAGTCCTTCTCCACTCTCGCTAATGATACTAGTGTGAATGTCACATACACCTGGGCTCTCACTAGATGCTATCAAGAATGCACCTCCAACAGGGAACATTGAAAATGTGGGCTCTATGGATGGACCAGCAGGTCACTGCTACATGCCTGATATGCTTTAAAGCCTTGTCCCTTTCAAATCTCATGCTGAAATGTGACCCCCAATTTGAAGTTGGGGCCTGATATAAGGGATTTGGGTTACGGAGGCATATCCATCATGAATGGCTTGGTGCCGTCCCTGTGGCAATGAGTTCATGCAAAAGCTGGTTGTTCAAAAGGAGCTGACACCTCATCATCTCTCTCTTATTCTCCCTCTCACCATGTGGTATGCCAGCTACCCCTTTGCCTTCTACTATGATTGGAAGCTTCCTGAAGCCTCACCAGGAGCAGATGCCAGCACCATGCTTCTTGTATAGCCTGCATAACCATGAGCCAAAACAAACCTCTTTCCTTTATAAATTACCCAGCCTCAGGTATTCCTTGATAGCAACACAAAAGAGACTAAAACACTAGCTTACACAGGGCAAGAGGAACCAACCATTATGGCTGAGAAGATTTTTTTCAATGACTTGGGAGAGTTAGAATCAACAGGAAATAAGTTCACAGAAGACGGTAGCAGTGGGATGAGAGAGGCAAAACAAATCAACATCATTGTTTCCTCCCATAACTAGAGTTTAGAAATTTACACCTGAGGCCGGGTGCGGTGGCTCATGCCTGTAATCCCAGCACTTTGGGAGACCGAGGTGGGCAGATCACTTGAGGTCAGGAGTTCGAGACTAGCCTCGCCAACATGGCGAAACTCTGTCTCTACTAAAAATACAAAAAGTAGCCAGGTGTGGTGGCAGGCGCCTATAGTCTCAGCTAATCGGGAGGCTGAGGCAGAAGAATCGCTTGAACCTGGGAGGCAGAGGTTGCAGTGAGCCGAGATTGTGCCACTGCACTCCAGCCTGGGTGACAGAGTGAGACTCTGTCTCAAAAAAAAAAAAAAGAAAGAAAGAAATTTATACCTGAGTATTATTCTCAATGCAGCATAGGGTAGTCTCTTGCAGGATAGCTGGAAGGATCCTCCTTCTGAAAACTCAAAAGAAAAGGGTTTTTCTCACTGGAATGGAATCTATGTGTGGATAATAATAATAGGAACAAAAACATCAACCAACATTTATCAAGCTCTTACTAGATTTCTGACATTCTATTAAGAGTTCTAATGCTTTGTCTTACCTAATCTGCTGTTGAACAACTTAATGAAGTAGCTACTATTATCATCCCTACCTTATGGATGTAGAAAGTACGGTTTACAAAAATGAAGACACAGCCAAGGCCACTGGCCTGCAGGTGGATGATCTGGGATTTGAATATAGGCAGTATGGTTCTGAAGTCCATAATTTTAACAATGATTCTCTACTTCCTTTCCACCACTAGATGAAGATAGTATTGTTTCTTTCTAAGGATGAGATAACTGAGGCTCAGAATATTTAAGTGAGAGTCATTTCACCAGTGGAAGTAGGACCCAACTTGGACCTAAGCTAGTCCTGGAATTTCTAGGAAAGATATGACTTCTGTCTATTTGGGTTGCTAAGCTGGTTGGATATAGATTATGTCCTAGGTATTGGGCCATCTTATATTGTCTGAAAATTCTGCCAGCTCCAAGATAAGCAGGGCTACAAGATGACTTGGAACAAGCAATGCTTGAAGCAGCTCTACACCCATAACCTGATGAATTACTCTTTGACTTAATTCAGTTTGAGCTGGTGGGCTGCCTATCTCCTGTTTGCCTTGTGGATTTATATACTTCCCTACTTCAACTGAATCACTACCCAGGAAGCTGAGCTATGACTTCACTAGCAGTCCCCAAGGCGTTCGGCTTCCAGCAGGATTGGCCAACAGGGAGCACTGGCAGAGCCTGGAGGGAGGGAGGAGAGTGAGGCCATTTATTCCTTGATTCCCATGGCATCACTGAGGGTAAGCTAGATGACCTCAACCAAAGGTCACAGACAGCCCGCTTCTCACTTCTACTCTCATTCCTCTCTCTCTGTCTCTTTCCCTTCTCTCTCTTTGGGATGGATCTAGTAACAGCTCTTTCTCTTGCTACTTCAGACTTGGTGTAGTAATGGTGCCCCATTGTTATGTTCTCTGGGGTGCTGCACTATCCCTGTGCTGGCTTTTTACAGCTATTTCACAGTTTTGTAAGTAGATCCTTTATTAAACTCTATTCATATTAACCAAATTGAGTGTTCCATCTACTTTCTGCTGAGCTCCTGACTGATACAGAGAGTTTTCTGTCATTAAAACCAACAATCCCAATTATTACAGGAAATATAGTTGAAGTACCTCCTTTATTTCAACATTGTGCTAAGCCCTGCACTTACATGATCCCTTAGCTTGTCACACGGACCTTCATAAAGTGGCTTTATTTACCTCTATGGCCCAATTGTCTTTATGCCTGCCACACCAAATTTATATTTTGGCTTCTTCACTTAGGTGGTTCCATCTATCTGCACACTCCCATCTCCACCCTACATTACTTCCTTGATGCATTCCTTGCCCTTTTCTCAGGCACTGATCCAAAGCCACCTCCTTTCTGAAGCCCTCCCAGCTATGCTACTCCCCTTAGCAGGGTATGCCTTCTCATCTCAGTTGCCTCACCTTGGTCATCCTTCAACTAGAGAGCTTAGTGAATTGTAAGACAATACCCTATTCAAGAGTCTTTCTCCACCTAAGAATGGGAGAAACTCAAGGAAAGGCAATGCCTCCAGTCATTCTCTCTGTTCCTAGAGTATAGCAAAGTACCTGGCACATAGCAGCTACTTGGTGGCAAGTACTGAGGGAGGCAGGCAGGAAGGAGGAGAAGAAGAAGGAAGGAAGGAAGAAGGGGAGGGAGGGAGGAAGGAAGGAGGGAGGGAGGGAAGGGAGGAAGGAAACAGAGAGGGAGGGAAGGGAGGAAGGAAGCAGGGAGGGAGGGAAGGAAAGAAGGGAGGAAGGAAGGAGGGAGGGAAGCAAGGGAGGGAAGGAAGGGAGGGAAGGAAGGGAGGGAGGGAGGGAAATGAGGGACGGAGAGACTGAAATTATTGATGGGATGGGAGGCAAAAATTAATACTAAATTACAGCATAATTTGTGCAAGGAGTTTGTCAGGGTTTCTGGAAACAAAAACTTGCTTGTAGAGAGTGTAACCCACTCCTACCATCTCAAATGAATTTAATTTTCTAAGCATCACATATACATCAAGACATTATTTCCATAGACTCTGTTGAGACAGTTTTCCAACACACAGAGCCTGTCCCCATCTGAGAGGACATTGAGGATCTCAAGACCACCCGCCAGTGATTCCCAATCCTAACCAGCTACAGTGGTTGCACCTGCCCTTTACACCAACCAGGAGGGGCAGTTGGAAGAAAGACCTCCCTGCCAATGGCCTCCCTCCATTCATCAGCCTTGCCACATGCAGAGGCCACTGCCTTCTCTCCACTCCACCAAATGCCAAGCCATTGATTGACTGCAACACTCAATTTCAACCCAGCAGAGGACCTGGCAGGCCTTTGATCAATATTTTCTGCAACAGACCACTTCCCTATGATAAATGGACTAGTTGAGAAGAGGAACAGATTAACCTTTCAGCACAGGTGGCAGGCAGCAACTAGGAAAAAGATGGCTCAATTCTATCGGGAGAAGAGGATGGGGCCTATTTCCCAAGCTCCCCGCAACCATATTTCAGCCCCAAAGAACCGTGAATGAGAAGAAGGCTCATTCCTAAAGAGTCTCAGAGACTTCTCCTGCCAAAGCAAACCAGGCTGTGCATCTTCTCCGCCACCCACTACCTGTGTTTGGCTCAAAGCAAGCAAGCCAGGAAGAAAAGGTAACAGAGGACGCAGGTAGGATAATGTATATATACACTCAGAGCCACTGATGGATGGAAACTGGGAGGAGGGGTGGTGGAGAGCCTGTGAGCAACGGCAAGATGAAAGTCTCCAAGAAGAGCTCTATCCCCACCATAAATCCTTCTGGCTGACGAAGAGCATGGGAAAAAGGTAATTTGCCACAGTGATGGAGACGATCGCATTGGAGATCTAACAGCCCCACAGGCAGTGAGGAGGAGCACCTGGAGAACAGCAGGAAAGATGCTCAGGGATGAAGGGTCATGCCAGGGAGCCTAGGAAGAGAGGAGGGCCCCCCATCCCCATGCAAGTACTCAGCAGGTGAGCTGAGGCACCCCGGTAAGCCCCAGATGTGGCACATGAAAATCGCAGTGATCACATGCATTCATTCACTTAAACACATTTTGTTTGGCAGAGAAGAAACATAGTAAGGTTTGGACTCTGTTTTGTTGTTGCTGTTTGTTTTTTTTAAGATGGAGTCTCACTTTGTCACCCAGGCTGAAGTTCAATGGTGAGATCTCAGCTCACAGCAACCTCTGCCTCCCGGGTTCAAGCAATTCTCCTGCCTCAGGAGTCGCTGGGATTACAGGTGCCTGACACCACGCCCAGCTAATTTTTGTAATTTTAGTAGAGACAGGGTTTCACCATGTTGCCCAGGCTGGTGTCAAACTCCTGACCTCAAATGATCCACCTGCCTAGGACTCCCAAATTGCTGGAATTACAGGCATGAGCCACCGTGCTCAGCCTCGACTGTTTTCAAATTCCTTATATAATCATACTTGTTCTAATGGCTGACAATGACTAAGCGTCTCCTGCAGCACTCAACTTACTATGCGTCATATCATTTTGTTCTCACAATATCGATATCCTCCTTTTACAGATGAGAAAACCACTGCTTAGAGATAGTAAGTAATGTTCCCAAGAACACACAACCGATGAGGGATGAAGCCTGAAGTCAGCCCTAGGCAAGGGAACTGCAAAGCCTGATTTTTATTTTTTGTGTTTGTTTCTAACCATTCAGGCAATATCATTTCTCATTGATTAGTGTTGTTTCAAAGGAAGCAAAAAGGGCTACGGGTGGAGAGTGGTTTGCAGGGGAGAGAGCATGTGTCTGACCAGAGGATTAGGAGAGCTTCCTGGAGGAGGTGACAGCTGAGTTTGGTCTGGAAGGACAGGTTGGATATAAACAGGTGGGTGATGAAAGTTACAATACCATCTTGTAAGGTAGGAGAATATCATGGGAAATGCCACTGTCACTTTGAACCCCCTCCAAGAACCTGGCTGCTAGATTAATTTTATGTGTCATGACTGTGCCATGGGGTGCCAAGATAAAGACCTGTGTCTGAAGGTGTTTCAGGATGAGATTAGCATTTGAATTGGTGGGCTCAGCAAAGTAGATTCCCCTCCCCTCCGCAAGGTTGTGGTGGGAATCCTTCAATCCATTCAGGGTCTGAATAGAGCAAAAAGTGGAGGAAGGAGGAATGTGCCTCTTTCGCTTTCTGCCTTCTTTCTGAGCTGGGACATCAATCTTCCACTCTTGGACTGGGATTTACACCATCCCATTGGCTCGGCTCCTGGCTTTCAGGCCTTCAGACTCAGACTGGAATGACACTACTGCATTTCTTGGGTCTCCAGTTTGCAGGCTGCAGATAGTGGGATTTCCCAGCCTTCGTAATCACGTAAGTTAATTTCTCATAATAAAGCCACACCCTAGGCCCTTTGCCAACATGGCAGCCTCCTTCATTAGCTGTTGATCAGGGAAGGAAATGGGAAAAAGGAGTGAGTATGTCTTAGGATTAAGGTGGGATCTCAGTGAAATTAAGATAGCATTGAGATAGCATTAAGATAAAAATCATTAAGATAGCATTGAGATAGTTTGGGCACTGTCCCAAACCACAAACTCTTCTTCCATGAGAGCCCCAAGAAAACCATAAACACGAAGGATAAAGAAAAATTGGAATCAGGGCACGCTTCAGTATGAATAGGACATGAACCTGAAATGCCAGAGCAGATCATGTGAGTAAACTAGCTGGAGCATGTAGTTTAGGCCTGTCATCTTCCTTCAACCTAAGTTCAAATAATGCCATCAGCTTGTCAACATCTAGGATGGTAGATTTAAGGGGTGAAAGTGCACACAGGCAGAAAAACAGAGAGAGAGAGAGAGAGAGAGAAAGAGAGAGAGAGAGTGAGCACATGCATACTGGGCATAACTTCTCCCAAGTAGGACTACGTTTTGTAAACCAAAGTGTCTGAGGCAGGTCTCAATCTATTTAGAAAGTTTATTTTGCCAAGGTTAAGGATGCACCTATGACACAGCCTCAAGAGGTCCTGATGACATGTGCCCAAGATGGTCAGTCTACACCTTAATTTTTTTTTTTTTAGATATAAAAATAAATACGTACTATTGATTAGTATATATTCCTAATTATTAGTAAATCTTATTTTAATTGCTCACTTAAACTTATAAGATTACAATAAAGAGTAAAATTATAATTAATGAGCAAAAATGTTAAATGAATAAAATCTATATTGCATAGAATTTGAAAGCTATGATGAGCAATTACTATATGTAAAACCTATTGATAAACTTTCAAATATATCTACATGGTGAACTGAAATTGTTAAGCTTTTTATTTTTTTATTTTTTTCCTTTTTTAAAAAAATTTTATTATTATTATACTTTAAGTTTTAGTGTACATGTGCACAACGTGCAGGTTTGTTACATATGTATATATGTGCCATGTCGGTGTGCTGCACCCATTAACTAGTCATTTAGCATTAGGTATATCTCCTAATGCTATCCCTCCCCCCGCCCCCACCCCACAACAGTCCCCGTACACCTTAATTTTTAATCTTTGAGATGGAGTCTCACTCTTGTTGCCCAGGCTGGAGTGCAGTGGGGCTAACTCAGCTGAGTGCAGCTCACTGGAACCTTCTGAATCCCGAGTTCAAGTGATTCCCCTGCCTCAGCCTCTCAAATAGCTGGAATTACAAGCATGCACCACCACATCTGGCTAATTTTGTATTTTTAGTAGAGATGGGGTTTCACCATGTTGACCAGGCTGGTCTTAAACTCCTGACCTCATGTGATCCACCCCCACTCGGCCTCCCAAAGTGCTGGGATTACAGGCGTGAGCCACCGCACCCAGCACCCAGCACCTTGGTTTTATCATTTTAGGGAGACATAAGGCATAAATCAATACATGTAATGTGTACATTGGTTTGGTCTGGAAAGGCAGGACAGCTGGAAGTGGGGGCTTCCAGGTCATAGATGGATTCAAAAATTTTCTGATTGGGAATTGGTTAAAAGGGTTATCAATGGAAAGGAATGTCTGGGTTATGATAAGGCATTGTGGAGTCCAAGTTTTATCATGCAGATGAAGCCTCCAGGTAGCAGGCTTCAGAGAGAATAGATTGCAAATGTTTTGTTTCAGACTTAACGTGCCTTTTCTGTCAGTAATTCCAAAAAGGAGGCATGTCCAGCTCCCTCTTCCCATCACGGTCTGAACTAGTCTTTCAGGTTAGCTTTGGAATGCCCTTGCTGAGAAGAGGGGTCCATTCAAATGTTCGAAGGCTTGGAATTTTGTTTTTGGTTTACATCCTTAAGACTTATATTCTGTGAGAAATAGAGGCTGAAACAAGCATCAGAGACTTGCATTCATTTCCTTTTAGCCCACTAACTAATAAACATGACCCAGCCACTGTCCTAGACTAGGACCTGATCAGATTAGACATTTCTCTTTCTGAGAGATGGGCAGGACTGTGTGAAGAGCAACTCAAATGATGTTGCTTGTATGAGTACGCTATCCCTGCTATAACAAATTACCAAAACTTAGTGGCTTAAAACAACACAAATTTATTTCAATTCAGAAGGTCAGGAGTCCCACATGGGCCTCGCTGGACTAAAATCAAAGTGTCAGCAGAGCTGCATGCCTTCTAGAGGCTTTGGGGGAGAATCTGTTCCCCGGCCTTTTCCAACTTCTGGAGAACACCCACATTTCTCAGCTCTTGGCCCCTTTCTCCATTTTCAAAGTCAGCAACGTCAGGCCAACTCCATGTCATGTTTCCATCAGCCTGGCTCTCTCTCCTGCCTCCCTCTCCTACTTACAAGGACTTTTGTGGTTACACTGGGCCCACCAGGATAATCCAGGACGATATTTCAAAGTCAGCTGATTAGTAACCTTAATTCCATCTTCAATCTCAATCTCCCTTTACCTCATAACGTAATATATGCAGAGGTTCCAGGTTGAGAGGCTGTTGTTCCACCTATCACTTTTCCCAGCCCTCAAAAATAAATATTTTAGCATTTCTGCTCCCTGCCATTCCCTGGGACCATGATGGGTAAAACAGAAGTTCAGAGAACCTTTTCCAGATCTCAGAGTTAATAACCTTGACATTCCAAAGTAGAAGGAACTGATCCAGCAGAGAGCAGTGATGTCGGTAATACCCCTACCAATAGCAAAATTCAGAGCAAGCTACTTAAATCCCTAAGCCAATATTTATTTCCTTATCTACCAAATAAAAACAACAAGCAACCTCATAGAGAGGAAGCAAGATTTAAATGACACAAACGTACATTTGAGTAAATAAGAAGCCCCAAATAAGCTTTCACTTTACAGTCTCTTCACTTTTATCTTGCCTGTTTCAAGCTTTCTACACATCGCTACATTTTCCAGTTATTCCTTTTCATAAGATGCTGGAAGCAAAGCAATCACTCCGCTTTTAGTTCCAGAATGTTCATTGCCATGTGTATACCATGTGATTTTCCAAATCACAAGCTAATTAAATACTCCATCAGGGCAGAAGCAGTGGCTCACACCTGTAATCCCAGCACTTCTGGAGACCTAGGCAACAGGATCACTGGAGGACAGAATGTGAGATCCACCTGTGCAACATAGGGAGACCTCGTCTCCACAAAGCATTAAAAAATAGCCAGGCGTGATGGCATGCACCTGTAGTCCTAGCCACTCAAGAGGCTGAGGCAGAAGGATCACTTGAGCACAGGTGGTCAAGGCTGCAGTGAGCTACGATTGTGCCACTACACGCCAGCCTGCGTGACAGAGCAAGATCCTGCCCTCCTACGAATAAATAAATAAATACATACAACATATCCCAGCAAAGGACTAAAAGTAGATTAAGCAAGAATGTGGACATCTATCAATAGGTGCATTTCCTTGACTCTTGGTGCAAAGCATCAATTACATTAAATAATTTCTTAATAAAATTTCCTCATTATGATCCACTTTCCTTCCTTGTTCACTCTTTCTGAAAATATTATTGTGTAGGAAATAAACATTCTTTCTAAATGGCTATCAATAACCATCAAATAGGATGAACAGGGCAGAGTAGAGGAGAGACCTCTGCAGCACTGTTTTGTGGCTGTTTGATTGTATTACAGTCTAGATAAATTCAGACAAACTAACCTAGACAGCACTAATTCAGGATGCATGGATGTTTGGGTTATTTTTTGTTTGTTTGTTTAATTTTAAACAGGATCTGGCTGTTCAGTTCAACAGGAATTCAAAAAACATTTACTCAATGTCTAATTAGGATAGCCAACATTTGTTGAGCAGTTACTCCATGTCATGCACTGTGCTGGCACCCAGTGTCTCATATGGTCTGCTATAGTTTGAACGTTTGTCTCCTCCAAAATGGGGCTTCCCCTTCCATCACAAGCCCAGGGCTCTAGGAGGGTAGAATGGTTTCAGGGGATGAGCCCGGGACACCTCCCAGTGGGCTCCCTGTGCAGGGCCACCTCTGCACTCTGCTCTTCACATTCCAGCATGGCACTCCTTGGCTGCCCCAGCTGTGGCTCAAATGACTGTGGATGCACCCTGGATCACTGCTCAGAAGAGTGCATGCAGTAAACCATGGTGGCAGCCATGTGGTGCTAAATCTGCAGGTGCATAGAGTGAAGCTGTGGGGGGCGTGACAGCCTCCAGCTGGATTTCAAAGGATGTCGCAGACTGCCTGGCGGCCCAGATAGATACTTGTTAAAGGGGTAGGACTACCTCAGAGAGCCCCCATCAGGGCAATATCTGGGCATAACTGTAAGATCAGACCTGCCCCAGAGAGTCCTTACTAGACCCAGTGGAACTGTAGGGGTGAAGCCACCAACAAGACCCCAGAACTGCAGAGCTATCAACGTGTAGCACCAGCCTGGGAGAGCCGCAGATAGGAGACCCTAACCCATGAGAACTACTGGGTGGACTCAGCCCAACAACACCATAGAGGCTTTGATGGCCCAACTCCTACCCTAGTGTACCTGGAAGGCAGGACATGAAGTCAAAGGAGATTATTCTGGAGTTTAAGATTTAATGTTGTTTGCCCTGCTGGGTTTTGGTCTTATGTGGAACCAGGTACCTTTTCTTCTATGCTATTTTTCCCTTTCTGGAATGGTCTATCCCATGCCTATCCTGCCCTTGTATTTTAGAAAAAGATAAGTTTTTATTTCACAGGCTTATGGCTGGAGAAAACTTTGCCTTAGGATGAATCATGCTTTGAATCTCACCATCTGATTTAGATGAGACTCTGGACTGTAGACCTTTGAGTTGATGCTGGAGTTAAGACTGGGGCTATTGGACTGGAATGAATGTATTTTGTATATGAGAAGGACATGACTTTGGAGAAGCCAGGAGTCATGTTACGGTTTGAATATTTGTCCCCTCCAAAACTTACGTTGCAATTTAATTGCCATTGGAGGTCGGACCTTTGAAAGGTGTTTAGGTAATGAGGGCTCCACCCTCATGAATGGACTAATGCCATTATTGTGGGAGCAGATTCACCTACTCTTGCTCTCTCTCTCTCCCACCCTGTCTTTACCCTTC
Organism: Homo sapiens; assembly: GCF_000001405.40. Classification (NCBI taxonomy): domain Eukaryota; kingdom Metazoa; phylum Chordata; class Mammalia; order Primates; family Hominidae; genus Homo; species Homo sapiens. The sequence continues at coordinate 26,571,375 of NC_000016.10, read as the reverse complement.
CCAACATATTATGATGCAGCAAGAAGGCCCTCACCAGATGCTAATCCCTCAACCTTAGACTTCCCAGCCTCCAGAGCCATGAGCCAATAAATTTCTGTTCATTATTCATTACCTTATTAATAATGTGCTATTGTCTTGTAACAACACGAAATGGACTAAGACATCATCTTTCCAACAATTCTATGACATAGGTCATAATATTATGATACATTACAAACGAACAAACTGAGGTTTAGAGAAATAAACATGCTTGTGTCCACACAGGCAGTAACTGGTGGCAACAGGTTTTTAATCCAGGTCTGTCTGATTCTGAAGCTGCATTCCTAACCACCACACAATACTGCCTGCTTCATGCCAGACCCTATGGTGAAAATTTAAGATGCAATCATAAATAGCAGGGGGCTTTGCCCCAGAAAAAGCTGAAACCATAGTTGGCTGGCCCTGATATTTTTATATATATATGTGTGTGTATTTTAATGACATACGTGTTTCCAAATTTTAAAATACAAAAGGAGATACAAGTGAAGAAAGAATTCCCTGAGCTCAGGCAATTCACCTGTCTCGGCCTCCCAAAGTGCCAGGATTACAAGCATGAGCCACCACTCCTGGCCAGCTAAATTTTTTTAGATGGAGTCTTGCTATGTTTCCAGGCTGATCTCAAACTCCTGGCCTCAAATGATCCTCCCACCTGCCCAGACTGCAGATTAGTGAACAAAGTAAAACAAAACCAGCCAACCAGCAAACAAACCACAGGCAAAACTAACCTGTGATGCTAGAAATGAGGATAGTGGTTACCCCTGGAGGAGGAGAGACTGGAATCAGAGAAAGGGAAGCTCTGGTGGGTGGAGGGAGAGATGGTGGTAATGTTCTGTGCTTTTGCCTGGATGCTGGTTATATAGGTATGTTCAACTTGTAGAAATTTATTGAGCTGTACATTGATGGTTTGTGCACTTTCAATAGATAAGTTATACACACACACACACACACACACATATATATATATATAGAGAGAGATATGTGCATATGTGTTACACTTCATTAAAAAGAGAAAAAACATACTAGCCTAAGATCTGGATGCTTGGTTCCCATATAGCTTATATAGCCTAGTCCCTGACTTAGACAAAGAACTTGGGCTCTTTGTTACCTGTGTTTCTCAGAGCTAATTTGTTTCCAAGAAACAAAAGTGCAACTCCAACTGGTTTAAGCAAAAAACAAAAAAATTTCTTGGACTCTCATTTGAATGAAAAGATCAGTCCTCAGGCATGGCTGGATCCAGACATTCCAACAATGTGCCCAGGTGGGATCTCTGGTATTTTCTTTCTCTTTCTCTACTTCTTGCCACTGCTTTCCTCTGAGCTGCCTTGACTCCAGGCTGACTTTCTCCACTGGGTGTCACTCTTACTTCCTCACTGCTGACATGTCCAGCAGAATGAGAGCTCATCTTTTTGTTTCCACAAAAGAGGAGAATGCTTACCTCATTGGCTAAAAGTGGCTCATGTGCACCTTGCTGAGCCAACTGACAAAGCCAGGGAGATGGAGTATTATGATTGGGCAGACCAGTGTCATGTATCTACTCCTGGAATCAGGGGTGGAAGCACTCCCACCCAAATCACATTGCCATAACTCAGGGAGGATACCTCCCCGGGGGAAGTTAAGGCACTGACACCAGAAGAAGGGGCACTGGATGCTGGAAAGGCATCAGTCGCTATCTGTGACATACATTCTGTGCCTCAGGGTCTCCACCTGTGATTTGGGTTGAATGCTGAACTCCAAGATACCCTCTCTTTAACACTAAGATTGCATGATTTTGGCCCTGATGCTGAAGGAATGCTTGGTGCAAGGCAGCCGGTGTCATGGCTGTGATTAGCAGAAGTGACCAATTAATAATTAACTTTCCCAAGTCTTTAATTGCTGGTAGTGTGCCTCATTGGTTCCAGAGAGAGAGAAAGATTATATTTATACAGTCATCCCTTTGTATCTATGGAAGATGATTCCACGAACCGCCCCTCCACACCCCCGCAGATAACAAGTCTCCCAATGCTCAAGTCCCTGACATAAAATAGCACAGTATTTGCATATAACCATGCATATCCTCCCATATACTTTGTCATCTCTAGATTACTTATAATATCTAATGCAATGTAAATGTTATGTAAATAGTTCTTACACTGCATGTTTTATTTGTATTTTTAATTGCCTTTTTTTTTTTTCCCATAAGAGTTTTTGTGGGATTTTTTTTTTTTTTTTTTGAGACAGAACCTTGCTCTGTCACCTAGACTGGGCCGCAGGGGCATGATCTTGGCTCACTGCAACCTCTGCCTCCTGGGATCAAGCAATCCTTCTGCCTCAGCCTCACAAGTAGCTGGGACTATAGGTGTGCACCACCAAGTCCGGCTAATGCTAATTTTTTTTTATTTTTTATTGTAGACACTAAGTCTCACTATGTTGCCCAGGCTAGTCTCAAACTCCCAGGCTCAAGTGATCCTTCTGCCTTGGCCTCCCAATGTCCCGGGACTAGAGGCATAAGCCAGCATGCCCGGCCTCCAGATATTTTTGATCCGTGGCTGTGGACCCTACAGTTGCTGGAACCCCTGGATGAGAGGGCCAACTGTATATATGTATGTGTGTGTATATATATATATGTGTGTGTGTGTGTGTGTGTATACACACACACACACACGTGCGCGCATATATATACACACACACATATATATACACATATATATGTCTCTCTACATATACACACACATATATATGTATATATTTGGAATTCATTTGTATATATGTATATACATATGCACACATATATATGCATATATATATTTGGAATTCAGGCCCCCACGCCTGGTCCTAGATATCCATATAGGTCTCAGCCTATTTGGCTTCAGTCCTAGTCCATTGTACGCTCCTATATAGTTTAGTCCCACTTCCCTCTATATATATATATAGAGAGAGAGAGACAGAGACAGAGACAGAGACAAACACAGAGAGACAGAGACTGAGACAGATAGAAAGGCAGAGAGCATGTGGCAGTTACTTTCACATATGTTATCTTCTGTAGTCTTCACACTTTCTATTTTAAAGATGATGATAAATGAGGCACAGAGAAGTTAAGTGACTTTCCCAAATCCCACAGTTGATGACAGGTCCACAGACTTAAAACCTCCTATTTAGGACTAATCTTCTCTATATATCAGGGTTTCTTAAGCTCAGTTCCGCACTGTTGACATTTTGGGCCAAATAATTCTGTGTTTTGAGAAGCTGTCCTTTGCAGGGAAGGACGTTCATTGGCATCTCTGGTCTCTATTCCCCAAATGCCAGGAGCACCTCTCCCACTCCCAAGTTGTGACAACCAAAAATGTCTCTACACATTGCCAAATGTCCCCTGAAGGACCAAGTCGCCCTGGTTAAGAACAGTTGCTATAAATACAATGACAGACACCCAGATTTGCCCCTTACCAGCTTTGTGACCATTAGGGGAGTGCTTCCTTTTCTTGAGCCTCAGTTTCCTTACCTGTAAAATGGGGATGAAAAACATAGTGCCTACCTACCTTACGGACGTAAGAGATTTAGCAACTGCCTGGTACTTTAGGCACTTTGTAAATGGTAGTCAAGTTAGTCTCTCTCACCAACCTGGATATATTTTTTTATATCCAGAGAGGATATATATATGTATATTTCTGGCAAATTAAAGACACACTGAATTGCAAATGAGGACAGGCATTTGAGGCCGCTCCTGTTGCCTAATTAGTATAACTCCATTGACAGCCCTGGCTCCTTCAAAGGCTGCTCCCCGGGATGTGGGTCCTCTACAGAGCTGGCTGGGAACTTGGAAGAGAGCCAAATGTCCAACATCAAACGTTTCAGTGCTCAGAAATGAGGCCAGGTTCTCCAATCGGGAGCCGTCTCTGTAAAAGTTCCCGTGCTTATTAAATGCCTGCAGTGGCCAGTTTAATTGGACCTGCCTCCCTCACTTCTCTAATCACGGCTGCACAGCCCTGCTCCGGCTTCGTATCCAGTCTGGGGCTCCTGCTTCAGGCTTTCTCATCTCCCTGAGGCTGACTCAATGGTGCATTTATCCGCTCTTGCCATTCCTGAGCCAATACTAATCAATAGTCTTGGTTTTTACCCAAAGGTGCTTAGAATGAAGTCATCCTTCTCCCCCAAACCCACATTCATTGTCCCTGCTATAACTAAGACCTTTGTTCATCTCTGGGTCCCCAGTGCCAGGCGTGTAGCCGAGCACAGAGTAGCTGATCAATACGTGTTGGTTAAATTGATGAGTATTCGGTGCTGGACATCCATCTTGCCCTTTGGACCTCTTGATGCTCATCAGAGGCTGAATCCAAATGCAAAGCTTGGAGACTGAAGTGGCCTTCAAGTTGCAAGTTTTCCTGCCTGTCTCAAACTATGCGCCTCATCAGAGGTTGCCATTTGTTAGCCTGCATGCCAAATATCGCTTGCAGCTGCCTTTTATCTAGCCAGATTGATGTTTGGCAAACAGCTAATTTGACAATTTTTGGACTAGGACTAGGACAATTTTTGGACTAGGGCACATATTCTCCAGTTCATTGCAATCTCCATCATCTTATAGCTATTCCCCAATCATTTCTGTTTCCTTCCTGCACACTCCAGTCATCTGAGTTGGAATCTGTGATAGGACAGGACCCACCCTCACCCCTCTCCATCAATGAGTGGTCCTAATAGGCTGTTCTACTTGGAATTCAGGCCCCCACACCTGATCATGGGTATCCATATAGGTCTCAGTCTGTTTGGCTTCAGTCCTAGTCCATTGTATGCTCCTGTATAGTTTAGTCCCAATTCCTTTCCATCTTTCCTCCTCCAGCCCTCTTGCAGCTGATGATCAATAAAGGCTGAACAGGAACAAGTCAGTGCTGCTCCCAGGGATCTCACAGCACCCTGTCCTTCACTCTTGACCTTGTCTCTGATTCTTTCAAGTCACTGTTGAAAAGCAGATCTCCCAGAGCTATCCACACTGCCTCTCAGGGTGAATGCTTCACCTTCAGCAGAGGCCCAGATATGGTAGCCCCTGCCTGATTGCAGATCTTGATAATGACCTGTAAAACAAATACTGGGATTGTCTTTTTCCCTCTGGACTCAGTTCTCAGACCACACAGGTGTCTTCTGTGGATGCCTGTCCAACCCAGCATAGTCCTATCTAACACCATCCTTACTGTCTGTCCTGACCAGTCCCAGGGAACTTTGCCCTCAAGCTGGCTGTGGAAGGACATACTCCAAGGTGACCTGAACAGTTTCAGGGTTGAGGGTGGGTCAGGAGCAGGGCAAGGTATTCCTGCTCACCACGACAGAAGGGCATGGGTAGAGGCCAAAGAAGTTCAAGGCAAATGCTTTAATCTTTTTTTTATTTCATACATAAGCAAACTTTTGGCACCACATTCAGGGGTAGCTCATTACATTCAACATAAAATAGATTATGGAAATTCCCTGAGAATCAATGACCCAGAGAGAAAATGGTTATTGCTCAGGAACAAGGTAAATGCAGCAAAAATCCCATTTTAATGAACCTGAAGGCATGCCAAAATTTCTATGTCAATGGGAGTGCAATATCTATGGAAACAGTGCTAGATATGTATGATTTGTCTGATACCCAGAAGGTGGATTTCTTAGAATAATAAAGTCGTAGCATTTGCATGGCATTCCACTCCAATCTTCTTATTTTAGAGGTAGGGAGTCTGAGGGACAAAAAAGGGGGCGAGCGTGGACATTGGAAAGAGTCAGGTAACCTGGTTTGGGATGCTGCTCTATGACCTTGGACCTTGGACAAATAATGTCCTGTCTCTGTAACCCAGTTTTTCCATCTGCAAAATGGGAAGGCTGGAATTTTTTTTTTTTTTTGAGACAGAGTTTTGTTCTCGTTGCCCACGCTGGAATGCAATGGTGCAATCTCGGCTCACTGCAACCTCTGCCTCCCAGGTTCAAGCGATTCTCCTCCCTCAGCCACCCAAGTAGCTGGCATTATAGGTGTGTGCCACCACTTCTGGCTAATTTTTTGTATTTAGTAGAGATGGGGTTTCACCATGTTTGCCAGGCTGGTCTCGAACCCCTGACCTCAGGTGATCCATCCACCTCAGTCTCCCAAAGTGCTGGGATTACAAGTGTGAGCCACTGTGCCTGGCTTGGAATATTTCTAAATGGGACCTGGAAATTGGAATTAGAAGTTTGGAGTTACTTCTAAAGCCAGTGATTATGTCTCTTTAGAGATCCATGACTGCTACTGAACAGATTCAGTGTGATGTCACATTTAAAGATGCAAAGCCCAGACAGGAACTGCAGGCTTTATACATGCATCTTTCAGATGTTTAATGAAACTCTGTACTGCTGTGACTCTTATTAACACCTCCTCTTTTCACATATGTCTGTGTTCTGGGATCCCAGTAGATCTCTAAATACTTCACTCTGCTTTTAGTGGTAACAGAATCCCATTGCAGTGCTTTCAACAAAGTAGGGGCATATTCGATCACATAAAGAAAATCCAGACATAAGTAATTCAGAGCTGGTTTGATGGTTCCCAGAGTCATCAGAGATCCACGCTCCTCTATTTTCCATTCCACTATCCTCCAAGCAAGAAGAAGAGAAAGAGCAAGGAACGAGTCTATTCCTCCTCAGTCATCCTCCTTTAAAGAGATTTCCCAGAAGCTCTACTCAATGACTTCTGCTAGCAAATCATTGGCAAAGCCTCACTAAAAAGAGAGACTTGAAGAAATAGTGTTTTCACTGGGCACAGGATGACCCCAAATAAAATAGGGGTTTACTTTTAAAGGAAGAGGAGAGAATTAATATTGAGCAGGCAAACAGCAACCTCTGCCACATTGCCCTCCTCTAGTCTAACTAAGACATCCTTGTCATCCTGGTCTTTTCATATCCCTGCTCCTCCATGCTATGCACAGCCTGTAAGACCTGTGCCATTCTCTTGCTCCGACCGTCTTTCCTCTCACTTCCAGTTTCCCTTGTGAGCTCTTACTCTGCGCTTCAGAAATCCTGTCCTATTTGGATTTAACTTGGGCAGAGTCTTTTGCTGCTGGCAACCTAGCCCCCAGTTCTCCAAGTTTCTCCTTTGTCAGAACCCTAATTTGCAACCCAACATTTATTTTTATTTTTTTAAACTTGTGATATTTTTTAAAACTTGCGATATAGGTAAACTTGTGTCTCAGGGTTTGTTGTACAGATTATTTCATCATCCAAGTACTAAGCCTAGTACCCAATAGTTATTTTTTCTGATCCTCTCCCTCACCCCATCCTTCACCCTCAAGGAGGCCTTAGTGTCTGTTTTTCCCCTCAGTGTGTCCATGTGTTCTCATCATTAAGCTCCCACTTATAAGTGAGAACAAGCAGTATTTGGTTTTCTGTTCCTACATTAGTTTACTAAGGATAATGGCCTGTAGCTCCCTGATGTTCCTGCAAAGAACATGATCTCATTCTTTCTATGGCTGCATTGTATTCCATGGTGTTTATGTACCACATTTTCTTTATCAAATTTGCTATCGATGAGCATTTAAGTTGATTCCGTGTCTTTGCTATTGTGAACAGTGCTGCAGTGAACATACATGTGCATGTGTCTTTGTAATAGAACAATTTATATTCCTTTGGGTATATACCCAGTAATGGGATCGCTGGATCAAATGGTAGTTCTGTTTTTAGCTCTTTGAGGAACCACCACACTGCTTTCCACAATAGCTGAACTAGTTTACACTCCCACCAACAGTGTATAAACATTCCCTTTTCTCTGCAACCTTGCCGGCATATATTAGTTTTTTATTTTTTAATAATAGCCATTCTGACTGGTGTGAGATGGTATCTCATGGTGGTTTGATTTGCATTTCTCTAATCATCAGTGATATTGAGCTTTTTTTCATATGCTTGTTGGCTGCATATATGTCTTCTTTTGAAGAGTGTCTGTTCATGTCCTTTGCCCACTTTAAAATGGGGTTGTTAGAGTTTCTCTTATAAATTTAAGTTTCTTATCAATGCTGGATATTAGACTTTTATCAGATGCATAGTTTGCAATTTTTTTTTCCATTCTGTAGGTTGTCTGTTTACTCTGTTGATAGTTTCTTTTGCTGTGCAGAAGCTCTTTAATTTAATTGGATCCCATTTGTCAATTTTTGCTTTCGTTGCAATTTCTTTTAGTGTTTTTGTCATGAAATGTTTCCTATGTCCAGAATGATATTGCCGAGGTTGTCCTCCAGAGTTTTTATAGTTTTTATAGTTTTGGGTTTTACATTTAAGTATTTGATCCATCTTGAGTTGATTTATGTATATGGTGTAAGGAGAGGGTCCAATTTCAATCTTCTGTATATGCCTAGCCAGTTATTCCCACACCATTTATGGAATAGGGAGTCCTTTCTCCATTGCTTGTTTTTGTCAGCTTTGTCAAAGATCAGATGGTTGTAGGTGTGTGGCTCTATCTCTGGGTCATCTATTATGTTCCATTGGTCTATGTGTCTGGTTTTGTACCAGTAACATGCTGTTTTGGTTACTGTAGCCCTATAATATAGTTTGAAGTTAGGTAGCATAATGCCTCCTGCTTTGTTCTTTTTTGTTCAGGATTGTCGTGGCTATTCGGGCTCTACTGTGGTTCCATATGAATTTTATTTATTTATTTATTTTTTTTGAGACAGACACTTGCACTCCAGGCTGGAGTGCAGTGGCCCAATCTTGGCTCACTGCAACCTCCACCTCCCAGGTTCAAGCAATTCTCCTGCCTCAGCCTCCCAAGAAGCTGGGACTACAGGTGTGTGCCACCATGCCCAGCTAATTTTTGTATTTTTAGTAGAGAGGGGGTTTCACCATGTTGGTCAGGCTGGTCTCGAACTCCTGACCTCATGCTTCTCCCGCCTTGGCCTCCCAAAGTGCTGGGATTACAGGCATGAGCCATCGCTCCTGGCCTCCATATGAATTTTAAAGTAGTTTTTTTCTAGTTCTGTGAAGAATGTCATTAGTAGTTAGGTAGGAACAACATTGAATCTGTAAATTCCTTTGGTCAGTATGGCAATTTTAATAATATTGATTCTTCCTTTCCATGAGCATGGAATGTTTTTCTATTTGTGTCATCTTTGATTTCGTTTAGCAGTGTTTTGTAATTCTCATTGTAGAAATCTTTCACCTCCCTGGATAGCTGTTTTTCTAGGTATTTTATTCTTTTCGTGGCAGTTATGAATGGGACTGCATTCTTGATTTGGTTCTCAGCTTCACTGTTTTTGGTGTATAGGAATGCTAGTGATTTTTTCTACATTGATTTTGTATCCTGAGACTTTGCTGAAGTTGTTCATCAGCTTAAAAATCTTTGGGGCTGAGACTATGGGGTTTTCTATATGTAGAATCATGGTATCTGCAAACAGGGATAGTTTGAATTCCTCTGTTCCTATTTGGATGCTTTTTATTTATTTCCTTTGCCTGATTGCCCTGGCCAGGACTTTCAATACTAAGTTGAATCGGAGTAGTGAGAGAGGGCATCCTTGTCTTGTGCAGGTTTTCAAGGAAACTACTTCCAGGTTTGCCCATTCAGTACGATGTTGGCTATGGGTTTGTCACAGATGGCTCTTATTATTTTGAGGTATGTTATTTCAATACACAGTTTATTGAGAGTTTTTAACATGAAGGGATATTAAATCATATCAAAAGCCTTTTCTGCATATATTGAAATAATCATGTGTTTTTTGTGTTCAGTTCTGGTAAATCACTTTTTTTTTTCAACTCCAGTTTAGGACCCCCAGAATCCTGTTTGGAACCTGGCTGGAGTCCAATATGAATAATGCGAGTCCTGCTCTGCTGGTGGCTCCTGGTTTAGAATGTTGGTCTGTTTGTTATCTCTCCACCTGGCTTACACCTGGCTCTCTTTCCACGGAACTTGATCCCTGATTTCTGGCTCAGAAGACCCTAGTGAAGGTCCACAGGCTCTTTGTTGCAAACTGTGCGTACTGTACCCGATGAATGGACTTTTCTCTTCCATAGATCAAACTCGTAGCTATACATTGGAAAACATCGTTATACATGAGCAGTTCCTTTAAGATTCTCTGGGTTATGAACAGCTAAGAAAGATGTAAGAAGCTGCCCATCTCCTCAGCAATCATAAAAATGCAAAGTACAACATCAACCAAATGGCGTTTTATACTCCTTTAATTGCAAAACATTAAAAAAGTCAAACATTATAAAGTGGTGGTCAGGATACTGAGAAACTGAAAATCTTATCCACAGTTGGTGGAACTGTACATTTGAACAACAGCTTCGGTAGGCAATTTGGAAATATATAGTGAAGTTAAAAATAGGCATAACCAATGGCCATGCAATTTCATTTCTAGGTTTATCGTTTAAAGAAAGTCTTATACATTTGCGCAAGGAAACTTGGATGTTGAAGTTCATTGCAGCTGTGTTTGTCTGGGGGCTGCTTTAGTGGAAGACGTGGCTCCCTTAGCATCTGAAATTGAGCACAGATCCACCCTCTCTCAGCAATGTTCCTTAAGAGGATTTCCTACTGAAGGGAATCATGTGGCTGGGACAGAGACTTGAGGGGGTCTGTAAGAAGAGACCTGCCAGCTTCTATGGGACTCCAGGGATGTGAAGGGCAAGTAACACTGGAAGGAGTCCCTGTTCCTCATCTAGGCTCTGTTAGCAACTTCCCAGGAGGATGTATGTACCTGGCTAGTCATTGGATAATGCGGGATACAGTCTGGGCCCATTAGTCAGGGAGGCAGAGCATGGCAACAAATGATGAGGCCAGGAAGGGCTATGTAGTGGTTCTTAGAGACCCTGAAAACCACAGAAGGCTGATTCTGAGCAGTGACTGGGACAAAGAAAAAAGCATTGGATGATGCTGGCAGGAGCTCAGTAGGATGACAGACCCTGGATATAGAAGGGATGAATGCGACTTCAGGGTTAGATTCCAGTCCCAAGAGGAGCGAGGATTACATAAAAATCATAAATTGTTATCATCATGATGATAGCTAACCCTTATTAGACATTTACTATGTGTCAGAAGCTGTGTAAAGTGCTTTTGCTTCTATAGCAGATTTTGCTAACTGCATACTTATATTCGTCTCCCCTTCTGCTTTGTTAACAGATCTGTGGTTTTTTCAGAATGGCAAAAAAGCTCAGAAAAATTCCCAGGATGACTCGTGGCTGAAGGTGGTCCTGTGGTACAGTTCTGGCCAATGAGATGCAGTTAGAGGTTGATTTGATGATGCTTCTGGGAAAGCTGATCTTTGTCTTCACTTTCCCTCTTTCTCTGCCTGGAATGTTGATACAATGATCAGGATGCAGCAGCCATATTGTGACCAAGAGGAAAAGAAACTTATGCTCAGCATGGCAGCATGGGAAAAGAAAATAATCTGGGTTTTGATGGTGATGGCATCAAGTACTGCCTACCTTTGCATTTCTTGTTTTATGAGAAAAATTCACCTATTGTGGTTAAGCTACTGTAGCATTCAGATAGACACAATCCTGAAAGATACGCATGCTCTCATTTAATCCTCACAACAGACTTGTAATGTAGGTACTCTTACTATCCCCACTTCACAGATGAGGAAACTAAAGCTCAGAGAGGTTAAAGTAGGAGGTAGTAGCGTTGTGGCTGGATCTATATTTGTCTCACTATAAATCCGTCTTATTTTTACTATGCCATTCTTTCTCTCTTCATCATGCATCAGGAAGGGGGTTAAATCAATTCTTGTGGATTGGCTCAAGGGAGAGCCAATGCATATATGTCTGAGGGGGGATAGGGAAGAGGGGAAGGAGGCTACACTGCTGTTCTTGATTCAGTCCTGAGGGGCATGAAAATTGAAGCTGTAAGTCCCACCTATTTCTCTATTTCTCCCTTTTTCTAGGCAACACCCACTGGCTGAAGGATGCCTTCAGGGATTCCAGGGAAGGAGATGGTAGTGGGGGTCTCCCAGGGAGAAGGACCTATCACCCTTTCAGCTGCATAGTATGGGCAGCAGCATCAGGATATCAGGGAATTGAGAGTGAGGATAAAGTCAGCATCTAGGCTGCAGAACAGATCAGACTACCTTGAGCAGGCAGGGCACCCAGCCAGGTGGCAAATGTTTCTTGATTGTTCCTGAATACTTCGTTGGTCTGAGTGATTATTAATAAAGCCCTGACGAGAGCAGTGGATAAAACATTCGTTTCTACCTCTCCTCCCATTCACCCCAGAGGAACAAGGACATCACCCCCATGAACCCTTGGAAGACAAACGGAAATGTGGGTAGTGGAAGGTAATTAGAAACTTCAGTGTGATGTAGAGAGAGGTACCTCTGGGTTTGGATCCCTCTCTTAGTAGCTTTGTGATTTTCTTTTTATTATACTTTAAGTTCTGGGGTACATGTGCAGAACGTGCAGGTTTGTTACATAGGTATACATGTGCCATGGTGGTTTGCTGCACCCATCAACCGGTCACCTACATTAGATATTTCTCCTAATGCTCTCCCTCCCTTAACACCCTATCCCCTGACAGGCCCTGGTGTGTGATGTTCCCCTCCCTGTGTCCATGTATTCTCATTGTTCAACTCCCACTTATGAGTGAGAACATGCAGTGTTTGATTTTCTGTTCTTGTGTTAGTTTGCTGAGAATGATGGTTTCCAGCTTCATCCATGTCCCTACAAAGGACATGAACTTAAAGAAGTCATTTAATATCCTGATGATCAGCTGATGACTCACAGGTTGGCATCAGGATGGAAAGAAAATAATGCGATCACATGTGGCCTATACATATCGGGTGCACAGAGCACAGAAGCGCCTCTGCCTTCTTCCTGCAGAACCTGAAATAGGAAAGAGAAAGCCCTCACTTCTCTGTTTTTCCTTCTCTCCTGAAAGAGCCACAGGATCTCCAGAGGAACTACTAAGCAGGGCTAGACCCTAAGTGTTTACATTCTTCATGGATTTTTAGGTTCCCATACACCCTTTTGGGGAGGGACTATTATCTCCGATTATACTTAAAACTGAGGCCGAGGGAGGTTTAAATAATTTGTCCTTAGGCACAAAGGTAGGAGGTGATAGAGCTGGGTTTTGATTCCAATGCCTGACCTTCAACCATCATATTATTCTTTCTGTCAGGAAGAAGATATTGAGCAAGTAGTCCAATACCTAGACTTTAGCCATTCATTGATCAAAAGTAGAGCAAACATTCACTAGCTATGCTGTATCTTGGAGATGGTGGCTTTTGCTACCAGCATTTCCTACTATGTAGTAAGCCCATGATAGGTAGAGACAACACCTGTGATATAGTTTTGAACTGTGCTGTTGTGACCCAGTTTTTGGGTTCTGGCTAGAGACTGATCAGTCTTCTTCTTAAGTGGACAATGTAGTCCACATCCCAACCTCTTCCCTTTTCAGACGTTTACACTCCAGGGTCACTAGGCAGCTATTCTAATTGCCCAGACAACTTGGGACAGCCCCTGTTCCCTGGAGCCTGCCACAGTATTAACCAATCCACAAGGATCCCCACAAATCCTCACTAACCCCATACCACACGCTCCACATAAGCCACTCCACTAGAGCTCCTCCAGCTTGCTATTACTCTGTCCCTGGGTGCAAACCCCTGTGTGACCCTGCCTGGCAGACTTCTCTCATCTGGAGCTGTAAGTCACAGAGTTCTGCCTTTTGTCTCCCCAGGTGTCAACATGTGGTGTCCTGACATCAAAAGTATCTTTAAATCTTATAAAACAGAACCTTATTCACTCCTAGGAGACTTTAGCACCACAAACCGAACTTAGTATCAAGCAGATGCTACTAAATATTTTTGATAGAGAAAGAGATAGAGATGAGGGGTAAGGAAAGAAGGGGGGGTGGGGAGAAGGGAGGAAAAAAAGGAAAAGGAAGGAAGGAAGAGAAAACTAGGTGTCGTAGCTCATGCTTATAATCCCAGCTATTTCAGAGGCTGAGCAGGGAGGATTGCATGAAGCCAGAAGTTAGCCTGGGCAACACAGCAAGACCCATCTCCAAGAAAGAAAGAAAGAAAGAAAGAAAGAAAGAAAGAAAGAAAGAAAGAAAGGAAGAAAGAAAGAAAGGAAGAAAGGAAGAAAGAAAGAAAGGAAGGAAGAAAGAAAGGAAGAAAGAAAGGAAGAAAGGAATAAAGAAAGAAAGAAAGAAAGAAAGAAAGAAAGAAAGAAAGAAAGAAAGAAAGAAAGAAAGAAAAGATGGCTCTAAAAACAGTTTTATACTTCAGTTCCTCCAAACACTGGCAGAGTGACCATGTGCCAAATGCTGAAACTTTCTATAACTCAGTTTACATTCTGTATTTTGGAGGTGACAGTAATAATTGTCCCTGTCTCACAGAACAGATGTAAGGAGAAAATAAATTAATGTAATAAAGCACTGAGAAGAGTTCCCAACAAAATATAAACACTCAATCAGTCTGAGCTACTATTACTAATATTATTACAGCTATCATTAAAATTCAATGTTTGCTCTAATGGAAAAGATTCACCAAAAGCTTTGAGAGCAAAGAGGTTAGACAAAGAGTGGGTATTCACAGTGAAGAGGCTGCCACAAATGGCTCCCCTTGTGTGGTCCTATCTGATTAGTATGAGTGATTCCTCCTAGTAGAAAACCTAGCATTGGAGTGGGCTGATCCTCAGGGACCTATAGAACCTCAGCTGTTGCAGGAAATCTGAGACAGCTGGAATGGAAGGGTAGGGCAGCATCTCCCTCTAATCTCACCTGGGGAAGACGGTGACTCACTGCTGGAGAAGACCTGGGAGAGGGACCTGGAAAATAAGATGTCCACACACTGACCATAAGGATGCTTTATGCAGAGGCAGACTGAACAGTTGCTTTTATGAAGTCATCTGTGGGCTACTGAAAGCCCCCATGGGCCATGTTGCTTCAAAACCTACCATTAGCATTTCTACTTAATTACATTTGTAGGAAGGTGTGTTTTCACAGGATTGAGGCAGTATGTCACCCATGAGACATTAAATAATAACTCCTGGGGGATGAGCTGCATGGATTACAGAGGGTGCTGTGTGGCTCCAGGCTTCTATTGTTTTCTGGAGGAAAAAAAAATTGATCACACAGTGACATACACCATTACAGCAAAAGGCTGTCTGGCTCCTAAGCATAACTGGCTTGACCATCTCTCCCATTCATACTTGGTAGTGCCCAATAAATTGATCGTGGTGGATGGTTAGAGTTGTCTAAAGTGTGAACGGTGCATTGATCTGGCATGCTTTCAACCAGATTTCCCAGGAGAGCCTTAAACAGTTTCTTCACTTTCATTGATTCATTCAGTCAACAAATATCTATAAAGAACTTGTAGGTGATAGGCCCTGGAGATACCACAATTTTCAGAGCCCAGAATATTAGAGAGACCCTAGGCTGGTGGAGAAGATGAACATCACACAAATAGGTGCATGATTGAGTATAGACACTTATATGGACTTCAGACAAGTTTCCATGCAATGTAGACTTGGTCTTTCTGTATCTCCATTTCTGGGCTCTGTTTTCCTCTCATTGGCTTCATTCTTAGTTTGTATCATGCAGTGTCCCCTGGTAGCTTCAGGCTTACATTAAACAAGCCAGTGTAGCAATCCTATGGAGTGTCTCTTCTTGTTCCCACAAAAGGCTGACTCTCATTGGATGGACTCAGCCTCAAGGTGGGGTGGAAGGGGAATTGGCTGACTGAACTAGGTCTGAGTCACATGGATTCTCCTGGATCCCAGGAAGAAGTATAGTCACCCCACCTATACTGCTAGATGTAGTGTGTTTGAAGGTAGTTCCCTAAAAAAGTGGGGTACTGCTCCCCACTGGCCTGGATGCTAGCCAAGCAAAGACAACTTATATCCATGGTATGAGAAAGACCTTCTTGGGAATTCTTGGAAGGAGTCTGAGGCCATGGTGACCCTTTGTAAATCCTTGACCCTACCTGCAATTTTAACACTGTGCTCTTCCAAATGGCTGACTACACAGGTGGTTGTTTCTTCATCTTTTGAGTCTTGTCACTCCACTCTCCAGCCTGACTCAGTTGTTAAGACACCTAGGGTTGTGATATTCACCAGAATCTTGCCCATAAAGCCCATGAAACTGCGATTACAATGCCAAGTGGATACAGGTTGACACTGGAACAGCTCTCAGGGGCTGTTATGCAAATAATTATTTGATGTTAGCTAGAAACCATTTCATCATAAAATCTTATTTGAGGGTTAAAAAGGGCAGGAATACAAAGACGATTTAAATTATAAGTATTGTTAACAAAAAATTATATATTTTTATTTACACATCAGAAAATATACATGCTCTAATTTATATGTCAGAAAACAGGGTCCTCTTGGGCTGCTACAAAGAACTGAAGCTGTATATGCAGGAAGTATCAAGCATGTCACAGGGACCAGTACCTCTTTTTCAATTAAGGCTGTCCTTTGGAGTCTTTTGCAGTAAGCCAAGGTTGGATTGGTTTTTAGAAATTTAGGAGACATGTCTCCTTAACCTAAGGCTCTTCCGTATCTTATAAATCTCAGTATTAGAGCATCCCTTTCTGCTCCCATTTCTGGACTAAAGCTTTGGAGAAGGTTCTGATAATTATTTTGGGATCAGGAATGGAGACATGCTTATCTTTTTGACATTTCTTGATTCACATGACAAATGAAATGGCTGGGACCCGGTGTGCTTGGAGATCCAAGCACAAATCCTGACTTTCAGAGGTTGCATTCACTAGATGAAGAAGTGATTTTTCTGTCCCATTTTCTGTCTGCACCCTGATCTTCTCGGGGTTGCAGCCAGTGCAAAGATCTGGAGCCTTGTTATCAACAGGGTATTCTATGGCAATTAGCTGCAAACAAAGAAAATAGAATGGACCATCAGGTCCCAGGCAGAATACAGAGGCAGGGACACAGGTGTGCGCTCAGCTGAGTACCTGCCAATGCTGTTTGAGTATTAGGCTTCCACTGTCAATACCCCAACTCCTTGATTCAAAGACACACATGTCCCCACATGTTAAAGTGTCTGCATTAGGACCTATCTAACAATTGATGTATGTATGTGATATGATTAGATTTGCGTGTGTGTTGATCTGTTGCTTGTTTTCCCCTGAAAAGCTATATATAAATCCATAGCAAATCTTAAAATAAATAGTGTTTCAGAACTAGGGAATGCAGTATTTCTGGAACAAGCAGGATTGTGCAATCTTAACTAGATGCAACTTACGGTTTTCATCTCTATCACTTTTCCTGCATTGCTTCTTCATCTATCCATCCGTTTACCTATCTAACTATTCAGTAGAAACAGGAAAGTTATTTAAACTTCATATGTCTTAGTTTCTTCACCTTCAAAGGGCAGATGTGAAGATTAAATAAAATAATATGATGTTCATGTAAAGCACTTTAACAGTGCCTGGTGCAAAATAAGGGCTCAGTGAGTGTTATTAAATTGTTCATTCATTTTATTTATCCATTCATTCATTAAACAATCTTTGCTGATGCTTGGCATCTGCTAGACTCTTTGAAGCAGGGTTTATTGGAGTCTGCTGCTGATCTGAAAGGGTATTTTCAAGGAAAGTGAAGTCAGTTTGGTGTGAGGCCTCTAGACAGGCATAAATGTACAATGTGTCTCAGGAAGTCAATCATAGCAGCCCCACCCATAGCTCTGGTTGCTGGCCTGGTCATCACTCTCTTTTTTTTCTCTCCATCTGCTCCCATGGGTCCTGGTATATAGGATACACTAGGAGGAAAAAGAGAAGGGGAATGCCTCTTTCTTGCTTTCACGATTCCAGTTACAGACTTCTGTTTTCAGTGCTGCCCATTTCCGCAGTTTTGACATTGCCTCTCCCTTCCCTTCCCCCATTTACCTGCTTCTTACTGTCCACCTGGGCACTGGGCCTCTACCTGTGCCCAGGTGTATCCAGCATCGTCAGCCTTCCTAGGCCACACCTTGAGGCAAAGTGGATAAACCTTCTGCAGACTGGGTTATATCCACTGATGATGTCAGGGCTATGGGAGATGGACCTAGGCTTCCCATGGTCTCTGGTGCCGTTGTTTAGCATTGACACTGCCTGGTGAGTTGGTCCTAATCTTGGGAGGGTAGAATTCCCATTGGCAATTCTCATGGCACTGTGTTCTGAAAGCTAAAATGAATTTTCATGGTTCCATATGTATCTGTCTGGGAATCCAGAGTGTAAACTCCATGAGGGATGAACTTTTTTGTATGTTTTATTTACTATTAAATCCCCAACACCCAGAGCTATGCTTAACGCATAGTGGACACTCAACCAACATTTGTTAAATGAATGAACTAATGAATCTATAAAAATTATCTCTGGAGGCACACACAGATGTGGACTTCTGCTGGTTTCCCTGAAGGTTAGGAATATCTCAGAGCCTGCTTCTCCTTGAAATTCTCTAGGGTTCACCTGGTCTGAAAGGTGAGCAAGGATAGAAATTTGCATGGCTGTGTCCATGGGTCTATAAGTATGTGAAAATATATGTATTTGCATACATACAGGAGGTCACAGCATGTGAATGCATGAGTGCATATAAATACAGAGTGGGAATACATGGATGTATACATATATCCACTTGTGTTCCTACAGATAGTTGTATGTGTAACAGCGAAACTGTAAAAGAACTAATATAACTCACTTTATTTTTGTTTAAGAGGCCTTTACCCATTCCTGCATGTAGATTAGGATAATTTTAAAGCACTGAGACAATATGCAAAAAACAGCAATCATATAGTTTTTAAAACTAGCCTGAGATTAAAGGGAAAGTATGTAAACAACGAATTATGTTTTGTTAAAGATGTATAGGAGCATTGTGACCTGACCAAGGACAAAGAAATTTCTGACCTCTTCAGACCCTGCCTGCCACCAGACGCCTGCAGTTGTTGGTTACCTCTTGATTTCAACCCTGTCCTGTTCCCCTTGCCTTGAATATAAAAAGAGACTAAAATTTGCACTGACTTAAAATGGTCTTTGTGACTATAATTCACCATCTTCTTGGTTTTGCTGACTTTCTGAATAAACCTGCTTTTCTTCCCACCAACCCTCATCTCTTGTGTCTGGCCTTCAAGCAGTGAGCAGGTGAACCTGGGTTCAGTTCGATATGTGTGTGCTTGGGAATATGCGTACGTCTATGGGCGTATACATTTAAATATGTGCATGCCTTCCTGTGGGGACCTGTACATGCCTAAACTATCTCAGACCACATATATGCACAAATATGGAAACATACATATCTATCCACATGTGTGTGCCCACACATACATGTATGCTGTAATGAGGGGGTGTAGTTTGTGTGTTGGCTAATATGGTTTATAAAAAATGGGGTAAAATGAGCAGACAGGGTTCAGAGACTTCTAACTTGAGGTTCACCCTTATACACAAGTTTCCCTGGACTCAAGCAGAGCCGTTGAAGTTATGGGGACTTCTTTGGGTGAAGTTTAGTTCCTTTTAGTTTCCTAGAAGCCACATTGTTCACGCAAAAGGAAGGAATCACAACAGGACAGGATGCCCCAGATGTTGATATCTGCATTCAGAGGGCCCAAGGAAACCCAAGCACTAAGGTTCACTCTAGGGCCAGAGTGCCTGGTCTTGATTCTCGGCTGTGGCTGTTACCAGCCCTATGCTCTTGGGAAGTTATCTGACCTCATTGTGCCTCAGCTTATGCATTTGTAAAATAGGGATACTAATGGAATCTGCCTCATAGGGCATTGGGGAAATTAAGGGTTAATATGTGTAAGCACATAGTAAATGCTAGATAAGCTTTGACTAATTTTTTTTGTTAAATATGGCCGGAAATTATTTTCTTATTCTTGGAAGCAAAAGATAACCTTTATTATTTTACTTATATAAAATAAGTCCATGTTCACTTTAGACAATTTGGAAAATAAAGATAGACAGATATGATAAAAAAAAATTCCTACCTATAGTCTGTCCCTGTGCTTAAATAAGCACTGTTAATTTTTTAAAGAATAACCATTTAGGTACTTCTGTAAATATACTTTCTCATAGTGAGGATTCCATTACCACATGCTGTGGTGGTATATTACTTGATGGCCTCCAATGCATCGTGTTCTCAGAATTTACAGGATTGTGTAGTTTTCTCTTCTTACATCTTGGTTCATCCTGTGACTTGTTTTAACCAACAGAATGCGAAAAGAATGCAGCCAAATGAGGCTGCACCAATTCCAGGTTTAAGCCTTAGAAAATCTGGCAGTTTTTGTTTTAGCTTTCCTGAGAGTTCTGAGCAGCCATACAAGAAGTATGACTGTGTTGCTGAAGAAACCTCACAAGGAAGAAGAGACCCTGTACTTTACGGAAAAAGAGGCTCAGACAGTCCTGCCTTCCAGCTCAGCCCAGCCTCCACCCAACTTTCCTGCTGGAAGAACCCACAAGAAAGACCACCAGCAAGACTGGCAAAATAGCCACCCAACTAAACCCATCTGGGATTGCTGAATTGCAACAGTGTTAAAAATTGTAATAAACGTGATTGCTAAGCCACAGCGTTTTGGGGTGATTTATTACATAATAACAGATAATGTATACAATTTTATAATTTGCATTTTTAAGCTTAAAAGTAGATCTATTTCTTTGTAATTGTGCTGTGGTTTAGAGTCAGTACTGGATCAGACTGCCTCCATTTAAATTCTGACTTCTCCACATATTAGCTGTGATTTGGGGCAAGCTAAAATGGGTTTAATAATATCTACCTTGTAAATTTGGGGGGAAATTAATTGAGCTGATATGTGTAATACATGGTGCTCAGAATAGAGTTAAACATTAAATGGATTTGTATTCTACCAAATTATTAAATATATCTCAATGACCATGATATGTCATTGCATAGGCACGACGTAATTTAATCAGTCTCCCATTGTTAGAGATTTATGCTGTCTCCAATTCTTTCACTACTATAGAATATAGAATATGCAGAGCAAACACTCTCATTTCCATTTTTCAAAGGAGGAAATAGAGTGAAACTGAAAAAGGCTAAGCAACTTGCTCACGGTTAGAAGACAGTGGAGCTGTGGCTGTAAATCCTGTATTCTCATTCCTAGGGCAGTGCTTGCTGGCACACCCAGCTTGAGCATTTAGCAATCTACCTGCATGCAGGTTTTGTCTGCTGCCTCTGGCATTGCATTATAACCCTGTTTCCCTGGAGACTAGAGCTATCATGAGCAAGGAAAGATTTTTTTGTCATGCTAATTTTTCTAAGTGACAGAACATTCTAAACTTCTCACTCTGCTTGCTTCACCCTTCTCTGTCAGCCAGAGCACATCATTTTTGGACTGGCAAAGGCATCTCTTGGTAGGGAAGAACTGGAACCAAAAGTGAGAGATGGTATTGTGTGATGGAGTGAGTTTGAGCCTGCTTCCAACAGTCCTGACTTTGAGTTTCAGTTCTGCCTGTTCCTAACTATATGACTAAGAACAGGTTATGTAGCTTTCTGAGCCCCAATTTCCTCATGTGTGGAAAAGCAATACTTATTTCTCCTCCTCTTCTGCCCGCTTTTCACCCATCCCATTGTTGTGAGAATTAAAAAAGATAATTGATGTAAAGTGCCTGACCCAAGTGCTCAAGGCAGACTAATTGTCATTGGATTCTTAGTATTAGGTAGGGAACCTCTAAGGAAGGCTTAAATTATTTTTTATCTTCCTGGTCTGGATAAAGTACAGCCCTGGGAACTGAAAAACCTTTGGATTGGAAATCTGAACTTCTTTTGGTGCTCTCTGAGGTGTCAGGAAACATGAAAATAAAAGTAAAAATTATTTCTACAAATGGGAATGCTTAAGGAAGATAGTTTATGCCAAATCATCAGCAGGTATAAAATGTTGACTTCTAACACACCTACCTGTTTGTCATAAATTCCCTCTCACTGATGCCCACTCAATTTTTACATATGGCACTCAATGTCATAATCATCCCCAACTAGGCAGAGTCGGTAAAGGAAGCAGGAGGTCATGTCCATGATGGTCACTTCTGTGGCCCCAGAATAATTTCTGCTTCATGGCTCTTGGACTCTCTTCTCTGATAACGCTCTTCATCTTCTTCAGAAGATGTCATTGTGTCAATCAATGTCCAACCACTGCTATAAGTAATTTCATTTTTGTGGGACTTAGACAGTCTTGAAGATGGCAAAGTAGTCTAATTTCAATCTTTCGGGAATGAATTCAGGTTGATAGATGGTCATTTTGGTAACTTTTCATTTTATTTCTTCCTTTCTGTATTTTCCCCGACAGTTTTGTCAGCATGGAGCTTAATCATTAAACTCAAGCGCCAATAAAAGGCTGTTTTAACAAAGGCTTTTGCACTTTACTAAGAATATGATCATTCTTTATTTCTTCCTTTTCTTTCTCCCTCCCTTCCCCTTACCTTCTTTTCTACCCTCCTTCTTTTCTTTCCTTCTCTCTTCCTTCTTTCTTCAAGCACATATAGATACTTCCTAGACGCCAAATCACATGTTGGAGGTGGGAGATGTAGTTTTATATGTAAGAGACAGTCTTTGCCCTTCAGTTTTCAGTTGTTCATAGCATCAGAGAGGGGAAAAAGCAAGTACAAAATAAATATTTATTGTCAATTGAAACTTATCCTATGCAGTAAACCATTGGCTTTTAACAACTATGTTGTTCTAATGCTCTGGAGCTGCTATCCAGGGCACTATGTTGCAAATCAAATTCTTACCTCCTCGAAGAGTTATGTTCAAATGACTCTACCTAAAGTACTATCCCCACTCATTCTTCCACATGACCATGTCTATTTACTCTATAACTCTTAGCACAATCCAGCACTTCCTTGCTGACTTATTTGTTTATCAGGATGGTATGTATTGGGTCAACTAGAATTTGAAGTACATGAGAGTGTGAGGTAGGTGGTTTCATTTTTGTTGTGTCCCAGTGTTAGCAGACAGTAGATGTGTTATAAATATTTGGGGATGAATAAATTTGTGTGTGTGAGAGGAGCAGCCATGGGCATCCACAGTTCTATTCAGTTTTGACATTGCCAAAATCTTCCATCCATTGAACCATGTTTTATACTTGGATAGCTGCCTTGGCTTCTCTACTTGGCTTACCATTTCTGGTGAGTCTGTGGCCCTGTCTTAAGCTGAGGCTGACTTGGGTAGGGCTGTGATACTCTGCTCAGATCTTGCCATGCTCTTTCCTTAGTAAGCTGGCTTCTGAGTCCTGAAGCCTCACCACTATCTGGAATCTTGCAACACCCAGCAGGGGTGACCAAGTGAAACAGCCTGATTCCTTCTTGAGTTCCTTTACCTATAGCTTGTCTGCATCTGCTCCTTGCCAGAGGGCAACTATGGCCAGAAATCACACTGGAGTTTAGAAACTATATGTTTCCCAACTGCTTTGATAGAACCAGCCTTAGGAGCAAATTCGTGGCTTCTTCTTTTTGCTTCTTTTTTAAATTTGTGATCTTTGTGATCATCGTCACCATCACCATCATCACTATCATGACCACCATCACCAACATTATCACCATCATCACAAACATTATCACCATATTCATCAACATCACCATTATTGTCACCAAACTCACCAATGAAATCACCATCATCATCACCAACATCTTCATCACCATCATAATTATCATTATCAGTATCATCACCATTACCATCATTCTTATTATCATCAACATCATCATCATTATTGTCATTATTTGTATAGCATAGAGGTTAAGAACTCAGTTTCTTTATCAAGATTTTCTCTACCTCTAGTGCTGTAAAGTGGGGCCCACCACGAAGCCTGTCCTTACGTCTGTTCTATACAGTGAGGATGATAAAAATTTTACCATAAGAGAGTTTTATAAAGATCTAATAAAAATACAACACAGGCAATGAGTACAGTGTATACAGTAGGCTCCTTATTTGTGTCATTATCATTAATATTATCACCTATAGCATCTCACTACTATTCATTATATAAGAACTTTTACTAGAAACCAGGTACTGAACTTTGCTGAACTATTTCCATTTACTCCTCAACGCAGAGAATTTCTGCTAAATGCTAGGCATTATTCTGGACTCTAGAATGATGTTTTCTCTAGTAGTGAACACAGCAGACAAGACAAGGCCTCCATTCTCATGGAGCTTACATCTCATGAGAAGGAATGACAATGAACAACCCCCTAACAATATTTTTATCTGAAAAAAAAAATTACTCCTACTTTAAATTTAAAAATAGCCTGGAGAGGATAGGATTTAAGTGCCCAGCCCCTGCCCTGGATACTCCTGGCATTTTCTTTTCATTCTGCCAAACCATGAAGCCAATGGCCCCATCATTTCTTTACATCTATTAGGTTGGTGCAAAAGTATTTGCTGCTTTTGGAATTACTTTTAAATGGCAAAAACTGCAACTACTTTTGCATCAACCTAGTAGCTTGACCAAATTACCTTCCTGAATCTGTCCACAGAAGTCTTCTTCTGTTCTGCTCATCTGTCTCTCAGGATTCCCTCCTGCCTTCAGAAATTCCTCTGGGATGCTTCGGAATGGAGGAATAGCTGAGTCTCTGATGAGTATCTTGCTTTCCTCTGTGCACAAAAATATACAATGCTGGATTATCTCCCTCAGTAGGAACAGCGTGTCTCCTCAGTGAAGGACAATTTTCAGCTAAGTGCATCTTATTTAAGGCTCTAAGACTGGCAGTTTAAGCAAATGCAGGAGGAGAAATGTATATGAAAACTATCCATTGAAAGCCTGTGGCTAAATATATCAACTGCTGAGAGATTGTTTCCAGGTAATAGTGCACAATCACCACTCTCCAGTAACAGTAGCATCCAGGGAGGAGGCAAAAGGCTTTGGGGTTTTATTTGTTCTCATTGATTTTCTTTATAGATCACTTTGATACTAGATGTTATAAGGTTAATTTTGGATGATTAACTCCCCCATATTGGGATATTTGATTTAGTTCCCCTTTCTGACACTTTCTCTCCATTGATTTTCAATATTGCACTTTCAGAAAGGGAGGTAAAAGGGTTCAGCAAGGGCTCATGGAGCAAAGCTTGGCTGCCTCATGGCTGCCCCGTCTCCCACCCAAATATCCTCCTTAGGCAAAGAGAAAAACGTGTGGTTAGTTGTGGAAACCCCTGCCTTCTGCTGGTCTGGGCAGGGGCTGCTCACCCTGGGTACACCTGAGCAGGTCCAGGCAACACTGAATAACAACAGGAATTTCAGAGTGCATTCTACCTGGGTTTGAATTCCAATCTTGTCATTTACCTGATGATTGACCTTGGCAAGTCATGTTCACTTGGCTTAGGTTTCCTTACCAATAAATATAGAAGCACCTGCTCCTTTGGTGCCCAGCATCCTGTTCTGCTTCTTCTGGTACTGGCACTCTGGCCCCCTTTAATGTGCTATGGTGCCTCACACCTTTGACCTTTTGCACATGATGTCCCTTTGCCTTTTTTTTTTGAAATGGAGTCTTGTTTTGTTGTTCAGGCTGGAGTGCAGTGGGATGATCTTGGCTCACTGCAACCTCCGCCTCCCGGGTTCAAGAGATTCTTCTGCAACAGCCTCTCAGGTAGCTGGGATTACATGCATGTGTCACAACGCCCAGCTCATTTTTGTATTTTTAGTAGAGACAGGCTTTCACCATGTTGACCAAACTGGCCTCAAACTCCTGACCTCGGGTAATCCGCCTGTCTTGGCCTCCAGAAGTGCTGGGATTACAGGTGTGAGCCACCGTGCCCAGCCCCTTTGCCTTTTTTATACTCCCCTCTCTAGACAACCAAACCTCCCCACCCCACACTTCTCTCACTGGCTCCCCTACAGCTGACTCCTGTTCAGTGCCAGGATCCTACCTACTTCAGGAAGCCTCCTCTCTTCCACTGGACCATCTATTCTGTGAGGGAGGAAGGACATCAGTCTTAGACAACAGCACCTAGCATAGACCCTGACACATTGCAGATCAATACTGATTATTTCTTAAAGAATAAGGAAGAGCATGAACAATTCTGGAATATTACTGTAGATTGTGAGTGTGTGTGTGTCCAGACATTTGAATTCCATGGTGATCCTCCCCAAGATTCTGGCAATGGCACACATGTGAATAACCTCTTCTTGGCTTGGCCTGGCTTCTCATCTCCTTCCCATTACCTTTCTTCATTAACAGTCCATTCCAGGTACTCTTCGTCTTTAGCATCCTCCTGGTTCTCAGCTGGGATCCCTACTCTCCATTCTCTCTGCTTTCTTACCCCAATGAGTTGTAACGAACAAACTGGAAACTTCAAGTGCTCCCTTCAACCCTGTTCTAAAAATCCTAGAGCTGGAGTTCGTCTAATAATAGCAACAGCTAACACTTAACTGGACTCTGATTATGTTCCAGGCACTTTGAAATGTGTGTTTCCTCCCTTCACGCAACCCTAAATGTTAGGTAGTATCATTACCTTCATCCTCAGTTAATAGACAATGACTCTAAAGCCTAGAGAGGTTTAACATCTTGCCAAAGTTCATAAAGCTAGCAAGTGGGTGCAGTTAGGATTCCACATGGTGTATCAATGCTCCGTACTGTCTTTTAGCCAAAAAAATGGACACCTTGCCCTTTCTTCCACCATCCACAACCTCTCACCGTCTTCCTTTCCATTTTCAAAGAGCGTAGGTCTGTTACTCATACCCTCAACGCCTTTTCTGGCTCTGTCTTCCACCAGCCCAGTTCTGCTGCTAGATACTTGATAGTCTCTCCAGTGCCTGACTCTGACTTGTGGTTCAGACCACGGGAATTCCAAACTGGTTTTTGGCTTCTGTTCAGAACTTGTCTGGACCAACTCCGTGTAATCCTGGTCATCATTCAACTCAAGGTGATGGCTATTCTCACAGTTCCTCCTATCTGACCCCTTGGATACCAAATCCACCTGCTTACACTTATTATACCTCCATCCCACCCCTTAGGACTGGGAGAATTTGTCTATAGCTTCTCTGCCCCTAACTCTCCCTTGATTCCCTGTATGGGCACCCTTTTCCCTGCTAGGCATTCTAAGCAGACATCACAGACTCTGAGTCTTATTATGAAAAGAGCAATTATGATAGAAGTAAGAGATTACCATCTGCCATGTACTGAGCAAAGGGATTTACATATACTAACTCATTTAACCCTCCCCCTTTTGACATTCTGTGAAATAGAAGTGCCGTAAGTCTGTGTTAAAGGTGAGGGGGCTGAAATTCACAGAGGCAAAAGCAATGGCATGTTTCATGTGGCAGAGCCTGGTTTAAACTCTGACCCCTAAGACGCCTAAGTCTGTGCTCTGTTTTACAGTCATCTGAACCTAAACAGATCCTGGCCCTAGGGCTGTGGCTCCTGTGCCTCTCCTGACCCTTTCTGCCACCTAGTCAACTCCAACGAGCATTGTCTCTCCTCTGGTGTCATCTTCTCTGTTCTTGGACCACACTTTTCCATCCTGAAGGACATGGTCTGAGACTTCTTCTCCTCAATTCTACTGCTAAAGTGCCTCTTATTCCTGGGAAGGAACAAGCTAGAAATGGAACAAGCTAGAAATGGCAGAGTGACAAGTTTGGGGAAGTGGCTGTTTCCAGAAACTCCTAGTGGTTTAGGCCATTGCCTATGCCCTTTGCTATCTTGTCACTGGTTTGTTCTCTGGCCTGGCCTTTGGAAGCTCACTAGGGCTTGAGTCCTTTCAGTTTAGGGGTCATAGCACTCTTTCCTCTTCTCAATACTTCCTTCCCTTACACCATGGGCAGACGACACCTCCTCAAACATTCAGCCGATTCAATCAGCAGTAAAATATTTTTGGGGTTTGTAGAGTTCCTCCTTTGTGCCTTAGCCTCCACTTAGTTGTTCTTAGCAGAGTTGGAAAGGACCAAGTAAGAAGAGGCAATCACAAAGCCACATGGTAATGTGTCAGATAGACCTGAGTTCAAATTTGAGTTCCTTCACTTACTCACAACACATCCCTTAAGGAACTTAATCTATTTATCTAAGTCTCAGTTTCTTCATCCTGGGAGGAGTTGGGAAGACAGAGCATGAGATATACTTACCTTGTAAGGTAGTTGTGAGATAATGCATGTAAAAGTATTCATCTCAGTGACAGACACATTAAAAAAGGCTCAATAGTAATGTTAATAAATAGTGAAGATGACGATGATGGCAGTGGTGTTGATGGTGTTGGTAGTGGTAGTGGAGGTAGTGATGGTGGAGATGATGGTGATGGTGGTGATGATGATGGAGATGGTAATGATGATGATGGTGGTGATGATGGAGATGGTGGTTGTGATGGTTGATACCGAGTGTCAATTTGATTGGATTGGAGGATGCAAAGTATTGATCCTGGATGCATCTGTGAGGGTGTTGCCAAAGGAGATTCACATTTGAGTCAGTGGGCTGGGAAAGGCAGATCCGCCCTTAATCTGGGTGGGCACCATCTAATCAGCTGCCAGCATGGCTAGAATATAAAGCAGGCAGAAAAATGTGAAAAGGCTAGACTGGCCTAGCCTCCCAGCCTACATCTTTCTCCCATGCTGGATGCTTCCTGCCCTCAAACACTGGATGCCAATTTCTTCAGTTTTGGGACTTGGACTGGCTCTCCTTGCTCCTCAGCTTGCAGAGGGCCTGTTGTGGGACCTTGTGATCATGTGAGTTAGTACTTAATAAACTCATATATGTATGTGTATATGGATATATAGATATATGGATATATATACATCCATCTTATTTGTTCTGTCCCTCTAGAGAACCCTGAATAATACAGTGGTCATGGCGGTGATGATGGTGGAAATGGTGGTGGTGGTGGTGATGGTGGTAGTGTTGATGATAGTAGCGGTTGTTTGGTGATGGTACTGACGATGATGATGGTGTTGACGACATTGGTAGTGATAGTGGAGGTGGTGATGGTGGACATGATGATGGTGGTGGTGATGGCACAGATGGTGATGATAATGGTGGTGGTGGTGACAGAGATGGTGGTTGTGGTGGTGGTGGTGGTAGTAATGATGATGGTGGTGTTGATGGTGTTGGTAGTGATAGTGAAGGTGGTGATAGTGGAGATGATGGTGATGGTGTTGACGATGATGGTAGAAATGGTGATATTGATGGTGGTGGTGGTTGTAGTGATGATGATGGTGGTGGTGATTACGGTAGAAATTGTGATGGCAGTGATGGTAGTTATGATGATGGTGGTGGTGACGATGGTGGAAATGGTAATGGTGGTGTGGTAGTGGTAGCGGTGGATGATGGTAGTGGTTGTGTGGTGACAGTTGTGATGATAATGATGGTGGTAATGGTGGTAGTGGTAGTGGTGGTGATCATGGTAGTGGTAAACACAGAAGGAATCACAGAGCACTCTGGAAACAGCATAGAGTTGAGAGTGAGAGAAAGATACTTAGTGAGAGTTGCCCAGGAGAAATGATTCCTAAAATGAGTTTTTAAAATAAGTAAGAACAAGCAAAAGGGTTGAAGCAGGGAGTTGGGTCAAGAGCAAAAGGATTTTCTGCTCAGGGGAAGATATTTTGAAAAGATAAGAGGGCAGAGAAACCATGTAACAGGCAATGCACCCACCTTCAGAGGCTGAAGCAGGGGTGGATACCTTGCAGAATTAAAATCTTCTTTCAACTTTTGAATCAAAATCTGACTCTTGCTTCTCATTCTCTCAGGTTTCTATTTCCAGCCCCTGGAATCATTCAGAAAACATCATACCTTTTTTTCTGGAATTATATTTCTTCTATCTGAACTCAGAACTGGTTCCAAGGCCCTCCTCTCCAGGGCAAAGATGTGCAACTTCTCTAAATACTTCTAGGTTCTGACTTCAAATGTTCTCACCCACTTGGTTGTTACATTGGACCTCTGCTCTTGACCTTGATTTCTGGCATGTTCCTTAGGGGAAGTGTTTAGTGAGTCACTTTCTTCCCATTATAATACTGGGGCAGGCCAGAGTGTCTTTCAATGCAGTACCTCCAATTAGCACAATTGCATGGGGCACATTCACCTCAAGGAGTTGTGCGATGAATGGTTGCCCTTCTTTGAAGTCTTCAAAAGATCAATATTGACTTGTGAACCTGTTAAGACTGAGTTCCCAAGACCATAAAAATTGGTCCCTTAATGTTCCCCCACTTTTCAAACCGCAGTACCAGCCCCGACCTACTCTTTATTCATTAGCAGTTATTTGTGCTGAACTAGGAGGTTAGCATGATTCCACTCAAAGCTTAAGAAATTGAGGTCGCTTGGCTTCTAATCAGATTTTATTCTCGAGCTGGGAGTTGTAAAGAATTCCTCCCCAGACTGTCATCTCGGAGGAGGCCCAGAGTGTAGGGAAGATGGCAGTAAAGTGTGCACCCACGCAGGTGACAGTGGTGGAATGGATGCTGCCCAAGGCCCAGGAAAGCGGAGTGAGAATTCCAGACCAGACAACCAGGTGTGGAGCTTATAGCCAGCAAACGCCTTCCTCCCCGAGGTCACAGTTCTCATCACTGATAGCCTCAGGCTTATCCCCCACCCACAGAATGACATTCCTATTTGTAATATAAACTCTGGGATCTACCCAGAGTTTGAGTTGCCCCTATGGCCAGAAAAGTAGGCAAGTAAAGCCCTAAAATAAATAATTTCTAAAACTGCTCAGGGTGACTCACCAATAATGATTGTTTTACACTGGCTTCATCATAGAAAAGAAAAGCTGATTGTAACAATATCTGGAACTTGTTTTGTCTGTTTCAAATGTTTCCTTTCCGGGGAACTAGCCCTCTTTATTCTCTGGGCTTATGATTTTAGCTGTGCTGAACCTTTCCCCTGACTCTGGGAATAGGCATATGACTGAGACCAGAGCCTGTAGGGTTTGTACCCTTGACATTGCTGGAGCTATGGGTAATGAAGGTATCCGCTTTCCCTGAGGTTCCCACTTTAAGGAAAATCTAACTTTAATCTTTGCCTCCACCTAGAGAATGCCCTTCTGAGAATGAAGGTAATAGAGAAGGAAGCGGATTCAATCATTAGAAAGACACTTGTTAACACAGAAACTTTGGCTCCCATGGTTCCACCCTTCATATGCAGATCCATACGCAGTTCTATTCCTCCATAGCACTCACATAGAGCACCAAAAAATTAATTTCTATTTCTATTGGAGACAAGTCAGGGGAGGCATTACAGATTGAATTGTGCTTACTCTTTGCTTGCATTGAACGATTGCTAAGACACCATTCTTACACTGAGGAAAATTTCCCAGAAAACGAGAAAACAGGGAGTGAGAGAAGAGTCTGCAGGTGGGGTGAAGTCTGGCTGCCGAGGAAACATGGCAGAATTCTGAATTTGATTTCAAAAAGTGACGGTGATATAAGATCCTGGCAATAGTGGGGTCAATAGGTGACACTTTAGGCCAACGTTTGATGATGCTAACATTTCAGTTATTCGTCCTTTTGAAATGTAACTTCTACTGCTCCTCAAACTTTCAGAAAAGTCTTTTACACACATATAACTAGGTTAATGGTTTGGGGACCAATCAAGGGTTAAAAAAGTTGTTCCACCGGAGACTCAATGAACAAGAGACATTCAGGAGAGCTGAGATGGTACTGGTGTGAGCTTGAGAATCTATCAAGAATGATTCTGCAGTTTCCCTTAGATGTTAAAATGATAGGAGAATGTTGCTCTTCTATAATTGGAAAAAGCTATATAATCCGCATATTAACATTTTTTGAAGCCCAATAGAGAGTTTAGGTTTTTAAAATATATATACATAGGCTGGCTGGGCGCGGTGGCTCACGCCTGTAATCCCAGCACTTTGGGAGGCCGAGGCAGGCAGATCACAAGGTCAGGAGTTTGATACCAGCTTGGCCAACATGGTGAAACCCCGTCTCTACTAAAAAAATAACAAAAATTAGCCAGGCGTGGTGGCATGCACCTGTAATCCCAGCTACTCGGGAGGCTGAGGCAGAAGAATGGCTTGAACCCAGGAGGAGGAGGTTGCAGCGAGCCTAGATTGCGCCACTGCACTCCAGTCTTGGCAACAGAGCAAGAATCCATCTCAAAAAAAAAAAAGAAAAAAAATACATATATATACTACTGAATTCCAAAACGAAACAAGCCTCTCTGAGGATAAATGGGACATACAAATGGTTACATCTTTTGCAGAACACTGGGAGGGGGTGGTCACCGTAAAAGATAATAAGAATTAAAAAAAAAAAAAAACAAAAAACACCACTTTAAAAATTCTTAAGGATCAATCCAGGGAAGGCATTACAGCTTAGAATCTTTGGGTGTTCTCCAGACGTAAGGGGAATCTGTCTGTATTAATTAGGTTTTTTTATTTAAATAAATAAATGTTTACAGGCTAAATAAATGTTTTTCCATCACACAAAATCAGAGACTAGACTTTTTATCAGATTTCCACTATAAGAAATATTAAATAAAATTCTTCCCACAAGAGAAATATGATACTAGATAGAAAACTGGCTACACATAAAGGAATGAAGACCGCTGGAAAAGGTAAAAAATGTTAGGAAAAGGCTGGACATGGTGGCTCATGCTTGTAATCCTAGCACTTTGGGAGGCCAAAGCAGTAAGATCGCTTGAGCCGCAGGGTTCAAGACCAGCCAGGGAAACATAGGGAGAAACTGACCTGATCAAAAAAAAAGTGAGTAAA
Source organism: Homo sapiens (assembly GCF_000001405.40). Lineage (NCBI taxonomy): Eukaryota > Metazoa > Chordata > Mammalia > Primates > Hominidae > Homo > Homo sapiens. Next base: position 26,538,825 of record NC_000016.10, on the reverse strand, counting down.
TATAAAATATAGTGTTCTTAAATTTTTAATTTATGTAAAAGATAATGGATTGTATAAACTAAAGGTCATTTTAGTGTGTAGTATATATAAGACATGTATAATAAAGTTTGCAAAATATGTAAAAATATGTACAAAAAAGAAAACGAAACAAAATTTTTTGTCATTAACATGGATGCAAAAATCCTTAACAAAATATTAAGAAACAGAATCCAGTGATGTATAAAATGGATAGCACATGATAAAGTGGAGCTTATCCTAGGAAGGCAAGATTTCTTTCTCAATTAAAAATCACAGGGCTGGGCACGGTGGCTCATGCCTGTAATCCTAGCACTTTGGGAGGCTGAGGCAGGTGTATCACCTGAGGTCCAGGAGTTCGAGACTAGCCTGGCCAACATGGTGAAACCCCATCTCCGGTAAAAAATACAAAAATTAGCCGGGCATGGTGGTGGGCGCCTGTAATCCCAGCTACTCAGGAGGCTGAGGCAGGAGAATTGCTTGAACCCAGGAGACAGAGGTTGCAGTGAGCCAACACGGTGCCAGTGCACTGCAGCCTGGGCAACAGAGTGAGACTCTGTCTAAAAAACAAAAAACAAAACAAAACAAAAACAAACAAACAAAAGTCGCATAGGCTGGGTGGGGTGGCTCACGTCTATAATCCCAGCACTTTGGGAGGCCGAGGCGGGTGGATCACGAGGTCAGGAGTTTGAGACCAGCCTGGCCAAGATGGTGAAAGCCCATCTCTACTAAAAAGTACAAAAATTAGCCAGGCGCAGTGGCGGGTGCCTATAATCCCAGCTACTCGGGAGGCTGAAGCAGGAGAATCTCTTGAACCCGTAAAGTGGAGGTTGCAGTGAGCTCAGATCGTGTCACTGCACTCAAGCCTGGGCGACACAGCAAGACTCTGTCTCAAAAAAAAATTACATAATGTAATACGTTATATTAATAGCCTAAAAATGCAAGATTATGTAAATAGATGTCAAAAAATATTTACTGTGGGGGTATTTAACATATGTAGAAATAAAATGCTCAGCAACAATAGCACAGTAGCCCAGAAGTCAGAGAGAGAATAATGAAAATATTCAGTAGTCAAGTTTTTGTACTATATGTATGGAACTACATTACCAGTTGACAAAGCTAGAGAGAGGGAGAAAGAGGGAGAGAATAACTCAATAAAGAAGATCAAATAGAACACAAAATATTTGATTCATTTAAAAGAAGGAAGAAAGTGAGAAAAGAAGGATGATGAACAGATGGGGTAATTAGAATAAAAATTGAAAAATGATAGATTTTTTTGACCACAGCATATTACATTAAGTGTATAATTCTACTAGTGATTTCACCACTCTTCCCTTTTTTTTTAGACAGAGTTTCGCTCTTGTTGCCCAGGCTGCAACCTCCACCTTCCAGGTTCAAGCAATTCTCTTTCCTCAGCCTCCTGAGTAGTTGGGATTACAGGTGCCCACCACCAAGCCCAGCTAATTTTTTGTATTTTTAGTAGAGATGGGGTTTCACCATCTTGGCCAGGCTGATCTTGAACTCCTGAACTCAGGTGATCCGCCTGCCTTGGCCTCCCAAAGTGCTGGCTGGGATTACAGATGTGAGCCACTGCACCTGACCCACTCTTCTCTTAATAATCAATTTAACAATTAGGGTGAGAGTCAGTTAGGAAACCAAAATGACCTCATTGTCAATTATACAACACTCCATCCAAGAGGATGAGAATACAAAACATTTTCAAGTCCACACAGAATATTTTCCAAATACATATTCTGGGACATATAATAAGACTCAATAAACAAAAAAGGATTCAAATTATGTGAAATGCAGTCTTTTACCACTCTAGAATTGAATTAGAAATCAATAAAAGAAAAATATTTGAGAAATCTCCAAATTATGGAAGTTGAATGACACACTTTTTTTATTACCCATGGGTTAAAAAAGGAAATTAGATAATATTTTTATATTTATGAAAACAAAGCCAAACATATCAAAATTTGTGGGATACAACGAAAGCAAAAATTAGAAAAAAAAGTATTATACTATACACCTGTATTAGAAAAGAAAAAGGGTCTCAAATAAATGCTTTAGCTTTCACCTTTAGAAAAGCTGAAAAAGGCAAATTAATTAAACTAAGTAAGCACATAAAAGGAAATATTATAGATTGGAGAAGAAATCATTGAAACAGAAAACAGAAAAGCAATAGAAGAAGCGGATAAAGCCAAAAGCTGGCTCTTTTGGAAGACCAGTGTAAGTGATAAACCATTACCAAGACCGACCAGGAATAAAACAGAGAAGTCATCAATTACAAATAACAGCAATAAATAAAGATCATGACAGAGTTTATACACATTAAAATAATGATACAGGCTGGGCACAGTGGCTAATGCCTGCAATCCCAGCACTTTGGGAGGCTGAGGCGGGTGAATCACCTGAGGTCAGGAGTTCAAGATCAGCCTGGCCAACACGGTGAAACCCTGCCTGTACTAAAAATACAAAAAATTAGCCAGGCGTGGTGGCACATGCCTGCAATCCCAGCTACTTGGGAGGCTGAGGCAGGAGAATTGCTTGAACCTGGGAGGCGGAGGTTGCAGTGAGCTGAGATCGCACCATTGCACTCCAGCCTGGGCAACAAGAGAGAAACTCCATCTCAAAAAAAAAAGAAAGAACGATTCAAAATAAAACAAAAATTCTATACCAATAAATTTGATTACTTAGACAAAATTTTAAAAAATGTATTTGACATAAACTACCAACGTTCACTCAAAACAGATAACCTCAACAGTTCTATTTTTCTTTAAATAATTGAATTTGTAGTTTAAAATCTTCCAACACAGAAGTCTCCAGGCTCAGACGGTTTCACTAGCAAATTATGCCAAATATTTTTGGAAAAAAAATATACCAATTCTACACAAAGTCTTCCAGAAAATTGAGGAAGAGGGAACACTTCTAAACTCCTTTTATGGATTCAGCATTATGCTAATGCCAAAACTAGAAATAACACTACAAGAAAACAAGCTACAGACCAAGACCCTTAATAAACACAAATAAATTTTAAATACAAGTTTGTAAACCTAATCATCAATACTCAATAAGGATAGTATATGATGACCAAGTAGTGCTTATCCAAGGAAGAAATGCCTGGTTCAAAATTAGAAAATCAATCAGTGTAACTCATCACATAAACAGTCCAAAAAAATTCATGAAAGGAATAAGAATTGATCAAATATACTTTATTAAAAGTAAAAAATAAAACCTCTTGTTCTGTGAAAGGCAATTTTTTTACTTTTAAAATTTGTACAAGGAATATTTGCCTTTCTGTTTTAAAAATAGACTTTATTTAGAGTTTTAGATTTACTGAAAACCTGTAAAGATAATAGTTTTATATAACTCATACCCTATTTCCTCTCTTTAATATTAGTGTTTTACGTTATTATGGTATATTTGTTACAATACCAATATTCATACATTATTATGAACTAAAATGAATATGATTCAGATCCTCTTAGGTTTTATTTGGGGTCCTTTTTCTCTTTCAAGGTACCATGTAGGATATTACATTACCTTTAGTTGCATATTCTGGTCGCCCCTGGAGTATCATTACATTTAGGCTCTCTCAGACAATGGAGCAACGAAATAAATGTGTGTACACTAGCCTGAGTACTTACATGTATCTGTAATTATGTCTATATGAAGTAATGTGTATCCACATTAAACTCAATGTAAATTCATACTGATGTCTCTAACTCTAACCCATTACCACACAGGTAACTCTCACCTCCCCTTGCTGATGTGTGAATTTCCACTTCAACAGTGAGAAACCCAGCTCCCATTACCTGCTGTCCATTTATTTAACTGTTCAATTCCCAATTTGCTGAGAATTGTTATCGTGAACGGGTTTTGGATTTTGTCAAATGCTTTTTCTGCTTCTATTGATATGATCATGTGATTTTTCTTCTTTAGCTTGCTGATGTAGTGGATTACATTAATTGATTTTTGAACATGGAACCAGTCTTGCATACCTGGGTTAAATGCTACTTGGCTGTGCTGTGTAATAGTTTTTTTTTAATACATTGTCAGATTCAATTTGGTAATATTCTATTGAGGATTTCTGCATCTATGATCACGAGAGATGTTAGTCTATTGTTTTTCTGTCTTGTATTTTTCTGGTTTTGTATTAAGGTATGAGATAAGAAGTGTTGCTTCTGCTATTTTTCTTTAAATAGATTGTGGAGAATTGCTATCATTTCTTCCTTAAGTGACTGGTCGAATTAAACAGTGAAACTATCTGGGCTGGGTGTTTCCTCTATGGAAGAATTATTGATTATTGATTAAATTTTCTTAATAGATACAGGCCTATTGAGATTATCTATTTCTCCTTGTGTGAGTTTTAGTATTTGCGTCTTCCAAAGAATTAGTCCATTTTATATAAGCCTTTAAATTTGTGGGCCCAGAGTTGTTCATAGTACTCCTTTATAATCTCCTTCTTATTTCTGTTAGGTCAGTAATAATGTCTCCTCTTTTGTTCTTGGTTTTAGTAATATCAGTAGCCTCTTTTTTTCTTTTTTCTTGGTCAGTATAGTTTGTCAATTTTGTGTATTTTTTCAAAGGACAAACTTTCATTTTGTTTATCTTCTATATATGTATTTTTTGTTCTCTTTCCTTGATTTTTCTTCTAATATATATTATTTCCTTACCTCTTTTTGCTTTGAGTTTAGTTTGCCTTTTCCTCATTATCTTCCAGTTTTTAAGGTGGAAGATTAGGTTATTGACTTGAGATCTTTTTTTAAGGTAGGTGTTTACAGGTGTTGATTTCCCTCTGAACACTGCTTTTGCTGCCTTTCACAGATTTTATTTTGTGTTTATATTTTTATACTCGTCAAAGTATTTTCAATTTCCCTTGTCATTTCTTCTTTGATATATTTGTTGTTTAAGGTTACGTTGTTTAATTTCCACATATTTATAAATTTTTTAGTTTCCTTTCTGTCATTTATTTTTAATTCTATTCTATTATTGTCTAAGTGATAATATAAATCCTAGATTTATACTCTTTAAGAGTATAAATTCACTGAAGAAGTGAATTTTCATTTTAATTATTGTATTTTTCAACTCCAAAATTTTTAGTTTCCTTTTTATAATTTCAATTTATTTATTGATAATCTCAATTTGGTAAAGCATCATTCTCATACTTTCCTTTTTTCTTTAGGCCACATTTTCTTTAGATCACTGATATATTTAAAATAGCTGACTTCAAATTCTTGTCTAGAGAGGTGAACGTTTATGCCTCCTCAAGCACAATTTCTATTGATTTGTTTTTTCCCAATGTATGAGCCATACTTTCTTGTCTCTTTGCATGTCTTGTAATTTTTTTTATTGTTGAAAACTGGAATTTTGGATATTATAATGCGTCATCTGGGAAAATCAGATTCTCTCCTCTCCCCAGGGTTTGTTGTTGTTGCTGCTTATTGCTGATGCTATTTAATGAATTACTTCTGGAAAGTTTATATTCTTTGTTATGTGTGGCCCCTGAAGTCTCTGTTCCATTGGGTTAGTGGTCAGCTAATGGTTGAACAGAGTTTTTCTTAAATGCCTGAACTAAAAATTATTTGTCTTTGCCAAGTGGTTCTTGGGGTGGAGGGTACACACCTTTGACAGTCAGGAAGTTTACAACTCTACCTCACCATTTACTGATTGTTTCTGCAGATCCTTAAGGTGAGAGTTGAGGGCCTTCTCAAATCTTTTCTGAGTAGGTACACGGCCCTGAGCTGTGTATATGCAGCCTTCCAGATTTCCAGAAATATGTTGGAACTTTTCAAAGTCCTTAAGGACATGTCATCTCTCTACCTTTATTCTCAAGATTTTTAGTTGGCGTTATTATTTGCCACGCTGTTATCTATTGCCTCAAGCAGCAGCAACCTAACCTAAGACACTAGCTTATAAATGTTTTTGACAAATCCCTTCCCCTCTCAAAAGCAGATTTAGCAGGAGGCTGGCTCTATAAAGACAGGAGTTTTGAATTGGTCCCACAGAGCCACTAGACAGGTAAGAACAAATAATTAATTACAATTCTTTGCTAATGATGTCTCTTCTCTCTTTAGTATCAGGAATGTGGCCTTATTTTCACAGCTACTGTCAAGACTAAGTTTACTGTTCTTACTTACAATGAGCATTGTTCTTTGGTTTCAGTGTGTTTGCTTGTTTTTTGAATAAGCACTTTGCAGCTTTCTGCAAGCCTTTGGTTATTTTCCAGAGTTCCAAAAAAAGTTGATTCTCATAGGTTTTTTGGGGGGTTTTGTTGCTTCTACAGATGAGTGGAATTTGGAGTTCTTTACTCCGCTATTCTGCAGATGTACTACAGTTTCTTTTGAAGTCAAATATGCATTTACTCTAGGAACCAGCAATCCCTCTCCTAGATATTTACCTAAGAGAACTAAAGACTTAAATTCACAGAAACAAATCTGTACACGAATATTTATGTTGGTTCTATCCATATTCACCTTAACCTGGAAATCATCCACATGTCCTTGCACTGATAAATGGATAAACATGTTGTGGCATTTCCATACAATTAAATATTACTGTCAGCAATTAAAAAGGAACAAGTTATGGATACACGCATTAGCAAGATGAATCTCAAATGCATCATGCCAAGTGAAGGAAGACAGACTCAAAAGGTTACATTCAACTTATACGACATTCTGGAAAAAGCAAAAGTATTAGGCCAAACAAATCAGTAGTTTCTATAGTTTGGGGTTGGGATGACCAGTTTTATAGAAAGGGTCAGAAGAAATTTTTAGGGGGTGCTTGAGCTATTTTCTATCTTGATAATGGTGGTGGTTATGCTATATATACACATGCAATGTTTGTCAAAACGTACAGATCTATACAACTAAAAATAGTAAATTGACTGTATTTAAGTTAGGCCATAATTAGAAAATGACTATAAATATAAAAACCCACGGCAATGAAAAAGCAAAGCCACAAGTCCCTCTCACAATATTAACTCTTGGAAATTTTGGTGAGTCCATTGACCTCCCATAGGACAAGATTAGCACATTGGAGGTAATTTTCATTCATTCATAGGTAGAAGCATGACCTCAGATTACTTCCGGATGCAGAAATCCACAACTAAGAATTGGGTGAGAGGCAAGGGTCCAATTAAGTTTTTGCTTCGAGAATCCATGTTAAACTGTGTGGTACAGTCCTGTTTTCAAAGAGCTGTGTGCTTTTCACCATTGGTAACAATTTATTTGCAATACATTTCACAGCTGAACCACATCCAGCAGTGTTGTGACATTCCAGGACTCACCCTGAAGCACGAGATGCCTATGGAGGCTTCTGGAGAGTGTAGGTCCCCGGAGCCTCCTGTTCATACTCATGTCATCTTACAATGCAAACAGTCCTGAAGGCATCCTTGACAATTCCTGCTAGAACTCAGGGAGGCAAAGGTGAGGGATGAATTTTATGACTGTGACAATGTGCAACTCCTGATTTCTCCAAAGCCAGCATCAAGGCCTTTGATTTTTCCAGGGAAATAAATATTAAGGATCTTGTTTCCTACACCAAAGCTCTGCCTGGAGAATTCCTTAGAGGCTCTCCCTCACTCTGCAAGTTTCCGACGTCTCTGAAATCAGGAGCCTGTGGGTTTAGCACTCTCTATCTGACAGATGGAGCTTGCCATGCTCCGGGGGTGAGTTATGGATGAGCTCACAGATTCAGATGTTATGGGTTGAGATCTGGGAAATGTGATTTCCTAGCTGCAATAATTGGCTTTTGTTCCTTAGAAAACACAACCTTGGAATCTCAATGGGTTCCAGGTCTGTGAGGCAACTGAAGTTCAGCCCATGTAGACTTGGTTCAGCTGGGTGACTCTGCACCAGGCTACCAGTGAGCTAGGCTTGGTTTTGGTGAGAGTTTGGGTTTACTCAGCACTACGTGTCTCATCTTCTTATCTCAACAGCTAGTGGGGCCTGTTTGCATGGCAAATTTCCAGAGCATCAGAGCCAAGCCAAAGCACACAGGCATACTTAAGGCCTCTTTTTGGGTCCCATCTACGAATATCTCCAGGCAAAGTAAGTTACATAACCGAGTCCAAAATCAATGGGGTGAGGAAATATACTCCTCCCACAATGCTTTAAAAGTCCAAAGTGTTACACTACCCAGATGAACTCAGGCTATTTACTTAACCTCTTTATGCTTCAGTTTTCTCCCCTAAGCCTGTGAAAATTACCTCTGACCCAATAGTGTTCCTGTGAAATTTAAATGAGATACAAAGCACTTGGCCCATTGCCTTACAGTAGATGTTGAATACATGCATTTTTCTGTATCCTATTTATTCATTTAGCAAACATCTGTAGTGGGATCCTTTGACACAGAACTTTAAAATAACTATTATAAGGAGCTTCAGGATGTTGAGGAGAAAGTGGGAAATTTTAATAATATCCTGTCTTTTGGTGAAAAAATGGGTTTGCAACAACCAAATACTTCTCTTGAAATTCAAATTTAATTAAACCTGTCAAGATGTTCATTACCAAGGTCAGGTAGCTGAAAAGATAATGGTGCTCTTGAGATAAAATTACCTCGGAAATGGAAATTACAAAACCGTTGTCTAGTCTGAAAGTACATGGTGGTTTTGAGTCCCTAAGGTGCTAGCTACAACAGTTTGTCTTAGTCTAGTCCTGTTTTGCCATAGAGCATATGCAGGAGATTAGCATTCAGGGAAGCCTTGTCTTGCTTAAAGCCTGAACCAAGATGGCATTGGGAGTGCACCCTTGAAGTGGTTGGATCTTGGAGATGAACCACAGCTCTATTTGTTGGATTACAATTATTTCAATGGCTGACAAGAACAAGCCTCTGGTTTTGTTTCCAACAATGGTGTGATGGCTGGACACAGTGGGAGGCCTGTAATCTCAACATGTTGGGAGGCCAAGATGGGAAGATTGCTTGAGCCTAGGAATTCAACACCAGCCTAGGCAACATAGTGTTACTCCATCTCTACAAAGCATAAACAAAACAAAACAAAACAAACAAACAAAAAACCATGAGCCGGGCATCGTGGTGAGTGGCTATAGTTTCAGCTACTTGGGAGGCTGAGGTGGGAGGATCACTTGAGACTGGGAAGTTGAGGCTGCAGTCAGGCATGATCACTCCACTTCACTCCAGCCTGGGCAACAGAGCAAGAGACTGTCTCAACAACAACAATAACAAAAAACAAAAAACAATTTCCTGATGGTAAATTCAGGAAGAACTAGGTTTTGTGGTTGTCACTGACTTTCAGCCTGACTTCCTAAGGCGGATGAGCCCCATTTCTAGCAGTGAGACATCCAGCTCCTTTGAAGGTAAACAAGCATTTCAGATAGATTCACTGATAATAAACAGAGTGCCCAGTTAAATTTAAATTTCAAGATAAACAACAAATATTTATTTTTAATACTTGGTAATTTTATACTAAAAAATTAATCATTCTTTACCAATTTGAATTTGAAATTCAAATTTAATTAGGTATCTTAAATTTGTATTTGGTAAACTTAGCAATCCTAATTTCAAAATATCTTTGGACAAATTGAAGTAGAGGAATTTCAGGAAGAAAGAAGTATGAACAGCTGGAAAGGCACTAAGCTCGCATATGGGACTTGAAGGAGTCATAGCAGGGACACCTAAGTGGTTTAGGGAAGCTGGAGAAGACTCTGAAGTGAGTGCCAGGTAAGGAGAGACCCCAAAAATACAGAATTATCAAATGAGAGGTGAGGTATGGGGTACTGTGCAGGAGCAGCTAGTGATCAAGGCAGCAAGAACGTCATGCACAGTTGCATGAAAATGACTAACAGGACAGCATGTTCAAGACATGGAATAATTTTTCTTTTTTTTTTGAGATGGAGTTTTGCTCTGTCACCCAGGCTGGAGTGCAAAGGCATGATCTCTGCTCACTGCAACCTCTGCCTTCTGGGTTCAAGGATTCTCCTGCCTCAGCCTCCCAAGTACATGGGATTACAGGCACGTGCCACCATACCCGGCTAATTTTTGTATTTTTAGTAGAGACATGGTTTCACCATGTTTCCCAGGCTGGTCTCGAACTTCTGACCTCAGGTGATCCACCCGCCTCGGCCTCCCAAAGTGCTGAGATTACAGGCGTGAGTAACCGCTCCTGGCCATGACATGGAATAATTTTGATGTGGATAGATTGTAGAATGTAAGAGGGAGTGCTGGGAGGTGAAGTGAGGAGAAGGACAGGGGCTAGATCTTCTCCAAGGATGTTCTTAGCAAAATCAAGACACGACTTTCATGAGCACAATCAAGTACACTCACAGATGCAATCTCATTGATCCCCACAATGACCTTGGGTGTACTCTTAGGCAGGAAAACTAACCACAGAGGAGAAAAGATGGTATAACAGTGGCCTCCACTTAATGGATGTTTGTCATGCAACAGGTATAGTGCTGGGGTTGTCGTACACACTTTTTTTTTTTTTTTTCTGTCACAACAGCACTATGAGCTAGAGGATAATATTATCCTCATTTTACATTTGTGAAACCTGGGGTGCAGAGGTACAGTGTCTTACCTAATGCCATGCATTTGTGTGCAGGGTATATGGCAGAGCTCAGCAGCCTCACCCTAGTGACAACACCTCACATTGAATGACACCAAGCCCATCCAGTCCCTTTTTCCTGTGTGAAGCATAAATACAGAGGGCGCAGGGGAAGGAACAGGGTCTCCAAACTTCAGGTTATTATCCTCAGCAGGGTTTGGCAATCATCCTGGCTTCTTAGGAGCCTGAGATGCATCTGAACCAGGGAGGCTGGGGAACTGTGTGACTTCTTGGTGATGGATGAATTCCTCTTGCATTTTATGATCCTGCATATTCTTAAAACCCATTTAAAACAAGCTAAGGGATCTCTGAATGTCTCATCTTTAAATCCTAGGAGACAGAGCTCCTGCATCATTACAGTCCCTTGGGTTTCTCAGCAAGCTAGCTCTCTGAAATAAGAATGGGCTTTCTCAAAGAACAGCATTGTAAATTGGAGTTAGACTCGCATGAGCTCCTTTAACCTGTAAGGGAATTGACTAATTACACTCTACATTAAATACTAAGTGGAATATTTACTGTTTATTACCCTGATCTTCCAATTTCTAACAACACCGTGAATACCATGACTCTTATAACACAAAAACTCTTCAATCTCTCTGATAGGGCAGAAATCAGCTGGAATCAGTTTAGGTAAAACTTAATTCAGTTCACCTCCCCCAATATTTTTGAGAACCAAACCAGTGTTCAGGACAAGAAGGGATGACAGAGACTCAAACAGAGTGTTCTTACTTCTTAACACAATTAAACATTTTATTACTATTGTCAACCAGAAGCCTGGTATCTTAGTCCTTTCCTGCTGCTATAACAAAAATGCCTTAGACTGGGCAATTTATAACAACAGATATTTATTTCTTACAGTTCCATAGGCTGGGAAGTCTAAGGTAAAGGCACCACCAGCAGATTTGGTGTCTGGTGAAGGCTTGCCCTCTGCTTCATAGATGGCAACTCTTGCTGTGTCCTCACATGTGAAGAACAGAAGGGCCTCACTAGTTCTTATATGCTTCTTTTTAAAGGACAATAGTTCCACTCATAAGGGCAAAGCCCCTGTGGCCTAATAATCTCCATAATCTCCTGAAGCCCCATCCCTTAATATTGTTTCATTGGGGATTAAGTTTCAACATGAATTGTTTTGAGGAGCACAAACATTCAAAAAGTAGTAATTGGCTATGCCATATCTTTCTCTACCAGAAAGTCAGGTGTCACTGACATAACCAGAAAGGAGTATGTGCCTGGCCAGTGCCTCTAACACCACAAGTGCCCTCAAGTATTCTAAATGAGTATATAAACATGAAAGAATTGGTGATACAAGCCTAGGTTAGAATGAGAACACATGGACAGTTACATTTTATCTGAGAGAGCTAAGCTCTAATGAACTGTTATCCAGGGCACAGTCCGGTGGCTTTTGGTGAACTTGGCACTGATCCAAGATAGAGTAGCTATTCCAAAAGAGTGGAAAGAAGTGTTTTGGCAGCATGATGGGTTGGGGCTCTACTACTGGGGAAACCTGCAATGAATAGTAATAACCACTCCCTAACTTAGTACTAAGGTCTTTCTTCCATGAAACCTGGGGTAACTATTTGATTATATATAATGTCTGCACTTCAGTTTTGTTAACAATAAAATGGGGATTATACTATTGCCTTCAACATAGAGTTGCTCTTGCATTCCACAGATACCTTTTGAGTACCGACTTTGTTCAAAATATTCCTATGGGCTATGAAAATATAGCAAAGAAGGAAAACATCTTCCTTCCTTCTACCTCCAACTGCTTATGTTCTGCTAGAGGAGACTGATATAAACAAATCCACAAATAAGTAATCACGACTGTTTGTACAATGTTAACTATGGTGAGAGAAAATAAAAAAATGTAAGTGATTGTGACTGGGCCAGATGATGTCTCTCTACAACTGGGGTAATCAAGAATGTCTTCTCCAAAGAGAATTGATATTTAGCTTGAGACTAGGGACAATAATTAGGTGGCAGCTTTTTTTTTTTTAAAGAGCATTCTAGGAAGCTGTTGCAATAGTCTTGAAAAATAGAAGAGTTTGTATGTTTGAAGACTAAATGAGATTATGCATGCAGAGTATTTCACATAGTGCCTAGTACATGATAAATTGTAAATGAATAGTAGCCATGATGATGATGATGATGGTGATAGTGATGATGATGGTGATGGTGATAGTGATGGTGATGAGGATGGTAATGGTGTAGGTGATGATGGTGGTGATGGTAATGGTGGTGATGATGGTGATGGTGATGGTAATGATGATGATGACAATGGAGAGGAGGGGAAGGAGAAGAAGGAGGAGAAGGAGGAAATTATAAGTTATCATTAGGATCTGGCCATAGTGAGTAAGAGGCAATCTCTCTGGAAAGAGATCAGAAAGCACAAGGCTATATGAGCTGTTGTTCAGAGCAGAGGACAGAGCAGATGCATTTGTAATTTTTTCTTGAGACAGAGTCTCACCCTGTCACCCAGGCTGGGGTACGGTGGCATGATCACAGGTCACCGCAGCCTTGAGCTCCCTGGCTCAGGTGATCCTCCCACCTCAGCCCCCCAAGTAGCTGGGACTACAGTCACACACCACCACACCCAACTAATTTTTGTATTTTTTGTAGACACGGGGTTTCATCATGTTGCCCAGGCTTGTCTTGAACTCCTGACCTTAGGTGGTCTGCCCGCCTTAGCCTCCCAAAGTGCTGGGATTAGAGGCATGAGTCACCATGCCCAGCTGCATCTGTAATTTTGGTGAGGTGCATAGTAAGCGTTCCACTTAGTAGGAAAACTGTCCCTTAGGTCATCAGCTCCTTATCTCTACATGATAGGCTTGGGAACAAAAGGGTTCCCAATAGCTCTTCCCACTATGGTTAGTTCTGGCTCTGGAGCTAGTTGGAGTTGAAGCTACAGGTTGTAGATGATGCTTTCGGCAGTTGAGCAGAGCTGGACAGCTGGAGCTGACACTCCCTGCATGCAATTTACCAGTGTAATCCACAGCCCAGGAAACCTTCATTCCATATACTTCAGAAGCTCTGGCAGCCCAGCACCAGCTCAGAAGGAATGTGGAGCTGAGTTTATAAACATGCAGATGCCCACAAATATGCTGAGGGAAGCACCACTTTTGAGCATGTCCTCATCTAGGATCCTTGGTGGAAACACTCTGGCGCCAGATCTCATTACTGCTCTGAGAAGGTTCTTGCAAGGCTCGTCTCTTCCTGACATCTCCCTGTAAGTGGGCTCAGACTTTTGTGGTGCTGGCTCCATTTTCCCTGATGCTGGAACATTTATATTTGATGGTGTTGGGATGAATTATGCACATACCCCACTGAACACGGATTTAATGAGGGGATTTATTCTCCATTTCTTGTTTTGGCTTACAATGGATTCTAGCATCTGAATTAAGCATTGGCCCAGCAATTTGAGGCTGCAGGGGATGGAGAAAGAGAAACTCTCCCTCCAACTAGAGACTTAGAGGTGGCTGTTTTGGCAACCAACCCCATCTGTAGATTTTTTTAAAATCTGGATCTTACTTCTAGGTCTCAGGTGAATCCTGTAATGAGGTCCCCTATTAAGGTCGGAGAACAAAGAAATGCTGGACCCAGTGAGGAGTGAACTAGAACTCTAGGAAGCAAGATGACCAAAAGGCCAAGTGTAAGCCATAGCTGAAGAAATACAGTTGTGAAGGGAAATCAGGGAGCTGTGGATAGAAAGCTGTTACGGGCTCAGGAACTGTAGCCGTCACTGCCCAGCATCTGTTCCCACTTATTTTGTTATTAATAGCTGTATTTTTCTTATAGGAAAATCACTTCCTTATTTTAAACTGATATGGTACTAGGAGGGCTTGGCTGTACCCCTTGCCGTGAAGAATGAACTAGCCAGTCAGGGACTTACATCCGCGTGGCTAAATAATTGGCTTATGTGTGGGTGTATGACCCAAAGACAGACTTGGTCCTGCAATGTTTGCCAGAAAGTTTGAAAGGAAGATGCTTTTTTCCTTTTCTTTTTTCTTTTTTTTTTTTCTCTGCAGTTGCTAGGTGGTAAAATATACATCTATGTGCTGCTATGACCCACCACATGGAGAGGGCTCCATCTGTAAAGTAACTGTTTGAGAGAAAATAAAGCATGTCTCAGAGAAATAGAAGGCAGTCCTGGATGCCCATGACATTATTTAAGTCGCTGAATCCAGCTGTACTTGAAGCTAGTTATAAAATAATACATTCCAATATTTACTGTATGATTTTGAGTTGGCATTATTTCCTTGGAAACAGACAGATTTGACTTATAGAAAACCTGAGAAGAAAACAAAAAGATCAGGAAAAAAAAAAAGCATAAAGAAGTTTAAGGAGAAAAGGATGAGGACATAAGAAAGAACGAACTATTTATATGAGGTGTTAGGTTTTGGCATAAAGATACATCTCCTGTTTGTAGATATAAGACTGGTCTGGCCAGCTCTGGTGATGTTCTTATCAAAATCATTGCTTGTTTCTATAATAAGAGTGAAATCTTTGCTGTGAAATAGATCCATATATAAATAATTTCAGCAGAAAGAAAATAGAAAATAATTGGAAGCAGTTTAAGTATGCTATGCAGAAAATTGATCCAAGAGTTAAACAGGTTTGAAGAGTTAGTTCCAGAAATAATTCCTCCATGAAAATACAGTAAGTTTCCTAGCATTTTGATTAAAATAATTAAATTATTCCCTTGTTTAAAATGTATATGGGGCAAGAATAATCCCCACAGGTTCTTAGTTGGAGGAGACCCCTATCACAAAAGACAGATTAACAAGCGAAAAACAGAAGTCTATTTACATGAGCATTTCATATACACGTAGAAGATACCCTAAGTGATACCGTACTATGCATAAGGAATGCATAGTTCTCAAAAAGGTAGCTTTGAGTTTCAATATGAACTGAGTTTCAATATAACATATCCAACAAATAACAGTACATTTTTAGAGATGTGACAAGACAAACAAGAAAAGGACTTTGAGATTCTAGGGGTGGCAACTTGAGTGAGAAAAAAATAGCTGGCAGATAAAGGTTAGTTAATAAAGTTTGTTAATGTAGGATTAAAGGTTATTAAGCCTCTGATATTATCACCAGGCTGATAAATGTCTCAAGATGTCCTCAGTGGTTAACCTTTTCGGGGTTGGCTGAAGCTAGAAACGTGGATGTTCTCCCCGAAGGAAAGTAAGAACATTTAAAACCACACAAAAACACACCATGAAGGACATTTTAAGGAGCTAAAGTTGTTTCATTGGGGAAGATGTGCCAAGAAGGTCTTAATAATTGTTTTCAGAAATCTCAATGAGTATCATGAGAAAGGAAGACTTCACTGGTTTGGGAAAGCTCCAGAGGACATGAGTTATGAAGAAAGATATTTTGCTGCATTATAAGAAATAATTTAAACCTGACCCAGGAGGCTGTGTTATATTTGCCCTTTGATGTTCGTAGGCAGAAGCTTGCCAGCCATCGGAGATGCTGTGACAGGATTTCTTTCACTCATTCAAGAAGTATTGAATGGGCACCTATTATGTGCTAAGCACTGTTTCGGGAAAATTAGAGCAGAGATGACTTTTCTACTCAATTGAAATTTACCTTTCTGCTCAGTTTGGTGTTGTGGGAAGGAATGAAGCACCACGTGTGATTGGAAGCCTAGCCCCAAGATCAGTGGCAGGGATTGGTGCACAGCTGGGAGAGTTAGACTTGAGAAAGGATATGAGCTCATCTGAGCACTGCTACCTAAGGATTTTATGGCTCGGGGCAGAGTAATTAACTTTTTTGATTCATCTTCTCCATTAGTAAAACAATCTCTTACATTTTCACTCAAGCAATACCTCTTCCTTGAAGTATACCTTATCTGGAGAAAATCCTAAGAAACTCTGTATTTCTTTCATGCCTACAGCTTTCTTCTAAGGAAAGCAACCTCAGATTGCTTTTCATAGTACAAAGAGTTTGTTTGTCTGTTTGTTTAATTCTCACACGTTTTTTCCAAGTGCGAGAATCAAAACAGCCCTCTTATGATGGTTACAGCAAATTGTTTTAGGTCCTGGTTTCTAAAGCAAAGGCCATCAGTGATGAATTAGAATAATAGAGATCATATACCTTAAGGACCTTGATGGCAACTCTACCCAGTAGAACCACCCATATTGAATGACAAACAACTCGCCAGACTCTATCTTAGGCTGATGCACCCAGAGAAGATGGGTCATTAGAATTGTCATTCCATCTGTGTTTTTCATGGGTTTGCTATACTGTCTGTCTTAATCAGTTTGTGTTGCTATAAAGGAATACTTGAGCCTGGATAATTTATAATTTTATTGAGCATGTGTATTCGGCTCATGGCTCTGCAGGCTGTAAAGGAAGAATGGCACCAGCATCTGCTTCTGGTGAGAGCTTCAGGCTGCTTCCAGTCATGGCAGAAGGTGAACGGGAGCCGCTGTGTGCAGAGACCACATGGTAAGAGAGGAAGCAAGAGGCAGAGGAAGGAGGTTCCTTCTTTTCACGAAAAATAAGAATGAGAACTCACTAGCTCCCTAGAGAATGGCACCAAGCCATTCATGAGAGATCCACCTCATGACCCAAACACCTCCTATCAGACTCCACCTTCAATACTGGGGTTGAAATTTTAACATGAGACTTGGTGGGGCCAATCAAACTATATCTAAACCACAGCACTGTGAAATCTTGAAACTGCTTAGGTTACCAAAGATAATGTCCCTCAAGCTATTCTCCTGCTTAAAACTCTGTTGACATTCCATTGCTCTCAGAATAAAAACAAAAATGGTGAATGGGCTACAAGTCCTTGCATGCCTGGCTTCTGCTGACCTCTGCCTTGACTGTCAACTGGCTCTCATTCTTTTGTTCTGGTATTACTGCTCTTCTCTGGGTTTCTTCACATGCCGCAGGGCCTTTGCATACTATATTCATAAAGTCAGGGTCCAGATCATTTTGCTTGTTTGTTTGTTTTTCTAGTTCAGCATTGGGTCTACAATTTCTACCATAGTTGCTGACACAATGTAGACACCAAATAAATAAATATCACCCAATTTTCATAAACATATTTATCATAGCTCCCCATCACCATAAGTCATCTGAATGTGTAACTTCCTTATTACCTGCCTAATGTGCTAGTATCTTTAACATATATAAGGATGAAGAGCATGGTGGTTAGGCTTTGGTGTTCTGGAGCAATTATTTTCTGTCTGGGTTAAATTCCTGATTCTCCATTTTTTAACTGGGTGAACTTAGGCAACTGTTTTTTTTTTTTTTTAATCTTTAAATGAAGGATGCCAGTACTAAATTGCAATAGATATGCTTGTCGTGCAGACCCAGTGATCTGATAACAACCATGTCTGGCATGTAGTTATCTTTCAATAACTTTCAGTTGTACATATTACATATGAGGTTATAGGTAGAGGTGGCTGCTTTCTGCATTACTACTTCCCACTGAACTATTTTATACAACGGAGTATTAAAAATTGAGAGTGGAAGGTATAACATAGCCACATAATTTTATTATTATTATTATTATTATTATTATTTTATATATTTTTTAGACACAGTTTTCACTATTGTTGTCCAGGCTGGAGTGCAATGGTACAATCTTGGCTCACTGCAACCTCTGCCTCCCAGGTTCAAGCAATTCTCCTGCCTCAGTCTCCTGAGTAGCTGGGATTACAGGCACACACCAACACTCCTGGTTAATTTTTGTATTTTTAGTAGAGATGGGGTTTCACCTTGTTGGTCAGGCTGCTCTCGAACTCCTGACCTCAGGTGATCCACCCACTTCGGCCTCCCAAAGTGCTGAGATTACAGGCATGAGCCACAGCACCTGGCCTGTTATTGCTTTTGGATATACCCCTTCCTTACCTTCCAGGGATTGCAATGTATTCCTGATATGAGGGATATAGGAGTAACCATGGTTCTTCATGAGTCTGTGTATTCTCTCCTAGGTGAGTTGAGTTCCTTAAAGGGTTGGGACCATAGCTGTATAGATTACTGTTATACCACTTCTATCTAGAGTGGTGACTTAATGTGCTTAGGCTGCTGTAATAAAATGCCATAGGCTGGATTTGTGTAGCAAGACATTTATTTCTCACATTTCTGGAAGCTGGGAAGTCCAAGGTCACGGTGCTGGTATGGTTGGGTTCTTGGTGAGGGCCCTCTTGCTCACTTGAAGACAGCTGCCTTCTCACTGTGTCCTCACATGATAAAGCCAGCAAAAGTTCTGGTCTCTTTTTCTTATAAGGTCACTAACCCCATCACGGAGGTCCCACCCCTTGCCTTCATCTATACGAAATCATTTCCCAAAAGGCTCCATCTCCAAATATCATTGTATCAGTGGTTTGAGCTTCAACAAATGAATTGAGTTAGGGGACATAATCATTCGGTCTATAACAAGTGGCTATGAGGAATCTAGAAGATAATGCAGTGGAAGTGCCATGCGTAGGATTTAGTACACAGTAGGTGCTCGGGAAATGTTTATGAGTCTGTGTTTGAGTGAAGAGGCCTGCTATTAACTGGGCTGATGTGATAAGAGTAATTGTAGCTGACTAAGTCCCCCTGGGGAGCCCCAGACATTGTTAATAGAAAAAATTTCATAGTTACATGAGAGGCATATATTGTGTAGATTCTGCAAGTGGTTCATTAATTTACAGTCTCACATTTTATTAAATTAATTTGAATTTTAATGAAAAAAAAAACTAAGCCAAAGTGATTTCTGTCTTGGGGAGAAAATGGCATTTCTATGCAAGTGCAGGGAGTAGGAAGCCAGAGAAGAGATGTGGGCCTCCTAAATTTCCCCAGAGGTTATAGTCTATCAACTTACAGAGCAAAAAGTTTAAAAAGATAATCTTCTACACCAAAATGGTGACTTTGTCCTTAATGGGGAAATCTCACCTAAAAGGCGTGGTGGGACATGAGTAACATGGCTGGTAAATAGGAAGAAAGACGTGGGACCAGACAGGAGGGGAACTGGGACATTTGCCTCAGCTACAGGGATAACCCCCAAGAAGGTCTTTAATAGCATATATATGCTTGAGAGTTTGGAGGTGTTCCTGGAAGGTGACCTCACCCAAGGGTGACATAGTGGGAAGCATGCCACTCAGCTATCTAAAGGACAGGGAATATCTCTTCTTAGTTGGGTGAATAGTGATTTAGACCATTCAGCATCTCCAAAGTTCATCCCTGATATTACTCAGGAATATTTTGGCTGCAAACAACAAGGCATCAAATCAAATTGCCTGAAGCAGTGAATTTATTTGGTTAAATTAACTGAAAAGTTCAAGGGTAGAATTTTAGGAATAGTCGGGTCCAGATGCTCAAATGATACCCTTAGGAACTTGTGTTCTTTTAGTCTCTTGACTCAGTTTCCCTAATGTTGCCTTTATCTCAGGCAGGTCTTACCATATGGTCCCAGAGATGGCCACAAGCAACTCGAGAACTTTGGGCTTATATCCACCCACCAAATATTCCCAGCAAGAAGGAGCGTCTCTAGGTCAATATTTCTGTGGAAGACCTGAAATTTTTATTACCCCAGCTTGGGCCACGTGTCTATTCCCTGATTACTGTTCTCAGGGATCATGGAGGGGCCTGGCTGGCCAGCTTAGGTCATGTGTTCACATCAAGAACTAGACCCTGTATGGGGCCAGCTCCATCAAGAAGACACAGTTGTAAAGTTCTGTTGGGACAGCTTCTCCTCGGGTAATTGGAGTGCAATGGTAGTGAATTTTGGTTAGGCAAAAATAACATCATTCTCTTTATTTAGGACACAGCTTTTTGGTTCCTGACACCAAGGGAAAGGAGCTGGCCTCAGTGAAGGATGCTGTGGTCAGGGATTCTAATCTCTGGGGCAGAGTGAAAAATCAGGATGCGAGTGGAAGGATGAATCGCACATCTTAGAAGAACATGGTGAAATTAAGAGTCCATTGTGGTTAGAGACACGTGAGAGTTTGTCTTATTTGCTCCTCTGTTCTCAGTACTTCTCTCACCATGCCTGATACATAGTAGGTGATCAAGAAATATTCAGTAATTAGTGAAAGTGTATTAAAACAGAACACCTACTGCTGCTGCTACTAATATGAAGATGATAACTGTAGTGTTTAAACAATAAAATGAACCAGATTTCCAAGAAAAGCAGCCTCTTACTACATACCTGCTAACTGATATTTATCAGATGATTATATGTGCCAAATACTATGCTAAGCCCTTTAATTTCAATATCTCATTTAAACTTCACAACAATTCTATAAAAGCAGAGCTTTTATTACCTCCATTTTACAAATGAGGCTCAAAAAGGTTAGGTTGGCCAGACACAGTGGCTCATGCCTGTAATCCCAGCACTTTGGGAGGCCGAGGCAGGTGGATTACATGAGGTCAGGAGTTTGAGACCAGCCTGGTCAACATGGTGAAATCCCGTCTCTACTAAAAATACAAAAATTAGCCCTGCATGGTGGCACATGCCTGTAATTTCAGCTACTCAGGAGGTTGAGACAGGAGAATCGCTTGAATCCGGGAGGCGGAGGCTGCAGTAAGCCAAGATCATCCCACTGCACTCCAGCTTGGATGACAGAATGAGATGATACCTCAAAAAAAAAAAAAGATTTGATCATCTGCTCAAGATTGATGTTGTATTAGTTAAACTAGACTGTACGAACAGTCCCCAAATTTCAGTATCCGTACACCATGAAAGTTGTTTCTTGCTCATTTCAAGCCCTATATGGCTGGGCGGTGTGGGTTCTTCTGCAGTCATTCAGACACCTGGCCCCTTTAATTATGTGGCTGTAACCTCTCCCAGGGTCATGTCCTGCTTTGTACCATCTGCTAGATGAGGAAAGGTTGGGGATGTGAAGGAAGGTCACTAGATGTTAACCAGCTTGACTGAGGTGGTGCGCCGCACTCCTGCTCCCAGACCACTGATGAAATCAGTCATGTGGCGGCTGGGCCAGAGCCTGGTGATTTATGCCTCTAATCTCAGTTCTTTGGAAAGCCAAGGCAGGAAGACTGCCTGAGGCCAGGAGTTCAGGACCAGCCTGGCCAACATAGAGAGACTCCATCTCTACAAGAAAATAGAAAATAAGAAAATTAGCCATGTGTGGTGGTATGTGCCTGTAGTCCCACTACTAAAGGAGGCTGAGGCAGGAGATCACATAGGCTCAGAAGTTCGCAGTTACAGTGAGTAGATGAAGCCACTGCACTCCAGCCTGGGCAACAGAGCAAGACCCTGTCTCACAAAATAAAATATAAAATAAAATAAAAAGTCACATGTCCCTACCCCCTCCCCCATATCCAAGGAGGACTGGGGAGTGTGGTCTCTGTGTGTGTCAAGGAAATGGCATATTACACGGGTACTGGTGAGTAACAACAGTCACGTGTTCACCTACACTCACACCCCCTACCATGTAGAAGTTACACCCACCCCACACTCACTCATACACTGCCCAACACTGATACTTGCCATTTCACCTAGTCATTACTGAAATTCTGTTGCTTGTTGCCTGGCCTTCACTTTTTTTCTGTGTCTTTGCCCTGATGTCTGCCTATACTTTACCTAATGACAAAGGGAATTTTTTTTTGAGAGCAGTCAGGACCAGAGTCACCACAAACTGGGCACTGAAGTGGAGACTTCAGGCCAGGCCTGGTGACCGACTCTTCCTGTCAGTCAAATTCCACCTCCAAAAATTGTCTCTGCTGCAGCAGACCCAAGGCTGAAATAATTTGATGATTTGATTCTAAGGAGATTCAGTGATATTAGTTGAGTGAATATGAAATGTGCCTTTAAAACCATCCCTTCCCAGTCTTTTTGATCATTAGATTTACTCTTAATCTCACACGCAGACATCCTGTGATTTTTTTTTTTCCTTTTTGGCAGGTTAATTAAACCTGTCTTTAATTTTCTCCATTTTCAATTCTGTCTGAGCGCTGGGGAAAAGATCTGAGTCTCCAATCTCTGGCAGCATTTGTTATGGAATATTCCAAGCATTCGGAACCATGAACCATTCCCTCGTTGAACCTGAGCCGGCCAGCTTTGCTCACCTTAGGCTGCCGGGACTCATACCTCATTGCTTTAGCAACTTTAACTTGGAGGAAGGGAGGGTCATTTAAGAAGAAAATTGAACAATAAAAATCTCAGGAAATTGGATATTTAAGCATTCAAAGATATTGAAGAAAAAGTATGATCAACTAGAATTATCTCCACACAATCTATTGCCCATTAATTGGGACATCCACATAACCCTAACCTAAAATTATGAGGCTTCATTACACATGCAATCAGACACAATCGTCTTCATTCCATATATCAACCATCCACGTGCTCCAAAAATCCTCCTTTTCTTTGTGTCTCCACATTCCCAGTGCAGAAAGTTAAGATCTGATTTTTTCAGATCAGATGGCAATTTCTAGGGCATTGCGCTCTAGAAATTCTACTTTAAATATGAGACTTAGAAAAATATAAAAAAGGTTGAAACACCATCTAGACAGCTGGAGGTAAAGAAAATGAAAAGTGATGCCCTTAAACAGGAAAAGAAGGTTAAAAAAAGGAAGAAAGAAACGTTCTCTATATTTACGGCTAGAAGAGACTGTTTGAAGAAAGAATTCTTCACCCAGCTGAGACACCCACTGCTACTTCCCATGATTGCTCTGAAATGTGGCTGGTCGGCATACACCGGCGCTTGCCTAATCTCAACATAAACCCCAAGTAACATTAAAAAAAAACAAAAACAAACCAAATCAACATGGAACAACTCTATCTGAACAGAAGCCAGAGAGGCCTTGAGTCACACAAGCTTCCCAAATATCCCCTCCACGGCCTTGGCTTTATTGCCGTCTCCCATCCTGGTTTGCTTCAGTCTGAAGGTTTTCCAACCTCACGTGGCAGAGAAGCGCTCTGTGAGTTTCACATCCCTCTTCTGATACCTCCTTAGTGCATTTTTCTCTCTCTCACCTTGCATTCTGGGAGAACCAGTGTGATTTTTCACCTGTGCATCTCTGGCCCCTGGCTTGCCTCTGTGACAGAGCTATATGCCCCACTGTTCTTGTTCGTTAGGACCTCCCTCTCCCCTGTTGAAAGGTGAAATGAAGGCCAGGGACTGAGTTTTGTTCATAATCGTACCCCCAGTACCTGGTACACATAATTATACCTAATAGTAGAGTACACAATAATTATAGACTAGCCTAGATGGATTTCTTTCATTCATCATCTGTTACTCAATAGATGTTTATAAGGCACTGTAGACGCTTTGCCTTCAATATCTTTCAAAATGCGGATTACAATACAATAGTAGATTGCAAGTAGCATTAAGAACATAAAAAGCAGGCCAGGCACAGCAGTTCATGTCGGTAAACCCAATGCTTTTAAAGGCCAAGGTGAGGGTCACTTGAGGCAAGGAGTTTGAGAGCAGCCTGGGAAACATAGTGAGACTCTGTTTCTGCAAAAAATAAGAAAAAGCTAACCAAGCATGGTGGCACTGGCCTGTAGTCCCAGCTACTTGGAAGGCTAAGGCAAGAGAATGGCTTGAGCCCAGGAGGTCAAGGCTGCAGTGAGCTATGATCACACTACTGTACTCCATCCTGGGTGACAGAGCGAGATCCTGTCTCAAAAAATAAAATTAAATACATAAAAGCTGTAGAACTCAATGAAATAGGATAGAATGGGAAAGGGTGGGGTATGCCAGGCTAAGCCAGACTAGAACAAGATAGGATAGAAATTGTCAGAATGTACTTCACGTTAATATTATTTCTTGAGAAATATAGATCATATCTATGTATGCATATGTAACAATATAAACATATACATACAGGCATAACTGTAGGTGGGGCGGGAGTGAGTGTATTATGGGTGACAACATAAGAATTTTGAAAGTCCTTGATCTAGATAATTTATGCTAAGGTTTTAGCGGCAGAAATAGGTGGATGATGACAGTGTATTTTGTCAAGTCAACATGATGATCCGGAAGTTCAGAGTTGAACACTAGTAGAGCACATTCATTAGCCCTCATGGGCTGCTTATGCATTCTGTGTTAATCCCTGGTTTCGATTTTCTATTCTGAGTTACATTTTCCTCGGTTCAGAGACATGCTTATATGTGAATTCATTAAAAGCCACTTTAATAGAATCTGTTGGCCAGGTGCAGTGGCTCAAACCTGTAATCCCAGCACTTTGGGAGGCCGAGGTGGGTGGATCACCTGAGGTCAGGAGTTCGAGACCAGCCTGGCCAACATGGTGAAACCCCATCTCTACTAAAAATACAAAAATTAGCCGGGTGTGGTGGCAGGCGGCTGTAATCCCAGCTACTCAGGATGCTGAGGCGCAAGAATCTCCTGAACCCGGGAGGTGGAGGTTGCAGTGAGCCGAGATGACGCCATTGCACTCCAGCCTGGGTGACAGAGCGAGACTCCACCTCAAAAACAACAACAACAACAACAACAACAGAACAACAACAACAACAAAAAACCCACAATAGAGTCTGTTGTTTACAACTCCCCGGCAACCTGCCCTCAACTGTAACCATTTTAGCTTTGTTTAGGGGAACAATTGGTTCTTCATTCTCGGTCTATGTTTTTCTAGTTGAGAAGAAAACCCCTGCCACTTCCAGTTCCTAAGAGTCCTTATGGAATCTATGCAGCATGGCCAGTCCCTACATTTTATTCCCTGTCCATAGTATTGAGTTTATATCTGTTCACGTCCCTCAAGATGATCCAATGAGATCCAATTCTGGAACATAGGCTGGAATTATGGCGAAGGGCCATGATCCCTTTATAAGGCAGAAGACTAGAATTACAACAGGCTATAGCATAGACACAGCCTACCTGAGACTAATACTACAAAAAGAAACAGACACAAGAAACAGAGAGACCTTGAATTTGGCCTTTAACACATGTCACCCTGCATTCAGCCTTG
Organism: Homo sapiens; assembly: GCF_000001405.40. Lineage (NCBI taxonomy): Eukaryota > Metazoa > Chordata > Mammalia > Primates > Hominidae > Homo > Homo sapiens. Next base: position 26,513,345 of record NC_000016.10, on the reverse strand, counting down.
GCCAAAGTCAGACATATTTCCTCTTTCCAGATTAAGCCTGTTTGAGCTGACTTTCTGTTTGATACAAGTGAAACAATTCCAGCTGATATAGCCACCTTAAATCCTCTATAGATTGAGAGGCTGAGGTGGGCATATCATGAGGTCAGGAGTTTGAGACCAGCCTGGCCAACACAGTGAAACTCCATCTCTACTAAAAAAAATACAGAAACTAGCTGGGCATGGTGATGGGTGCCTGGAATCCCAGCTATATGGGAGACTGAGGCAGGAGAATCACTTGAACCCGGGAGGCAGAGGTTGCAGTGAGCCGAGATCGCGCCACTGCACTCCAGCCCAGGTGACAGTGTGAGACTCCATCTCAAAAACAACAACAACAACCACAACAACAAAAAACCTCTGTAGAATGAGGACTGTGGTACATTTACATTGTTGTTTTCGATGATTCACTTTTCCTCTCTGTAATTTTGCCACTTTTTTGTGCAGTGATTGGGGCAAGAGGCTACTTCCCCATGCCCCGGACATCAGGCTGGGTTGTATGGTTTGCTTGAGCCAGTAAGAAGTGGCCACATGTCAGCCTGAGTGAGAGCTTTGAGACTTCTTGTGTGTGCCTGCCTACCTCTTATTTTTTTCCTCTTCCTTGAGAAAGACAAGTCCCAGATACTTTTTCAGCCTGGGTTCTGCAATGGGAAGATCCATGGAGCAGGGCCTGGTTGACCCACAGCCAACAACTTACAGCACAAGCAAGAAATAAACTCTTGACATTGTAAGTCATTGAGATTTGCTGCTGCTTTGTTTTTGCAGTCATAGGTATTGATTTATTTTGCATTCATCACCACACTCACCCCATATTCATTTTCCAGCATGCAATTGTGAACACACACACACACACATCAAAATCCCTTACACATTCTCCTCCACTGACATTTTCTCTCATGCTTAACAAGTAGACCTGAAATAGAAGAAACATTTCAAAATCCTCTGTACAGATTCCAAAATAACGAGTGAGTAGAGGAGGGTGCTGCAGTGGATGCTGTAAAACAGATGAAATAATCCATCCTAGAAGCCTGGCTTCAGGAAACAGGCAGCACAGACACCACTGGATGCTGTTGTTAGCCCTCTGAGTGGCAACTTCTTGGCTGCACCCAGGATGCTGGACCACAGAGAGATGAGATTTCAGAGTTAGGATTTCATCTTTGGTCCCTGCAGAAGCAGAGTAGCTCTGGCTTTCCGTAAGGCTATCTGTGATTGCAACAAACTTCAAATCCATTAACTCAACCAGACTGTTGCAGATGCTGCAAATATGTTGGTAAACAAGACACAGGAGTTTTCTGCTGCCACAGAGTTTTTATTCCAACTGAAAGAAGGAGGCAGAGCCATAGGATGTACAAGAAAAAAACAAATACGTTGGATGACTTCAGAAAGTGGCAAATGCTATGAAGAAGTGGGCTGAAGTAGTAAAGAACATGGGGGTGGGAGGGGAGGAGCAACTGTGAATGGGCATGTCAGGGAAGGTCTGTTTGGGGAATTTTTGAGCTGAATGGCGAGGACAGGGATGAGGAGGAGAATGCTCAAGATGGAGAGGACAGTAAGTGCAAAGGCCCTGTGGCAGTGAATGCTGGAGCTCGCCTAGATCTGAGTTTCTCCCTGCTTTCCTGGGTGCATTACTGGACCGTGTTTCCAGCCCCTTTGTGGTGGGGGAGGGCCTCCTGGCCGAGCTCTGGCCTATATCATACAGATGGAAGTGACATTCACTACCTCCAGGCCTGGCCACACAAGCCTCTGACATGGTCTTCGCTGTTCTCCATTGGCTCCTGTCTGCTGGCTGAATACCACCACTCAGTAAAGCTCTTAGGAGCCACGAGTTGAAGATGGAAGAGCCTCCATCAGCTGCGGCACTCAAAGGAGCCCCCTCCCTGCCACTGACCTGTATTGGGCTGAGAAGAGAGTGAACAAAAAAATGAACTTACTGTGTTAAGTCTTTCAGTTTTCAGCTGGGAGGTGTTTGTTAGAGGAGCTAGTGACAATTACCCTGTCTCCTAGTACCCTGAGGCAAGAAAGACCTTTCCATGGTCTGAATAGGTAGAAAGTCTGCATGGTTCCCAGGGAATCTACTCTTCTCTCAAGAATAGATTAAGAAACATGCCTTGGGTGCCCTTGTTCCTCTATCCTCTTGGTCCCCTGCACTGTGCAAACCTGCCATGAACTTCACTCTAGTCTGAGACACAATAGTCAGTAAACCCATTTGTCAGATGAAGAAACTGAGTCCCCAGGGGATAAAAACACCTCTGAATTTCCACTTTCTTTTAAAACCTCGAGAAATTTAGCAACACAGTTCCTTCACTCTACATGGCCAAACCTGGCTGGAGCTGGGCTGTTGTCTCTCACTCTCCCCAAAGATTGGCCACAGGCTTGCTATGCTATCCCTCCCATCCTTGCACTTTGTTCTTGCATTTGTTTGACAAACACTTGCATAGTACTTCTTACGTGCCAGGCACTATCCTATGGGCTTTGCAAATATTAACTCATATAAATATTTTACCAATCCTATTAAAGGATTACATTATCACGCCCATTTCCAGATGAGGAAACTGAGGCATAAGGTAGTGAAGAAACTTGCTGAAGTTTCTGAAACAGCTTGCAAGTAATGGAGCAGGGATTTAAACCCAAGTCATCTAGTCTCCGAATCTGTGCTCTTCACCACTACGCTGTAGCGACTCATGTTGCTTGCCCAATTTCTGCGTTTGTGTTTGTGGTCCTTGTTTTTTCAGGCAAAAGGAACATAGCTACCATGCAGACTTTGTTATTCCCTTCTCCTCCCATCCCCAAACTTCTACTGATCAGCTCGGTCCATCTAGTAACATCCTTCCCATCTCTGTGGCTCGACTGGCTGCTTCCTGGGTAAGTGGGAAGGCAAACGATGTCCATGGAGCCCCCTTTATTTTTTTGTTTTCTTTTACATAGACAAGGTCTCACTCTATTGCCCAGACTGGAGTACCAAGGCGTGATAATAGCTCACTGCAGCCTCGAACTCCTGAATTTCAGCTATCCTCCTGCCTCAGCTTCCTGAGTAGCTGGGACAACAGGAATGTGCCATGATGCCCAGCTATTTTTTGCATTTTAAAAAGCTTTTTTGCACAGACAGGATCTCACTATGTTTCCCAGGCTGGTCTTGAACCCCTGGGCTTGAGCGTTCCTCCCACCTCAGCCTCCTGAGTAGGTGGGACTACAGGCTTGCACCAGCACCACCACCAACACCACCACACCTGACTAATTTTTAATTTTTTGTAGACACAGGGTCTCACTATGTTGTTCATGCTGATCTTGAACTCCTGGGCTTAAGCGATCCTCCTGCCTCAGCCTCCTAAAGCACTGGGATTACAGGTGTGAGCCACTGAACCTGGCCTGCTTCCTAAAGTAATGTTTAGAGAAGCTTGAGAGATAATTCCCAACACAAAGCCACAAAACTTTGCAAGAGGTTGTATGTGGGAAGAAATCTCACCAACATACCAGGGTGAAAGAGTGTTCTATGTGTCATCTGAAATTATCCTTTCTCCATCCTTCCACTTTCAGAGCTCTGAGAATTCCAATGTCTTGAAAAGCCATCATTTTATTTTCTCCCAACTCCTCAGCCTCTGGCTGCAGCCTCCTTCATAGTGAACATCCTTCAAAGTGCTCCAGGGAAATGCCCAGAGAGAAGTAACTTTTTAGGTTTTTTTTGTTGGTTTGTTTGTTTTCCAGAACCAAATATTTAGGCTCTTCAGAGAATGGTCTTCCCCAGAGTACACAGAATCCTGCAGCTTGATTTGGCCTCAATCTGGTGCTCCCGATTTCAAGAAAGAATGTCACTGGAACCAAACCAATAAGTTATTTGAATCAAATTCCTACCCAGTACAAAGGCTGATTCCGCAACATCTCTGACAAGGAAGTCGCTCTGCCCCAACTTGAACATGGTTTAATGACAAGAGGCTCATTCCTTTTCCATCCCTACATGCCGTGTGGGCTTTGGAAGTCAATTTCTCACAATGAGCCCAAACCTACCCTTTTACAACTTCGATTCATTAGCCTGTTTCTATCACTTGGTCTATAGGTGATTAAGCAGTTCAGTTTTCTTTTTTTTTTTTTTCTCCTCCTCCTCTTCCACCTCTTCCTACCAGGCGCTGTCCAAAGATTTCACATATGATCTCACTTGAAATTTCATAGCAGCAAATAAATATGATGCAATTCACTCTGGGAAGCCAAGGCAGGTGGATCACCTGAGGTCAGGAATTCAAGATCAGCCTGGCCAACATGGTGAAACCCCATCTCTACTGAAAATACAAAAATGAGCTGGGTGTGGTGGTGGGCGCCTGTAATCCCAGCTACTCGGGAGACTGAGGCAGGAGAATTGCTTGAACCTGGGAGACAGAGGTTGCAGTGAGCCGAGATCATGTCACTGCACTCCAGCCTGGGAGACAGAGCGAGACTCCACCTCAAAATAAATAAATAAAATAAATTTGATACAATTAAGATTGGTACTTTACAAATGAGGAAATGCAGCGGTCAAGCAACCTCTTATCCCTATGTGATTTGTATTGGATTGCACACCTACTAACTGGAAAAGCCAATCTCACACTATAAGTTTATGCTCTTGACATCCATCCTATTGGAATTGAGGCCTAGGTTTAATGATATTGGATAGCTTATGATCAAGGACCCAGGAATACCCAAATATAAACACAATACTCCCTCTAATTTCACCATGAAGAGGCTAAGGAATATACACATGTAATCAAAACAGCATTAAAAAAAAATACTTGCACCAGTGCCAGTCCATTGAATTCAGAGCTCTGGTGAAAGTCTGAGTTGGGACACTCAGTTTATACTTGAGGCTTAATAGATACTTTGATTGATCTCAACCCAACATCAAGCCCCTCTTTTCCCTAAATCTAAGTATTAGGCTGGGAACAGTGGCTTATATCTATAATCCCAGCACTTTAGGAGGCTGAGGCAGCAGTATCCTGTGAGGCCAGGAGTTCAAGACCAGTCTCAGCAACATAACGAGACCCCCATCTCCACAAACATTTTTTTTTTAATTAGCCTGGCATGGTGGCACACACTTGTAGTCCCAGCTACTTGGGAGGTTGCGGCAGGAGGATTGCTTGAGCTCAGGAGGTCGAGGTTGCAGTGAACTATGATGGTGCCACTGCACTTCAGCCTGGGTGACAGAGTGAGACCTTGTGCTAAAAATACATACATACATACACACATAAAATTGGTAAACAGCCTCATGTGAGCCTATCTGCTGGTTATTCTGTAGCTGCCCCCCATACATTTTTCAGCCTTCTAAGCCATGCCTGGTACCCCAGGAGGCTGGACATATATATACCACATCACCGGGACCCCTTTACTGACTCGCTTCCCATTGAGATAAAACAACGACAGCACTTGCAGAAGCTCAGACAGTGGGAGGAAAAAGCAGCTGAGATGTTTTCCTCTGCCTCACCCCTGTTTTGGTGCCTTCGTATTTGTAGAAGTTCAGCGCGTCTATGGCTCCTTTAGCGCAGCCCCCTTCTCCATGGCTCCATGTCTCATTGAGCTCTCAAATGCCAGTTTCTTACCTTGCACTTTCCAGCTTTGGGAAGTAGTGTTGGAGTCTCATTTTTGCTGGTCCCTTGGTGTCTCATTATCTTTTGTGGATTTCCTGAACCCTCCCCACACCTCCATAAATAATATCTTTATTAAAGGTTTGAGCCATTGGGAATGGAATTCTATTTTCTATCAGGGCCATGATAAGTCACACACATAGCCTATGTAAGAAAAAGCTGGCTAAATCTCTAGAGCAAACCTGAATTTACTTACCCATTCATTGATACTGAGTCAGAAAGAGAGAGAGAGGGGGTCTCAAGGGAATCCTTGACTTAGCTTATGCATTTAGACATAAAAAGTGAGAAAAAGAAGGAGCACCATACATAGGCAGTACCTACCTGTTACAACTCAATGAACCCACCACCCGCTGGCAACCATGGACTGATCCAAATAGCAACCTCTGCAGCTTTGGGCAGGGATATGGAAGGTAAGCTTGCCAAGAGGAGAGATGTCTAAGACTCCCCTCCCATCATTTGTAACATTTTCTCTATGACAATTATTTGAACCATGAAAAAATGCCAAACCAGGCCCATTGACTGACTAATTGATTGTTACAGGTCTGGTACCTTCTACTGCTCCTTATTTGATTAGATTCTAGGTGCCTCACCACTTTCTCACCACATTCTCCAAAAAGCTCTTGGAAAATCGGGTCATGGGATGAGAATATAGATTCCAGGCCAGGTGGGACAGGAGGTAAGAGCAGTGGAAAATATGCTTTCTTTCTGAGTTTGGCTTTTCCATGTTTATAGTAGCTGGCCTTGTCAAAATATCCCTCTGATGGTTCTAAGTGCATTTGGGGGTCCCCAAAAACTCCAGGTCTCTTTGTTTTGAGACGGAGTCTCACTCTGTAGCCCAGGCTGGAGTGCAGTGGTGTGATATCGGCTCACTGCAACCTCAGCCTCCCGGGTTCAAGCAATTCTCCTGCCTCAGCCTCCCGACTAGCTGGGATTACAGGTGCACGCTGCCACGCGCGGCTAATGTTTTGTATTTTAGTAGAGACGGGGTTTCGCGGTGCTGCTCAGGCTGGTCTCGAACTCCTTAGCTCAGGCAATCCACCCGCCTCAGCCTCCCAAAGTGCTGGGATTACAGGCCTGAGCCACCGCACCCAGCCTTTTTTGTTTTTTAGAGATGTGAATAACACTGTAACCCATGTTTCCTAATACTATAATTACATGCCTGTATTCTGTAATTTAAATATAAATTACATCTGGAGTAAAAGGCATAAACTGCCCTTCTGCCCTCAAGATACCTTTTCTGGATAGTCCCTGTTCTTTAGAACAAGAATTCGAGAAATCCATGTCTTTGCCCTGGAGTTTATATTTCTGTAACAAGAGAAATCAAGTGCCTATCATATACCTGGAACTATATTAAGTATTTTACATTCATTATTTAATGGCATCTGCACAGCATCTTTATCAACTGAACTGATATCTCACACACATACACACATACACACACACACACACACACACACACACACACACACACCTTATTTCATGGGTGATTAGATCAGGAGCCAAACAGAGAAATAAATTTTCCAAGCTTAAAAGGTGGTGGAACCAGCATTCAGGCCCAGACTGGCTCCTGCTGAGGGAAGTTTTCAATAGCTCTGATAGACTGCCTTTCATGAAAATAGAATTTGGGACCCAGAGAAATCTTCTCCTGTCTCAGCTGAATCCAGGCAAAATCCAATGGGAAAGGTATTCAGTGTTCCTTGGTCTTCTTGTTTTAGCCAGCCAGAGCTGTTCAACCTTGAAAATCCCTCTTAGTATGTTCGGAGCCTGTGTTTCTCTAATTTCCAAGGAGTTGCATTTGGCACTCAGTAAATGACCTGAGTCCATGCCATTGCTAGGTTCCTTTCCACAGCCACCTCATGAATTTTGAGCAATGACTGGTATTGTCTCTAAACCTTATCCTTTCATTCCTTGGGGGATGAGGGCTTAACCCAGAGGAAACTCTGCTTCAAAGCTAGACTTCAACTTGTATCTTGGTGGTTCTTGGATACAATCACACTGACCTATGCATTTTAGGAGCAGAGCCCCAGGGGGCCTCAGAGATCCTAACAAATCCCTCCAGGGACAGGGAAGAGAGAGGCCTCTGATAAACAGCCAAACATTGGAAATGTTTCATTCATTGTGTATTGCTCCATTGATGTGTGTTGCCATGGTGACCTCTGATTATTTTTGAACCAGGAAAATTAATCCTATTGAATTTCTGTCCTAATAACTTAAGAAATTAATTTTCTATATTATAACATTCAAATGCACAATCTCATGAACCGAGCTTTAGTAAGTTAAACTAATCCATCCAATTGCATTCTGAGCCCAGAAATGCTGTTTTGCAGATGGCAGAAGGGCGAGACCTGCTGGTAAACGGGTATTGTGGACTGCACTTTCACTCTAAAAGATAGCTCTTTATTCATAAAAAGCAGAGGCTCTTGTGGATTTGTTAGAATTTTCCAGAAAGAGCAAGGCATGCTGGGATGCGCAGAGCTTTATTTTCTCCTGTTAGTGAATTTTCAAAACCTGCCTGGTACACCTGAAGGTGCATCAACCCTCCCTTTTTCTCCACTCTAGGCTCATTCTTCCCCACTTCTGAAACTACAGCCAGAGGCCTCAGAACAAATGAGTCTTATAGTCAAGTTAACTCAACTGGACTCTGGAAGTTGGTGAGCAAGGAACCATCTTTTGTGCTGCTGCCCTAATCTCTTTCATGGCCAACTTTCCCCTAATACCCTAATATTCTTTCTTTTAGCTGGAGTACATGCTTTAGGTAAAATCATTCATTCATTCAGAAGAAAAACAGCTATGTGTGTTTACGACGCCATGGATAATGCACTCTTGATAAAGTTAGAAAGGCAGATAAGACTAACTTTGGCCCAATCTAATGTGGGTGATATAGATACTATTTATATACTACAATGTGATCAGAGCTTTCACAATGATTTGTACAAAATGCTGTTGGACAGAGAATAGAAGTGTCTTACTGGGAGATCATGGGGAAGCTCAGCTAAAGAGGTGATGTTTGAACTGGCACTTGAAAGATGAAAAGGGCCGGGCACGGTGGCTCACTCCTGTAATCCCAGCACTTTGGGAAGCCGAGGCAGGTGGATAACAAGGTCAGGAGTTTGAGACCAGCCTGGCCAACATAGTGAAACCCTGTCTCTACTAAAAATACAAAAATTAGCCAGGCGTGGTGGTGGGTGCCTGTAATCCTAGCTACACGGGAAGCTGAAGCAGGAGAATCCCTTGAACCCAGGAGGTGGAGGTTGCAGAGAGCCAAGATCACGCCACTGCACTCCAGCCTAGGAGACAGTGTGAGACTCCGTCTCAAAAAATAAAAATAAAGTAAAAAAGAAGATAAAAAGGAGTTCATCAGTTAGAGAAGGCAGAAAAGACATTCTAGATCAAAAGAACAACTTGTGCAGGGCACAGCTATAAGAAAGAACATTACAAACATTAATTAGGACCATTTTATCTGGAAGTGAAAGAAAACTCAGTTTAAACTAGTTTAAACAACAACAAAAGGCACATCCAAAATCAGAAGAAACGTATTGATTCACCTAACTGGTACTCAAAATATCAGCAGTCTCTCTCTCTCTCTCTCTCTCTCTCTCACTCTATCTATCATCATCATCTATCTATCTATATCTATCTCTATCGCTATCTCTGCCTCTATCTCTAATCTCTGTATTTTTGTGTGTTGAAATATTCTTTCCCTAAGAAATGGTAAAGATGGCCATTAGCAGCCACAGACTTACATTAACAAAATCAAAAGATTAAGTCTGCAGGCAGGTTTTCTTTGGCTTACTTGGGTCAATTGTCCATTCCTAAACCCATCACCGATACTAGAGCTGGTTAGTCTGGTTAGCTGGACATGAGTCTATACACCGAGCTTCTCTGAGCGGAGCACAGCTGCATTTTCACACAGTTATGGTCCTCACAGCTACACGATGATCCCATAGCCTCCCTTTAGCATCTCTGGCAAGGCCTCCATACTTATGGTGTTTATCCATTTATTTAACAAAGTCAGATATAGGCCATTTGTCTATATATTCTACATATAGTAACTCAATTAATCATCATATCAACCATATGAAATAAGTACAATTCTCAGTCCATTTGGCACATGGGGAAAGAGGAACAAAGAGCCTTGGATGGCTTCTGATTGTTGGTTGTAAGTCTGAGCTCCAGGTGCAGTCTTGGGGCTTCAGGACATGGGGAGCTACCATTTCTCTAAGTCCCCTCTTAGGAGTGAAAGGGTCACCAGGTATCAGGTGCTGATTATTTTGAAAACTGGGTCAGGCTAGAATATAAGAAATGACTAATGAAGTACTAAATAGACAATAAATTATGATTATTATGATGTGGTGGTAATGGTAATGATGATGATAGTATCCTAAAATAGAAAATTTTCTTGGTCCTATCTCAATTCTGCTGTGCTACCCAAATGCCAGGAGTCTTAAACAATGATGTGTGAATAGCTGGTGAAGCACAGCACACTGAGTTTACACTTTCCACATTTGAGAGATGTAACACTATTGGAAGATGACATGATACAATGTAGAATACAGATGGACATCTTTAGGAACATCCTGATATACGCATTAATTTTAATTATGCCTCAGCTTCCCAAATAGCTGGGATAACAGGTGTGCACCATTACACCCAGCTAATTTTTGTATTTTTAGTAGAGATGGGGTTTTGACATGTTGGCCAGGCTAGTCTCGAACTCCTGACCTCAGGTGATCCGCCCTAAGACTGCACCTGGAGCTCAGACTTACAACAAACAATCAGAAGCCATCCAAGGCTCTTTGCATATAACTAGCATATCACACCTATGTTATTAAAGATAGAATTGATGTAATAGAATAGTATAATATAGATACTTTCACTTAAAAGAGTGAGACCATTTTAGAAAAATATTAAGTCTACGCCAGTATAGGTGGTGGTCGATATGATAATATCCGATACACCATCCCAAGTTTTTTGAGGACACCTCTGTGACAAAAGAGATACAAGAAGCTACATTTATCCTGAAATCCGCGGGGCAGCTGTATGCACCCATGGCTCCCATGATACTACATGGTGTGTGGATGCTGAAACTGAAATCGTTAATAGAAAATAGATTGAAAATAGGTCAGGTGCGGTGGCTCATGCCTGTAATCCCAGCACTTTGGGAGGCTGAGGTGGGCAGATCACTTGAGGTCAGGAGTTCAAGACTAGCCTGGCCAACTGGCAAAACCCCTCTCTACTAAAAGTACAAAAATTAGCTGGGTGCGGTGGTGCACACCTGAAATCCCAGCTACTTGGGAAGCTGAGGCACAAGAATCGCTTGAACCTGGGAGGCAGAGGCTGCAGTGAGCTAAGATTGTGCCACTGCAAGGTTCTATGAAAGAGAGCCTAGAACGAGAAATGTTGCTGTTCCTCGGGTTCTATTCTTGACCTTTTCCTCTTACTCTGCATACACTTCCTGGACTATCATTTCTGCACTGAGGTGTTAACTTCCACTCCAGCCTGACCTCTTCCCAGGCCTCAGTCCTGTGCCCAGAGGCCTACTGGCCACTTCCACTGGGGTGACTGACCAGGGCCTGAGCTCAAATATCCAAACCTGATCTCATTATTTCTCTCTCTACTTTACCTTTCTCCATTTCTTCTGTCACTGGAAAACCCACTGTCCAATGAGTCTTCTAGGACAGAATCTGGCCATCACCAGGGACTCCTGGTTTTTCTTTCCCCTACCAGAGCCAAATGCAAATGCTCCAGCTCTGGTCTCACGGTCTTCATCTTGGACTTTCATCATCATCTCCAAACTCCTTTGGATTCTGTCTGCTCAGTCCTTGAAGCTCCCCGAGGTAACACCTCTCCAGACAGCCATAACTAGGGCTCGTTCCCAGAGCTCTCGTATTGCCCGGGGTTTGACTCCATTATAGAACTCAAGACACCCTCCTTCAATCAGTGGGCCAGGAACATCTTCAACTATTTTTTTAATTTTCATATTATTTTATTTTATTTTATTTTATTTTATTTTGAGATGGAGTCTTGCTCTGTCACCCAGGCTGGAGTGCAGTGGCATGACCTCAGCTCACTGCAACCTCCGCCTCCCAGGTTCAAGTGATTATCCTGCCTCAGCCTCCCGAGTAGCTGGGACTACAGGCACCTGCCATCATGCCTGGCTAATTTTTGTATTTTTAGTAGGGACGGGGTTTCACCATGTTGGCCAGGCTGGTCTTGAACTCCTGACTTTGTGATCCGCCTGCCTTGGCCTCCCAAAGTGCTGGAATTACAGGCTTGAGCCACTGTGCCCGACCCAACTTTTTTTTTTTTCATTTTTGTATCCTGTATCTGAGAAGCCTAACATAGAGAAGATCTCAGAAATTATTTGTTGAATGAATCTTCTACAAAAACAAAGAACAAAAATCTGCAAGAAACTATTTCCCTAAGTGATCAATTTTTCAAGTGCTCTGAATATATTAAATTATCATCAATGTATTTCTTTTTAAAACGTGTAAAGTTTGTATGAATCTGTATAGGGTACTTTGGAATGGTCTATGGGGTTGATGATCTGTTTTTATTTTACTTTTTTACCCCAGAGTGTTCTCTCTCTCTCTGCCTATCAGTCTCCCGTTTTTCTGATGTTTCAGATCCCTTCTCTCTGATCCTCATGCTCCTTTTCTTTCTGACTCTCTGTTTTTTTTGTGTTGGTTTGTTTTGTTACAGTCCCTCTTCTTTCTCAGTCTGCCCCTTCTCATTCTCTTCTCCCTTTTCCAGTAGAGTATCATTATATCTTTTCTTCTCTAGGAAGAGACCAGGACTGGCAAAAATAACATTTAAATACTCCCTTAAATATTATTGGTAACACAAAATGAAAATGAATCAACTAAAATCTTTACCAGACTTCAAAAGTAGTTTTAATGGAAATTGTCAGAAATTGTATACATATTTAAAAGAAATAGATTTTTAGTAATTAGATGAATTGTATAGTTTTCCAGAATAAATCACTGAGTGAATTGGATTTTGGAAAATTGCTCCTTCATTGAACCAATTTCAGGGAACATCGTACTTTCCTTGATATGGTTTCTCTCTCTCTATGACTCAGTCTTTTCCAGCCTCTCTCTCAAACACTCTCATGCTTACACACAGAATTTCTAAAGCCTTCTCGCTTCACTTGTGCATGCTTTTCTGCATGCCTTCTCTGGCTTTCTTTTCCTGTCATCTTGTCTGTTTCTAGACAGACTTGTATGTGTATGTGTGCGTGGACACACACACACACACGTACACACACACACGCGCACCACACATGCACACACACACAGGTTTTCTCTCATACTGTGATTTTTTTTCATAAACATGTTGTCTTTGTCTCATGAGTAATTCACATGCATAGAGTCTATTCTTTCACTTTCTGCCTCTCTTTCCATCTCCCATATTATTTCTTCCCCACCTTCTTCTTTTTTTTTTCTCTCTCTGTGCTTCTCTTTCTCTCTATCTCTCTACCAGGATACATCTCTCTCCTCCCTCCCCATGTACCCAGTTCAGTTCTGTCAGGCCCTTTCCTCTCTGATAAGTGACTGAGGGAAGGTGTAACGGGGCCAGTGCTAACCACAGCCTCAGCTCTCAGCAGGAAAAATGACCCTGAGAGGCTTTCCCAGCAAGATCTGGGCACATGGAGCCACTGCTGAGTATCTCTTCTCTCTCATTGTGTCCACAAATTAACAACTCAAATTAACAACAACAATTTGTCCACAAATCAACAACATTATGTCCACAAATTAACAACAACAAAGACTTTGGAAGAAAACATAGTCCTTCAGTCAAATAGGCTCACAAAGAATTGCTTAAAGGGAAGGGAGAAAACATTTTACAAATTGTCACTCTCTTTGTTGCAGAATGTCTTCTGATATGGCTTTGCTTCCTTGCCACTGTGAATGAGGTTTAATTTTCTGATATCTCCAAATTGTCATTTATTTTAGAGGATATTTTGAGATGGTTGCTATCAACTCCCACTGATGCAGGACAGGTGAGCCCCAAAATTGGGGCTTAGCATGGGAGGGTTCTTTGCTTTGCCCAGAAAAGAATTCAAGGGTGAGCCAGTGGTGTCAGCAACTTTTACGGAAGCAGCAGTGTACAGCAGCAGCAGCGATATCGCTCCTTGCAGAGCAGGGCTACCCCATAGGCAGTGTGCCCAGAGTAGCAGTATAGAAGCAGGGCTGCAGTCATATTTATACCCACTTTTAATTACATGCAAATTAAGGAAAGGGATATTCAGAAGTTTCTAGAATAGGGGTGGTAACTTTGGTCGTAGCTATGAAAAGGGGCAGTAACTTCTGAGTGTTGCCATGGCAATTGTAAACTAACATGGCACTGGTGGGTGCATCTTATGGAGAGGTGCTTTAGTCTCTTCTTTGTTTCAGCTGGTCTTCAATCTGGTCAGAAGTTTGAGCCCCACCTCTGGAGTCAAGTCCCACCTCCTACCTCACCACCAATGCATTGGCCATTCTGTTGATTTTATGAGACCGCCTATAAAAGCGAAAGCCAGGCCGGGTGCAGTGGCTCACACCTGTAATCCCAACACTTTGGGAGGCCGAGGTGGGCAGATCACAAGGTCAGGAGATCAAGACCATCCTGGCTAACATGGTGAAACCCTGTCTCTACTAAAAATACAAAAAATTAGCCATGCGTGATGGCGCACGCCTGTAGTCCCAGCTATTTGGAAGGCTGAGGCAGGAGTATTGCTTGAACTTGGTAGATGAAGGTTGCAGTGAGCTGAGATCGCACCAACCACTGCACTCCAGACAGAGCACTCGGCGACAGAGCAAGACTCCATCTCAAAATAAACAAATAAATAAAAGTGAAAGCCTTCCTTTCCGAGCAGAGGCCTGCGTTGCCCAGGGAAATGGATGCATCCACAGCTAGGGGTGCCTGTGTCGGGTGTATGTGTTTCCATACGTGCAGTTGTTGCTGTGTATGGGCATCTGAGCTCCTATGTGTGTCTGGGCACTGGGGTCTCCCTTATGTGCCGCGTCATTGGTGGGGCTGAGGGAATGGGTTTCTGAGAGTATCTCCATGTGCTGCTTTGCCAGAGCTTTTGAATGAATCTGAGTGTTTGTGTGTGAACAAAGTTTATTTGACTCTCTATCCAACTGGGGACATGTTATTTTCAAGTTTAACATAAAAGATATAGAGATTATTTCTCGTTTGGAACATCTATTCTTCTGATTGTGAATAATCAAAATGCAATGATAATTGGATACTTTAGCCGCTTGTGAAAGAAAATCCAGAAATGCACCTTCAGAGCACACGAGTATTGGTTCAGTTAAAGAGTTGTAAGCAGAAGGCAAGATTCCTCTGGATTTCCCAAGATGCACTGTTAGATGTTAGAAGTGACACGAAGTGAGTCTGAAACCCTGTGAGGGTGTAGAGGAACCAGGGCTGGGCACAGGGAGGAGAGCAGACTGTCTTCATGGGGGATGTTTTCTCATCAGGAGCCTGAATTCAAGAGTTTTCTCTGAATCCAAGTGGCAAGTAGTCCCAGTCTCTGTGGTTTGGTCTTTCCCTTTGTCCCATCATTCAATGTAAACCCTTTCAGTTTTCTAAACAGAGGATTAGAAGCAACATTTTCAAGGTCACCCACAGCACAACAGGACTCGAGCTTCTCTTTGAGTGTTGTTCTGTAGAATCTGTTTGTAGTTCTTGTTCCTCCGGGGGTTGGAACCTACACAGAGCCTGCCTTGGGGGCTGTGTGTGTGTGTGTGTGTGATTCGAATGCAGGTACTTCTCTTTGTGCTGGTGCCTGAGTCTGGCTGAGAATCTGGGCATTAAAAAGGATGCTGATTCTGTGTGTGTATGACTTTGCGTGCAACCTGTCAGGTGTGTGATTGGCCATGTGAGTATGGCTTTATGCAGCTATTAGTCTCTAAGGTGAGGTTCCTTGTTTGAGTGACCCCACTGTGTGACTGACTGTATGCACATCTGTGTGTTGCTTCAAATGACTCCATGATGTTGTCTATGAACCACAGTCTGAGCGAAAGTCAGGCCTAGAGGCACACAGTGACTGATGCACTCACACACTCAGGGGCATGCACACACACTTAGATACACAATGGATCCTCCATTTAGACACAGGCTGTTACCATCTCCCACCTCCAACCCACATCTCACATAGACATCTTCTCATCTACAAAGCAACTTGCAGATGATTTGGATACAAAAGTCCAAACTTATTCATTTGTAGTGTTCTCAAACCCCTAGAGGGCTTTTGGAAATGTGTGGGAGCACGATTATCACATGACCTGTGTGTGCTATAATATTTAGTGTGTATGGTCAAAGGACATTAGGTCTCTCCTAAGGTATACCCTTTTGGCAGCAGAGACTGATTTTGTGGGAGACAATTTTTCTATGGACCAGGGAGGGAGATGATTTGGGGATGATTCAAGCACATGACATTTATTGTGCACTTTATTTCTACTGTTATTACATTGTAACATATAATGAAATAAGTATATAACTCACTGTAATGTAGAATCAGTGGGACCCCTGAGGTTGTTTTCCTGAAACTAAACGGTCCCATCTGGTGGTGATGGGAGAAAGTGACAGATCATCAAGCATTAGATTCTCATAAGGAGCCTGCAACGTTGATCCCTCACATGTACAGTTCTCAATAGGGTTCATGCTCCCATGAGAAGCTAATGCTGCTGTTGGTCTGACAAGAGGTGGAGCTCAGGCAATAATGCAAGTGATGGGGAGCGGCATACAATACAGCTTGCCTGCTGCTCACCTCCTGCTGTGTGGCCTGGTTACCAACAGGAACCTAACAGGGGACTGGGGATCCCTGCTACAGACCCACCCTGAAACCAGCCTATTCAAAATGTCGATAGCGCCCCACTCAGGGAAACTCTAAAGAGCAAAACACAAAAACAGGCAAGGGTACAAACATACAATATTCCTTTTTCTGAAATGTCTTCTCACATTTTCTCTATTTGGAAAATTCCTATTCTCCACTGTCACCTCTTTTGTGAAGTCTTTTCTGCCCCACCGTGACAGATCTAATGATTGTCACATTGGGTGCGACCTCTGATCCTTTAGCATATCCGTACTGTAACTCATTGTGATCATATTTATACCAACACAGCCTCTCCCACACTAAGTTGAGGACACCTTGATGGAAGAGACACTGCTTCACTCATGGGCTGAATTGTGACATAAAGGAAAGAGTCTGACAGAGCCGGGGTTGAATCTCTCATCTGCATGTGGGATTGTGGGCAAGTTATGGATCTCTTGTGGCTTGGTTTCCTCCCTCATTCAATATGAACAAGAGCATTTGTTCAATGCCAGTGAGGGCTATTGTAAAGATTAAACGAAAAATGATGCAGAATTAGATGTTGGGCAAAGAATAGATTTTACTATTATCATATAATGTCTGCTTCCTTTACCCCTAGCACTCTTAGAATATAGAAAGAATCAAGGCAATTTCATCTGCCTGAACTGGAAAGGCAATACTGGGATCAATGCATGTAATGACAATTGCACTAATTATTCCAGTAATTATTGGAAATTGAAATGAAAGTTCCAAAGAGTAAGTACTCCGCATTGATACCCTTTGATCTGAGAATCTCACTTCTAGGAATGTAGCCTGAGAAAAGAAGACAACAAAATTAAAAAGCTACATGCATGAAGATGTTCTTTGCTGGATTACCTATATTAACAAAAAGAAACAAAATACGCCTACCTGGAAGGCTTCTAAATGGCCAAAAATTGAACTGGTAGTGAATTATGACACAGCATTATAAAGATATATTGATCAGTTGTTTAAAAGCTTGGTAGAAAAGATCTATAGAAATGTTGGAAAATGCTTAGGTTTCAATATTAAATTTAAAATGACTAATACAAAACGATTACCCTGAGATTATTATTGGTCTGAATTTTGTCTGCAGGTGAAAAACACTGAAAGGAAACACATAGAAAGGAAAGAATATGTGCACATATTTTACAGTTATATTTTGCTTGTTTTCTCCTCCTTATTTTATAAAACCAATTTTGAAGTCTGCTTTTTAAAATTTATATATACGTGTGGGGTACAAGTGCAATTTGGTGTCACATGGAGATTGCCTAGTGGTCAAGCCAGGGCTTTTAGGGTATCCATCTCTGGAATAACATACATTTTACCCATTAAGTAATTTCTTATCCTCCACCCCCTCCCATCCCTTCACCCTTCTGAGTCTCTGTTGTCTGTTATTCCACTCTCTATCACATGTACACATTTTAACATCTATTTATGTGTGATAATGTGTAATATTTCTCTTTCTGTTTCTGGCTTATTTCACTTAAGATATCCAGATCTATCTATGTTGCTGCAAAATACATTATTTTATTATATTCTTTTTATAATCAAGCCTTCCCTTTCTTTTCCTAGGTATACAAATGGTCTTTTCTGTAAGTCTTTGCTGAGTACTTGCCTCATGTCAGAACTAGAGAATATGCTCAGAAGATCAACCTGTACTCTGGAGGAGCCACAGTCTCATGGGACAGACAGGTACATACACAAAAAATTATACTGAAATTTAAGAGAAGGAAGTAGTGTCAGAATACAGGAAAACGCACTAGCTTTTGGATGGAGAGGACTGAGTCTCAGCTGCAGACTGTGCAGGTCAAGTCTTATTACTCCGTTAAAACCCTCGGATGCCTCTCATACTCTCAGCATCAAAGCCAACATCTTTGCAGTGTCCTCGACACCCTTGCAGAACCTGAATCACCTCGCTGACTCCACTCTCTTGCACTTTCTGCCTTGTTCATTTCGCTCCCGTCTCTCTGGTCTCTGCTGCTTTTCCCACATGTTAAGCATTCTGGCTCCAGTGCCTTTGCACTTACATTTTTTCTGTCTAAAAATGCCCCTTCCCTACCCCCAGATATCTGTATCACCAACTCTCTCATGTCCCTCAAGTCTTTATTCTAATGCTATCATTTTAGTAAAGCCCCTTTTCCATATAATTGCAACCGCCAGTTTCCCTATCAATTTCTTTGCTATTTTTCCATAGCTCTTGCCACTATGAGAAGTCATCTGTATTTATTATTTGATTTCTGGCTCATCTTATTAAAATTTAAGCTTATCGTGGGCAAGGATTTTTCATTTATTTGTTCACTGCTACATTGCCAGAATCTAGAATGATGTCTGGCACATAGTGGGTCCCCAACTAATATTTATTGAATTAATGAATAAAAGAATGAGTGAGATTCAGTGACTTCATCTACAAAAGGTAGCATAATGACATTTATCCCTTCATTAAGTCACAATGTCAAAGCAGTTGGCACCCAAGAGGTATTCAGGAAGCATGAGTGAAAGGTTACTATTGAGATGACTCAGCAAGGGGTCCAAGGGCTGTGTGATCCAGTCCCATCCCAATAGAATCCCCTGTAAATGAGACAGTGCACCTGCAAACCCCAAGTGCCTACCTTGGAAACTCAGTGCATTTTAATAAGAAAACAGGCTTCGTTTCTGCACTCAACAGCACAGGCTGTCAACAGTCAAGGGAGTAAAAAAAAAAAAAAAAATTAAATGCACCTCGGCTATTTTTGCATCCAGGAAAGTGTACAGATTTTTAAAAAATAATAGAACCAGAAAAACAAAAGCAACCAGTTTAACAAATTAGATCTAGCTCTTGTCAAAGGAAATGTTTTTTCAGCCAATACTAAACAACCCTCCCAATGCTGTAAAAGTCTCCAAATGTGAAACTCTTGGAGCTTGAAAAGGTCTCCCTTGCCAGCAAAAATGCTTCCAATAATACCCAGAAACAAGATTCATTAAAAGCTATCTTTAGCATTATCAGCGATTTTGTTATTATCCTGTGTCCTTCATAAAGTGCATTGTATGCCTCTACTCTGAATTGCAGAAGGAGGGGGTGGTGAGGGAGGAATGGCAAGAAAAGCTACTATGGCCCTGGGGAATTGCCTTACTCTGCTAGGGGAGTGAGAGAAAATAGGAAAAAAAAGGAGCTAAAAACTTTCAAAATAAATTTAAAGCAGGATCTTTAAAAGTCAGCATTCAATTAATGTTATTAAACAAATAAATGAGTGAATGAAAGGCTGCAAAAACGAAGCAATGAACTGACAAAATACACACACTCATGCATAACATTTTATTGGCTAACCTCAAAAACAAGGGATGCCAATGATATAGGCTCCCTGAACTCAGTGGGGAGAAATGAGTCCAGATAGCTAGACCCATATGGTGTAGTTAATTACCGAAAGGAGAGAGGGCTTGGTCATCATAAGAGACAGCAGAGAAGGTGCAGTAATCAAATTTTTAAGATTGGCTTGAGATGTATGTCAATTAATCAGCCATAGGTTCCCAAGGAATGAAATTGATAGGAAAAGCTATCTAGAATCTCTATGTTTAGGAAACTATATCACTAAAACCCTTGTGCTCTTTGTGAGACTAGAAACCCATTATTGGGTATATATGTTAACTAATTGTCAAGCACTTACCATGTACCAGGTATTGTGCTAAGCATTTTACATGCATGAACTGAATCCTCTTAACAGTGCCTTGAGATAAGTCTTATTACCTGGTGGTTAAGAGCAAGGGCTCTGGGCCGGGCGCGGTGGCTCACACCTGTAATCCCAGCACTTTGGGAGGCAGAGGCAGGCGGTTTACCTGAGGTCAGGAGTTCGAGACCAGCCTGGCCAACATGGTGAAACCCCGCCTCTACTAAAAATACAAAAATTAGCCGGATGTGGTGGCACACACCTGTAATCCCAGCTACACGGGAGGCTGAGGCAGGAGAATTGCTTGAGCCCGGGAGGCGGAGGTTTCAGTGAGCCGAGGTCATGCCACTGCACTCCAGCCTGGCCGACAGAACAAGACTCTGTCTCACAAAAAAATAAAAATAAAAAGAGCAAAGGTTCTGGAGCCAGATCATCTGAGCCAGAACCCAACTCTATTGCTTGGTGGCTGAATGGATGCAGGCAGTTGTGTAACTTCTGTTTGCCTCAGTTTACTCATCTATAAAATGAGGGCAATAATAATAGCTATCTCAGACACTTCTGGGAATGTTAAATGAGTTAATCCATATATAGCATTTAGAATATGCCTGGCATAAAGTATATGCTCTAAAGGTGATAGGTAATATTATCCCCATTTTGTAGATGAGGAAACTGAGTCACAGAGTGGCTGAGTAAATTGGCTAAAGTCACACAACCATTATGTGGAAGAGCTCGAATTAAAAACAATGCACATTTTCTCTCCTGTGTTCATTCTCTTAATGATTATGTTATCCATTAGTCAGATTTTTATGTCTAGGAACCAAGAATTCAAAATCATATGAAAATAGCTCATGTCTGCTCTTAAGCTGTTATATCACAATTCTGTTTTATCACAGCAACCAAGACAGAATGAATCCCATAGATTTTCAGGAGGCAAAATCTACAGAACCTGTTTGGATGGGCTGTAAAGGAAGAATGGTCAAGAGAGGCTGGCGTAGTTCCCGTTTTCTGGCCTGGGTGCTTAGAATGAAGGAGGAAGCCTTCGTTTGGGGTGATAGGTTGCACAGAGGGTAATGACTGCTAAGGTGAGCCTCTGAGTTTAAATTCTGTGGGGTACACCCCAAGAGGCAGCGAGATATATGACGCCTGAACTCAGCTGAGAATTCTGGGTAAAAGCGCAGATCTGAAAGTCATCAGAACATAAAAGGGGCAAGACTGGGGATATGACTGAGGTCCCAGATAGTCTTCAGCAAAGGAGGAGTACAGAATACCACAAGAAATTCTCAGAAAACACTTAAGAGTATAGGTGGAAAAGAAGCCCCAAAAGTGGATTGAGATGGTCAAACTCTAAATGAGGGCTCCATCCCTAGGCAAATGCTTTGCCCATAATGAAATGCATATAATGTATGGTGATTCAACTATGCAGTTCAGAGAGAGAGAGAGAGGCACACGGAGTTAAAGAGTTCTAATGGTTTCTCCTGACACGTTGCTCAGGGAACATATACACTTGGAGTGAGTATTAAATAGGACACACAAATCAGGGGTTCTCAATTGATCTTAGCTGCTACACGCTTCGCGGAGTGTAAACACCTTGCTAACCTGAGTGATGCCTACACAAAACATTCTCTGCCTTATATTTGAGCTAAGAGAGAGCTAAGAGATAGCAGTGTGGTAGGGAGAGGTAATTCTGACCTAAAGATTTAGCTCCGTCTGAAACTCAGGCTCCAAGGTGAGATAACCATGGTTGCCCTGAGTAGGCTCACTGAGTGATATAATGGAGTGAAAGGCCACCCAGTGAGAGCTTCGCAGCTGTGGAGGAACTATAGATGTTTCTATGGAAAAGTCAGGAGTGAGAGATTAGGCTGTTGCAGCTTCCAAAACTAGTTACTGAGGACTCAGCACTCCCAGGACTGAGGGCTGGGCTCATTCCAGAGAATGAAGATTTAGCAAACACCACTTTAGACCTGATTTGCGATATAAGGCAGATCCTTTGGCTCAGACAGACTTGCAAGAAAAGAGAAGGGAGGTAGAAGCATGAGATTTAGAATCGTTAAATTCAAGTCCATGTCCTACAACATACTAGCTGTGAGAGCCTAGGCAAACCTTTCGTACAATTTGAGTCTCAGTCTTCTTTCTGTGCAGTGGACACTATGATCCCACAGTGTTGTTTGTTGAGGGGATGCATGGTAAAGGTCTGGGTACCTGACCCACAGTTATCCTGAGTTCTTTCCAGAGGACGCGCATCCCAAAATACAGCTGCAGACTAATTGAGAAGATTTGCCAGCTTCCTTATAAGCAGGGACTTTATCGAGAAACCTGTGCATAGCAGTTTAATAAATGTTTTATTATGTTTTAACATAGTAAAAAGCTGACTGGGCACGGTGGCTCACATCTGTAATCCCAGTACTTTGGGAGGCCAAGGCAGGCATATCATGAGGTCAGGAGTTCGAGACCAGCCTGGCCAACATGGTGAAACCCCATCTCTACTAAAAATACAAAATGTAGCTGAGCATGGTGATGCGCACCTGTAGTCCCAGCTACTCAGGAGGCTGAGGCAGGAGAACTGCTTGTGTCTGATGCCAGACCTCACATTGCCTACAGCCACTTCCTTTAAACAACACTTGTTTTTCCTAAGACACACTTGTCTTGGAGAATGGGCACATGGTTGGCCCAGAGACTTTCCTGCTGCTCGGAACTGTGCCCTCCTCTTATTCTCATTTTACTCCTCATAATATATGTGACTTTTGCATAAGACACCTCAAATCCCTTTTGGAATGAGATGGAGGAGAGACACTGTGAATAATTAAAAAGATATGTTTGCACACATGTGTTACTGTGTATCTATTTAGGTACACGTAGTCGCATGTATGTGCATGTACGCACAACCTGGTCCACAATAGGTGTTTCTGATGGCGACTGTGCTTAACTCCTTATGGCACTCTACAAGAACCCTTGGTGGTTTTCTCTGAGTAGTATGGGAGAGAATGGAATAGGCTCGGTGCTTCTGATGCCTCAGTCCTGTCTTCTGAATCAGTAAACAGCCCTTTCCAAAGAAAGATTTTCGTCTTCATCTGAGGGCTGCCTCTGCTGGATAATCCCCTCTGGGCTCTGGAAGGCTTCCTCACAGTTGGTGGAAATTGCAGGTCTCAGGATCCCAGAGTGAGGCAATGAGACACTGAATGTCAGTTAGCAAATATTCCACGCACCCATGCCTCCAGGCTTCGGCAGATTTTCAAGGCAGTGGGTGAGCCACTGTCTTGCCGGGACTCCCACTGACTCAAGGTCTTTCACTGAAACTACAAAATCCCTGTCACCTGGGGCAGGCTGGGTGAGTTTCCTTAAAGTCTGGAACTCCGTACGCCTCTGACTTCTGCTTGTCTTTATGGATCCTGCATTTTTCTTTCCCTATTCTTCCCTTTTCACCTCCCCTGTCAGTCCCTGCACTTTGTGAATTCAGAAACTGAGCATGGCGATCTTGGAGATGTGCGGCATCATCTCCCTTCAAGAGAGAATTTGTTTAGCTGTAAGGAGTGCACCAAACTTAATTGGAAAGATAAAAAGTAATTGATTTCAGCAGATTTATACTGAGACCCTACTATGTTCCAGACTCAGCTGTGAGTCCTTTGAGCCTGTGCAGCTTTAAGCATGATAAAGATGGTACTTATCTTTATGGTACTTGATTCTTAGAGGGCAAGGGAAGGGAAGATGGGCAACAAAATAAGTAAATAAATAATAAGATTTCAGATAGTGGGAAGTGCTACAAAGAAAGCAAACTAAGGTAATGAAATCCAGAGGGTTGTGTATGTGTATGGAAGTGTTGCACTGCTTTTGCTAAGGTGCTCAGGAAAGATCTCTTGGAGGCTTTTGAGCTAAAACCTGAAAGATGAGAAGTCAGTATATATAAAGATCTGGGGAAGAGCATTTCAGGCAGAGGGAAAAAGAAGGTCAAAAATTCTTGATAATTGCCATCAAATAGTTCTCTCAAATACCACTTCATGCCGCAAATCATCTACATTCGTCTCTGTGCCACAAGTAGTTTGTTTCATATTTGGGGAAATACTGGGTAAGAAAATCTCTAATTTCCCTCTCCTCTGATATTTTATTCTGTGAATCTCACAAGGAAAAGCCAGAGATGGATACAGAGAAGGGTTTGGAGGAAGAAAAGGGGCCATAGGCGCAAGATCCTCCCCTCCGCGGCCCCCGACCCTGACCCTTCTTTTTCCTCACCTTCCTCCCATCCAGGGTGTAGCGAACAAGATTCAAAGATGATTTTTCTTTTCCTTTTCTTCCACCCCGTCTTACCTTCCACTTTGATTATCTCCCGGCATCCCCAGCCCTCTGAATTTGGAGAGGAGGAAGAGAAGGGAGTAAGTGGAGAAAGAGTAGAAAACCATTTGTTAAATGCACTTGTTAACATTCTGCAGATTCAGCCCCATTTTTCAGGTAGCTCCTGGCTGGATTTTGCAATGCTTCATCCTCAGCAAGTTACCATAGATTTCTCCAGGATGCAATGATTCCCTCACTACAGATTTTAATCAGCTTCTGAGGTCTGTTGGTGATTTGGGAGGGATCATTTTCAATCTGCTAAAGGATTAGTCAACGCCTTTTATGGGTTCATGGCTTCTTGTTCTTCTGACAGTGTACACGCAGCTGAGTCCTCTCAGTTCTATGTAGAATTTTAGATTTTTATGTGCAAGGTGGTCTTCCAGACTCTTGGTCTCAAAAGAGATCAAACATTCTGTAGCCCAGTGTGTCTCAATCTCAGAACTATTGAAATTTTAATTATTCTTTGTTGTGGGTAGCTGTCCTCTGCATTGCTAGATGTTAAGAAGCATTCCTGGCTTCCGCCCACTTGGGCGATCCCTGTACTCACCCTCCCCCACTGCAAGTTGTGAAAATCAAAAATGTCTCTAGACTTTATCAAATGTACCCTGGGGGATGAAATCGCCCTGGTAAAAACTATTGCCCAAGGCTAACACTGGATAGAAAAATGTTTGATTGAAGATAAGAACATGTTTCTTTCATTTACATGAACTTCAATTTACACTACTTCGCGATATCCATTTAAGCATAATCTCAGCCATTTTTAATGAAGACTTGTGTAGAACTCCTCAATCTGTGAAGTCGACTCAAATAGATGGTATCACATATTCTGGAATTAAAGCTCGTATAGCTCAAGAACTACTAAACTTGCTCAATGTCATGACACTGCAAGAGGTGTTAGCAACAATCCATGTGCTTGGAAATTCTCTCTTGAATGACATTAAGACTTATCAGACCACAAGTGAATTCGACTAATTAAAATTTATCAGTGCTCTAATTCTTCCCTGGTAAAACACACAAAAGTTGTCTGTTAGGAGAGCATTCAGAATTCAGGCACCAAGCCATAGCCTAATGTAATGGAACATTTTATAAGGTTTATAGATCAAATGAAAACATGAATTATGTTAAAATTAGTAACTAAACATAAACTGCCACATCATTCTATTTGTTTCTTTTATAGCTAATCTTTCTCATCAAATTTTCTTGTTTAGCTTCTTCATTTACTTGTATATTTTCCATCTTACTCCTGTTTAAGAGCAGGGGTCTTGTTGTGTTTTTCACTGCTGTATCCTTAATGCCTAGAACAGTGCTTGACATGTGGTATAAACTTTATAAATATTTGATAAGTAAATGTAATTTGAATGAATGAATGATCTGAGGGCAAACAAGGTAGCCTGATATTCACCAGAAGTGGGGATAGAAAGCTTCTAGAAAATGGACTTGCCTTCAAAAAGCCTGAGTAAGAAATGTTCCTTGACTTGTTTTTAAAAAACATGGGCAAGTTTCTAGAAAGGCAGAAAATTTGATGGTTAAGTACAGAGGCTTTAACATCAAACTAATCTGGGTTGAGCTCTCACCTTAACCATGTGTAAACTGGGCATTCCTAGTAAAGTAACTCCTGTGAGCCTCAGTTTCAGTATATATAAAATGGGAATAAACAATACATGTGAAGATAGCCCAAACCATATCAAAGATGTTACAGGAAAGGGGCCCCGATCCAGACCCCAAGACAGGGTTCTTGGATCGCGCGCAAGAAAGAATTCAGGGTGAGTCCAAAGAGTAAAGTGAAAGCAAGTTTATTAGGAAAGTAAAGGAACAAAAGAGTGGCTATTCCCTAGCGCAGCCCCGAAGGCTGCTGGTTGCCCATTTTTATGGTTATTTCTTGACGATACGCTAAACAAGGGGTGGATTATTCATGTCCCCTGCCTTTTAGACCATATAGGGTAACTTTCTGACGTTGCCATGGCATTTGTAAACTGTCATGGTGCTAATGGGAGTGTAGCAGGGAGGACAACTAGAGGTCACTCTCATGGCCATCTTGGTTTTGGTGGGTTTTAGCCAGCTTCCTTACTGGAACCTGTTTTTATCAGCAAGGTCTTTATGACCTGGGTCTTGTGTCGACCTCCTATCTCATCCTGTGGCATAGAATGCCTTAATCGTCTGGGAATGCAGCCCAGTAGGTCTCAACCTTATTTTACCGAGCTTCTATTCAAGTTACAGTTGCTCTGGCTCAAATGCCTCTGACAAAGGCACTTAATAAATGGTTTCTATGATTGTTATGATCAATAACATTCAGAAGCAACTAATTATCAAAACATTGGAATGGACTGGGTGTGGAGGCTCACGCCTGTGATCCCAGCACTTTGGGAGGCTGGGGCAGCAGGGTTATTTGAGCCTAGGAGTTTGAGAGTAGCCTGGGCAACATAACAAGACCCCATCTCTACAAAGAACAAAAAACAACAACAAAAACCAAACAAAACATTGAAATGGGCAGCCTTATGAAGCAGATATAGTCCTGACCTTGGTTTTGATGTGGGAAATTCCCAGTCCTCTGCAGCTTGGTGAACTGATGAATCCCTGTTGTAGGCTCCATACTACTACATTTTCACACTTGTCATGACCAAGGCAAGTGTTAGGTGTGTCAACAGACAGAGACATGCAATTGGGCAGGGAATTACACATGGCTGTCAATCCAGACATTTCTGGTATGTATGGGGAGTCACAAAGCTTTCCAAGTTACATCATGACCTTATATATTCATCAAATATTTTTGTTTAATTCCTCTCTTTTGCCTTTATCTTTTAAAGTAAAATGCATTAATGAAAGTTAACTTTATATCTCAGTGTTTGTATTAGAGGATATCAAAGGAGGAATGTGAATTCGGTAGGAGAAGAGTAAACACCATTCAAAGACAAAAAAAGGGACTTTGTATCCTCTTTTGGGGAAAGGGTTAATATGGTTTTTGTTATATACAAGATACTTGAATCAGAGGTATAACTCTGTTATTGTTATGAGCTGGAGATTAGGTATGGTTTAAGTAGATGTGTATGGGAGATAAGTTGACAAAGCGTGTGTTTTGGCTGTGTAATGTGTCAACTTGGCTAGGGTGAACTATCCTCCCCAGAATTCACTTTGTTGTATGTTTTTGTATTAGAGTAGGGCAGAAAGAAGATTTGTGGGATCTGGATGGCAGAAGAAAGGCAGCAGCAATTTTGTAGCTCACACATTTTGTTGCTGATCTGCTGATTCACCTTCTTGGCATGAAGTAGCATATTGGCCTTTAAGTGCTTTACCTTCCTCTTTAACTTCTCTGACTCGAAGACTAGAACTATGTGCTTAGCTCCATGATGAAGGGCCCTGGCTTCTTCAGGATACCCTTATTGCCAAGGTCATAGTGAACAAGAATAGATGTGGTTCCCAATTCATCTTTCTGGGGCTTCGGCTAATGTTTTTGGGTTCCAGCATGCTCATGATCTTCCATTCCTAACTGCTTGCTCTAAGGACTTTAGGATCTAGTATCAGACATGGACACAGAAGCTTACAGAGACTGCTTAACCAAATTCCACAATTGCATGTCAGTTATCTAAGAAATCTCTTACACACACACACACACACACACACACACACACTCTTACTGGTTCTACCTTTCCAAATTTCTGAATTATTCTAGTTTTCTACTTTTCTGACTAAACCTTAACTGATATGCAACTTTTCCTTCATACTGCTTGACTAAATGGTATCCAAAGATCTGTCCACAGAATATAAAAGGATTCTTGATATGGTATTCCATGGAGGCACTGCAGAGAATTTAAATGATCACTGTTTGAAGCTCAGAAGATAGATGTTTTCCCAAGTTTCAAAATTATGGTAAAATACACATAACATAAAATTTACCACTTTAACCATTTTTAAGCACACAATGGTATGAAAGACATTCATAATGTTGTGCAGCTATCACTGCCACTCATCTTCATATTTTTCATTCTGTAAAACCAAAATGTTATGTATTAAATAACAAATTTCCACTTACCCTATACCAAGCCCCTGGCAACCACCATTCTACTTTCTGTCTCTATGATATTGACTACTTAAAGTATCTCATGTGATTGGATTCGTACAGTATTTGGCCCTTTATGTCTGGCTTATTTAATTTAGCATAATGTCCTTAAGGTTCCTCCATGTTGCAGCATGTGTCCGAATTTCCTTCTTATATAACAGCTGAATAATATTCCATTGTATGCCTATTCCACAGTTTGCTTAGCCATTCCTCTGTCAATGAACATTTGTGTTGCTTCCACATCTTGGCTATTGTGAATAATGCTGCTCTGAACATGGGTGTACAAATACCTGTTTGAGACCTTGCCTTCAATTCATTGGGTGTATATCCCAAGGTGGAATTGCTGGATAATATGCTAATTCTATTTTTGCTTTGAGAAATTATGACACTGTTTTCCACAGTAGCTGAATCACTTTATATTCCAAGCAACAGCACACAAGAGTTCCAATTAATTTATTATTCTTACTAACACTTGTTATTTTCTGTGTTTTTTAAGAAAATAGCTCTTTGTGGCCGGGCGCGGTGGCTCACGCCTGTAATCCCAGCACTTTGGGAGGCCGAGGCGGGCGGATCACGAGGTCAGGGGATCGAGACCATCCCGGCTAAAACGGTGAAACCCCGTCTCTACTAAAAATACAAAAAATTAGCCGGGCGTAGTGGCGGGTGCCTGTAGTCCCAGCTACTTGGGAGGCTGAGGCAGGAGAATGGCGTGAACCCGGGAGGCGGAGCTTGCAGTGAGCCGAGATCCCGCCACTGCACTCCAGCCTGGGCGACAGAGCGAGACTCCGTCTCAAAAAAAAAAAAAAAAAAAAAAAAAGAAAATAGCTCTTTGTATACTTTCTTTGGAGAAATATCTACTCAAGTTCTTTGCCCATTTTTTAAACAATTAGTTTGGTTTTTGGTTGAGTTTTAGGAGTTCTCTATATATTCTGGATATTAATACCTTGTCAGACATATAACTTGAAAATATATTCTTCCAATTGGTTGGTTACCTTTTTACTCTGTTGATATTGTATTTTGAGGCACAAATACATTAAAATTTTAATAAAGTCAAATTTATATATTTTTATCATTGTTGTCATCCAGGCTTTTGGTGTCATATCCAAGAAATCATTGCTAAATCCAATGTCATCAAGCTTTACCCCTATATTTTTTTCCAAGAGCTTTATCCTTTAAAATTTTACATTTAGAACTTTAATTCATATTAAGTTGATTTTTGCATATGGTGTTAGGTAAGAGTACAATTTCATTCTTTTTCATGTGGATATTCATGTTTTTAAGCACATTTGTTTAAGAGACTGTTTTTTTCCATTGAATGATCTTGGCATCCTTGTCAAAACTTACTTGCCAAATATGTGAGAGATTATTTCTGAACCTCTATTATATTCCTTTGGTCTATATGTCTATCTGTATGCCAGTAGCTCACTGTTTTAATTACTGTAGCATTGTAGTAAGTTTTGAAATCAGAAAATGTGAGTCCTCCAACTTTGTCCTTTATTTTCAATATTATTGTGGTTACTTGGGGTCCTTGAGATTCCATATACATTTTAGGATGGGTTTTTTTTCTATTTCTACAAAAAACATCACTGGGATTTTGATGAGGGATTACATTGAGTCTGTAGATTGATTTGGGTAATATTGATACCTTAAGAATATTTGTCTTCCAAGCCATGAACATGGGATGTGTTTCCACTTATTTCCATCTTGTAAAATTTATTTCTGAGAACTTATGAACACAAAGAAGAAAACAACAGACACAGGTCTACTTGAGGGTGAAGGATGGGAGGAGGGAGAGGAACAGAAAAGATAACTATTGGGTACTGGGCTTAATTCCTGGGTGATGAAATAATCTGTACAGCAAACCCCTGTGCTGTGAGTTTACCTGTATATTTTACCTGTATATTTTACTTGTATATTTTCCATCTTAATCCTGTTTAAGAGCAGGGGTCTTGTTGTCTTTTTCACTGCTGTATCCTTAATGCCTAGAACAGTGCTTGACATGTGGTATAAACTTTATAAATATTTGATAAGTAAATGTAATTTGAATGAATGAATGATCTGAGGGCAAACAAGGTAGCCTGATATTCACCAGAAGTGGGGATAGAAAGCTTCTAGAAAATGTACTTGCTTCTAGAAAATGGACAATGTAAGAAATCTTCACTTGTACCCCCAAACCTAAAATAAAAGTTAAAAAAAGTTATTTCAGCAATGTTTTATATTTTTCATTGTTTATGTTTTTAACCTCCTTGGTTAAGTTAATTTGTAAGTATTTTATTCTTCTGATGCTAGTGTAAATGAAATTGTTTTAATAACTTTATTTTTAGATTGTTCATTGTTAGTGTATACAAATGTAACTGGTTTTTCTGTGTTGACTTTGTATCCTGCTACTGTGAATTCATTTATTAGCTTTAAGAGGTTTTTGGTATGAATTCTTTAGAATTTTCTAAATATATGATTGTATCAGCCATAAACAGAAATAATTTTACTTCTTTCTAATAAAAGGCATCTTAGATGCCTTTTATTTTTTTCTTGCCTTAGTATCTGGCTAGAAATATAATGTTTAATAGAAGTAGTGAAAGCAGGCCTCTTTTTCTTGTTCCTGATCTCGGAGGAAAAGCTTTCAGTCTTCCACTAGGCAGTAAAATGTTCACTGTGGATTTTTCGTATGTGGCTTTTATTATGTTGAATTCACTTTTTTTTCTATTTCTAGTTTGTTATGAGTTTTTATTAAAAAAGAGTGTTAAATTTTGTCAAATGCTTTTTTTCTTGCCTCAATTGCTATGATCATGTGGATTTTTTCGAACTTCCTTCATTAGTTGATTTTCATATTTTGAACCGTCATTGCATTTTAGGAATAAATCCCACTAGATCATGGCACATAATCCTCTTAACGTGCTGCTGAATTCGGTTTGCAGGTATTTACTTGAGGATTTTTGCATCAATTTTCATGAGGGATATTGGTTTGTAGTTTTCTTTTTCTATAACTTATTTGCCTGGCTTTGATATAAAGGTAATACTGAGCTCATAGAATTAATTAGAAAGTGTTCCCTCCTCTTCAATGTTTTGGAAAACTTTGAATAGAATTGCTATTAGTTTTTCTTTAAATGTTTGGTAGATGTCACCAATGAAGCCATTATGTCCTGGGCTTTTCTTTGTTAGAATTTTTAAAAATTACTTATTCATTCTCCTTACTAATTATAGGTCTATTCAGATTTAGTCTTGGTAGGTTTTGTGTTTCTAGGAATTTGTTCATTTCATCTATGCCATTCAATTTGTTGGCTTACCATTGTTCACAATCCTCTCATAATCACTTTTATTTCTAGAGAATCAGGAGTATGTTCCCACTTTCATTTCTAATTTTAGAAATTTGAGTCTTTTCTCTTTTTCTTAGTCTATCTAGCTAGCTTCGTCAATTTTATTGATCTTTTCAAAGAACTAGCTTTTGGTTTCATTGATGTTTTCTGTTGTTTTTCTATTCTCTATTTTGTTGATCTCTCATCTTTATTATTTCCTTCCTCTGCTAGTTTTGTGATCAGTGTGTTCTTATTATGGTTTCTTAAGTTGTAAAGTTAGGTTGTTGCTTTGAGATCTTTCTTGTTTGTTTACTGTAAGCATTCATGACTATAAATTTTCCTCTAGCACTGCTTTTGCTGTGTTCCATAAGTTTAGGTATGTTATACTTTCATTTTCATTCATCTTTAAGTATTTTCTAATTTCCCCCCTGATTTCTTCTTTCATTCACTGATCATTTGAGAAGGTGTAGTTTAATTTCTACAATTTTATAAATCTTACAGTTTTCCTTACGTTATTGATTTCTAACTTTATCCCATTGTAGTTGAGAAAGAGACTTTGGTTGATACCTATCTTTTAAAATCTGTTGAGACTTAACATGTGACCTGGTATATGGTCTAGTCTAGAAAACATCCCATGTACACTTGAGAAGAATATGCATGCTGTTGTTGGGTGGAGTGTTCTGTAAATACTTGTTAGATCTAGTTGGATTATTGTGT
Organism: Homo sapiens; assembly: GCF_000001405.40. Classification (NCBI taxonomy): domain Eukaryota; kingdom Metazoa; phylum Chordata; class Mammalia; order Primates; family Hominidae; genus Homo; species Homo sapiens. The sequence goes on along the minus strand of NC_000016.10, from coordinate 26,480,856 downwards.
TGTTTAAGTCCTCAATTCCCTTACATAATTATCTTTTGTCTGGTTGTATCTGAGTGGAGTACTGAAGTCTCCAATTATTGTTGTAGAAATGTCTATTTCTTTGCTCAGTTGTGTCAGTTTTTGCTTCATACATTTTGATGGTTATCAAAAAGAATTAACAAATATTAGATGTGCAAATATTATAGTTGTTTGTTTTAGATTTCTTATGTTGTATGCAGATGTGTTATGTTTGTTGTGGAAATGTTATAGATGTACTACTAGGTACCTAAAGGTTTATCTTTGTTATAGCTTCTTGCTGTATTGAAACTTTTACTAATACATAATTTTTTGTCTCTTGTAAGCTTTGTGACAAAGTCTATTTGTCTGATATCAGTATGGACACCCATGTTCTCTTTTGATTATTATTTGAATAAAATATCTTTTTGTATTCATTCCCTTTCAATCTATGTATGTCTTTGAATCTAAAGTGAATCTGTTTTAAACAACAAATAGTTGGACCGTATTTTTAAAACTCATTTTGCCAATCTCTGTCTTTTGATTGGAGAGTTTAATTCATTTACACTTGAGTAATTACTGATAAGGAGGGATTTATTTCTGTCATTTTGCTGTTTGTTCTCCATATATCTTACAGCTTTTTTGTTCCTCATTTTCTGCGTTACTACCTCCTGCTGTGTTTAGTTGATTTTTTGTAGTGAAATGCTTAAATAACTGTCTCATTTCTTTTTGCACATATTTTATAGCTATTTTCTTTGTTGTTATTGTGAGGATTTCATTTGATATCCTAGAGTTATAACACTTTAATTTGAATTTATACCAGCTTAATTTCAATAACACAAAAACTCTGCTTTGTAAACAGCTTCATCCCCACCTATTTTGGTTACCTTTTTATACATTTTATGCCTCAAAACATAAATTGGTAATTTCTTTCAATGAAGTATTAGGCCAAATTATGTAGAAAAAAATGTAGAGTTAAAAAGTTACAATAATAGTAGCTTTTAGAATAATAATTCTAAAATGTATTAGTCTCTTAAACCACGTAGAAACAAAAAGTAGGGTTATAAACTATTGTTACAACAATAAAAGCTTTTATAGTTGTTCATGCCATTCTCTATTTTTTTGATCTTTGTTTCTTCTTGTGGCTTCAAATTACTGCCTAGTCTACTCTTTAACCTTGCAAGACTCCATTGAGCATTTCTTGCAGGGTAGGTCTCATGGTAACAAACTCCCTCAGTTTTTGTTTCTCTGGGTATGTCTTAATTTCTCTCTTACATTTGAAGGAAAATTTTGCCAGCTATAAAGATACTTGGGTGACAGTTGTGTGTTTTTTTTTCTTAGCACTTTGAATATATTAGTACACTGCCTTCTGTTCTCCAAAGTTTCTGATGAGAAATCTGCTGAAGATCTTATTGAGAATCCTTTGTCTGAGATGAGTCAATTTTCTCTTGCTGCTTTCAGGATTTATTTTATTCTTTGTCTTTTGAGAGTTTGATTATAATGTGCCTTAGTCTGGTCTTTTTGAGTTTATCTTACTGGAAGTTCATTGAGCTTTTTGGATGGTTATACTAATGTTTTTTCTCAAATTTGGGAAATTTTCAGTCATTATTACTTCAAATATTCTTTCTACCTGTTTTTCCCTCTCTTCTCATTCTGGGACTGCCATAATGTGTATGTTGGTCTGTTTGATTACGTACCATAAGTCTCTTAGACTCTGTTCACTCTACCTCAATCTTTTTTTCTTTCTGTTCCTCAGGCTTGGTAATTCCTGTTGCCAATCTTCATGTTTGCTGTTTTTCCTTCCACCTGCTCAAATATGCCTTTACATTCCACTGGTAAATTTTTCAATCTAGTTATTGTACTTTTTAGCTCCAGAATTTATTTTTTGTTTCTTTTCAGGTTTTCTGTTTCTTTATTGATGTTTTCATTTTGTTTATACATCAGTTTTGTAACTTTCTCCACATTTATTTTTAGTTCATTGACCATTGTTAAGATAGTTGTTTTAAAGGCTTTGTCTGGTAGATCTGCCAACAGGTGTTTTTCAGAGACAGTTTCTACTGATTTCATTTTTTCCTTTAAATAGGTCATACTTGCCTGCTCTGTATATGTTTTGTGATTTTGTTGTTGTAAAAGCTCGACATTTGAATTTGACAGTGTAGTAATTCAGAAATCAAATTTTAGAAGACATATATTTATGATACCATTTTGCTGCTTTAAAACTGTGTGCCTTAAGTCAAGTAACCTCATTGATCCATTTAGTTCCTCTGTCAAATTGGAGATCATAACACTCATTTGTGTTAGAAACATCTACTCCCAAATATCAATGTTCTCCTACTCACCACTCATTTCCCAGCCTTCTTGCAGTTAGGCAAAGCCGTGTAACTAATTCAGCCCAATACACTGTGAGTAGAAGTGATGTGCCACTTCCTGATGAAACATTTAAAAGGCATTGTGTGCCTCTTCAGCTTTTGTTTCTGTCAGTACAATAATTGTGGCAGCCACATGATGAGCATCCATCAGCCTGAGTCCCTGAATGGCTATGTGGAGCAGAACTCCTCAATGATACAAATTGGGCTCTTAGTATGAGACATAAACTGTTGTTGTGGGATGCCACTGAAATTTCAGAGTTCACTGATTAACTGCTGCATAACCTAGACAATCCTATAATACCATATGCAACGTAGTGTGCTTGTTTTGAGGCTCAAGTGAAAGTGCTCAAGTGAAAACTATCTAAAAGGGTGCTAGACATAGAACAAGTGCTTAATAACCATTTTTACCTTTATTTTTACACCAATTTTCCATTTGGCCATCCGAATAGAAAACTGATATATAAAAAAAGATAGAAACAGTCCACCTATGGCCATCTTTTATGTTTCCCATCCTGTGCCCTTCTTTCTTCCACACATACGAAAGCATATTTAGAAAAATGTGAATTTGTGAGACCTCTAAATGAGGGCTTAAGAATTTCCTACCTTGCAAAATGTTCTTTCTTTTTAAAAAGGATCAGGTGTAGGAATCCTTGCAAACAGCAGGTGCATCTGTACAATGGATATGTTTGCTTATCAATGGGGGTAAAAGCAACCTGCTCTGGAATCTTCTGATTGCATCTTACCAAATGAGCATCTAGTTGCAGGTATGCCTGGAGATGCACAAATGTTTTGTAATGACAAAAGCCTGAAGGCCTCAATAACAATTTCCCTCTGAGAGACAGACAGCAGGACCTCTGTACTGTGGGATCTCTCACACTATGATTTTACTGTCATTGAACTGCATATAGCGCACATTTCAGCAATAGTGAAATCTTTTCAATGGCACAGTTGGTATGTTTAGACTGGCGCCTGGAACAAGCTGAGCAGTCAATCCCATCTTAGCACCACTAGCTGTGTAACTCTAGGCAAGAGACTTAACATCTCTGACCTTTGGCTTTTATCTGTAAGATGAGGATAAATTGTATTTAGCACCTGTCTTTCAGGTTAATGAAAAGATTGAGTGAGATGTGTGGGAAAAACAATCAGTACAGAGTCTGGCATATAGTAACTTCTCAATAAATGTTTATAATAATAATTATGATCTTTATTATCCTCATTGCTGTTGTTACCAGAACACCGTCTGCTGCATTACTTTGCCTTTCATGATTACATGGACTGTTTTCAAAGGGCTAAACATTACACTTTAGAGAACATTTTTATTATTTTTTTATTGTTAAATTTTATTAAATTTTTATTATTTATTATTTTTATTACATATAACCAAAATTTAATTTAAAAATAAGCTATTGATCAGGCACTACATTATATGTTTTCACAGAAGTTATTTCAATGTATTCTAGTAAAACTCCACATAATCATTAAAACTACATAGCTAGAAAAACATAGGTCCAAAGGGGTTAAATAATTTGCCCCTTATTAGTTGATATTTTTCTATATTAAATTGTTGGGAGTACAAACCAAGATTTTCTGATTCTACGTTCTTTGCTTCACCCATTCCGCATCACAATTTCAGGTGACTTAAGATGGCCACCATGAAATGTGGGTGCTCTCCCTCCCGCCCCATCCTGCGTAATTCTGGCTAAAGTACATCCTTTGTTTCTCTAAAGTTAAGTGATTAATGAAATTAATTAATTAATTGATATTATTTTTCACTGTTTTACTTCAAAAATGAATTCACAGACACGATCACGGTTGAATCTTTCTTAACTGCTTAGTCCAACGGAGGCTCACTCACCCTTTCTCTCCAGATGAAGAGATTAAGGCTGAGCGTCAGGAGGCAGCATTCCTGAGGTCACAAAGATGTTTATCGGCACTGTGTGAACACCTCAGGTCTTCTGATACCCAGCCCATCGCTCTTCCTTTCATGTTCATAATTCCAGAGGCCATCTGTAAAGTACTAATCATCACGATTAGAGAAAATGCTATTAAACTTTGATTTCCAGATGCAGTAGTCACCCCTGCTCCATCGGGGATATGTTCCCAGACCCCCAGTGGATGCCTGAAACTAAAGATGGTACCGAACCCTGTGTACGCTACTTTTTTTCCTTTACATACATGCCTATGATTTAATTTATAAGTTGGATGTGGGGGCGTGCACCTGTAGTCCCAGCTACTCAGGGGGCAGATGGGAGGATCACATGAGCCCAGGAGTTTGAGGCCATCCTGGGGAACATAGTGAGATGTTGTCTCTAAACAAACAAACAAACAAACAAAAAAAACAAAACACTTTAATTTATAAATTAGGCAGAGAAAGATATTAACACAAGCAATAACTAATAATAAAATAAAACAATTATAATAAAATACCATAATACCATAAAATAAGCTATATAAATGTGCTCTCTCTTTCTCTTTCTCCTCTGACCTCCTCTCAAAATATCCTAATATTTTCAGACTGCAGTTGACCACTGGTAATGGAAACTGCAGGAGTGAAACCATGTAAGCAAAACCTTGGATCCGCTACTATGTATCCCAGCAAGAACAAAACACTCTCAATTGTTATTTAGCCAAGCTCCATTCCAACTATTTTGTTTTATTTGCAGAGAACAAAATGCAAAAGGAAATACTCAGTGCTAGAAAATAACCCCCTAGGGTATACCAATGAACTGTTTGCCTAAAAATAAACTCAATTTGGCAAGAGCCACCTGCTGTTTCTTATAAAGTGACTGGGGAAACACAAATCCTAAGGCCTCGGGGACTTGTTCTCTTTCACTTCTGTTTCCAATTCTCCATACTCTATCCATTTTAAAATCAACAGCACTGAAGCATCATTTACATACAATAAAAAGGACATATTTTAGGTGTATAGTTCTATGAATTTTGGCCAGTTTATAGACCCGTGTAAGCATCATTCCCAATAAAGACAGAGAATGTTTCTCTCACGTCAGAGAGTTTCCTCAGGAGCCTTTTGCAGTAAATCGCCTCTGACTGCATAATCCAAGCAGTTGCTGATATGGTATCTATCGCTATAGTTTTGCCTATTTTAGAAATTCAAGTAAAGGGATCCTGCTTTCCTTTTATCTTACTTTTTTGCTCAGCATAATGCTTCTGAGTTTCATCCACATTATTGTGTGTATCACTAACTTGTTCTTTTTCATTGTTATCAAGTATCCTTTGCATAAATATATCACTTTTTCAAGCTTTTACCTTTCGCAAGACATTTGGGTTATTATGAGAAATGCTGCTATAAAATATTGGTGTACAAGGCTTTTTATGAACATATCATTTTATTTATCTTTTAATCATATAATTGCCAGATCCTATAGGAAGTGTATATTTAACTTTATAGGAAACCACCAACCCCTTTCCAAAGCAGTTGCAAAGCGTGAGGGTTGAAATTGCACCACATCCTGCATCATTCCCTTCTCCCAACCTATCCTCAGGCAGCCACTGGTCTGCTTTCTGTTCCTATAGACAAATTTTCATTCTGTAGAATTCTTATGAATTGAATCATACCCTGTGTACTCCTTTTGTCTGGCTTCTTACACTAAGAATAATTTTGGGATTCACTCATATTTAATAGTGAGAGGTGAAGCCGGCTTGGCTTCTAGGTCGGGTAGGGACTTGGAGAACTTTTCTGTCTAGCTAAACGTTTGTAAATGCACTAATCAGTGCTCTGTGTCTAGCTAAAGGTTTGTAAATGCACCAATCAGCACTCTGTAAAAACGCACCAATCAGCGCTCTGTGTCTAGTTAAAGTTTGTAAATGCACCAATCAGTGCTCTGTGTCTAGCTAAAGGTTTGTAAACGCACCAATCAGCACTCTGTAAAAACGGACCAATCGGCACTCTGTAAAATGGGCCAATCAACACTCTGTAAAATGGACCAATCAGCAGGACGTGGGCAGGGCCAAATAAGGGAATAAAAGCTGGCCACCCAACCAACAGCTGCAACCCGCTCGGGTCCGTTTCCATGTTGTGGAGGCTTTGTTCTTTGGCTCTTCACAATAAATCTTGCTGCTCCTCACTCTTTGGGTCCGCACTTCCTTTATGAGCTATAACACTCACAACAAAGGTCTGCAGCTTCACCCCTGAAGTCAAGCAAGACCACGAACCCACCGGAAGGAAGAAACTCTGGACGCATCTGAACATCTGAAGGAACAAACTCTGGACACACCATCTTTAAGAACTGTAACACTCACCACAAGGGTCTGCGGCTTCATTCTTGAAGTCAAGGAGACCAAGAACCTACTGGAAGGAACCAATTCTGGACACAATAGTTATCAATATTTTGTTCCTTTTCATTGCTGAGTGGTACACCACTGTGTGGATATGCCACAATTTATTTATTCACTCATCTGTTGATGGACGTTTTCATTATTTCCAGTCTTTGGCTATTACAAGTAATGTTTCTATATGCTTTTATTTAGAAGTAATTGTGTGGTCATATACTTTCATTTTTCTTGGATAAGTACCTAGAAGAATAGCTGGGCCATGTGGTATTATATGTACATGATTAACTTTTTAAGACACTGCCATATTGTTTTCCACAGGGGTTATGCAATGTTATATTTCCACCAGCAGTATGTAAGAGCTGTTTACTATCTTTACCAATATTTGGCATGACTTATCTTTAACTTTAGGCATTCTGGTGGGTACATGATATTATCTTGTTATGCTTTTAATTTGAATTTTCCCAGGGTTAATTATGTTGTGTATCTTTTAATGTGCTTATTTGCCATCTATTTATCTTTTTGTGTGAAGTGCCTGCTGAAAACTTTTGCTTTTTTTAAAATTTAGGGCATCTGTCTTCTTGTTATTGAGTTGTTAGAATTTCTTACATTTTTAAGATATAAACCATTTGATAGATGTGTTTTATAAATATTTTCTACCAGTCTGTGAATCACCTCTTTATTTTTGTAATAATGCCTTTTGAAGAGCAAATGTTTTACTTTATGATGAAGTCCAATTTATCAATTTTCTTTTACGAATTGAGTTTTTGGTGTTATTTTTAAGCAATATTTCCCTAATGCAAGAAGGCAACAATTTTCTTCTATGTCACTTTCTAAAAACATTGTAGTTTTAGATTTTGCATTTAGGTCTGTAGTCCATTTTGATTCATTTTTGTGTGGCATGGGATATGAGTCAAAGTTCACTTTTTTGCATCTGGATATCCAGTTGTTTCAGAAACTTTTATTAAAAAGGTTATCATGTTTCATTGAATTGTTTGTGCACCATTTTTGAAAATCAACTGATCATAAATGTAAGGCTCTAGTTGCATACTGTATTCTGTCCTGTTGATTTATTATGATTCACTGGTTTTTATTAATCTCACATTGTCTTAATTATCATAGCTTTATTTTTATTTGCTCCTTTTAATTTTTTTCTATGACTTTTTTGGGTATATACCCAGTATTGGGATTGCTGGATCATATGATAGCTATATATTTAATTTTCTGAGGAATCTCCGTACTATTTTCCATAAGGACTGTACTAATTTACATCACCACCAGTGGTACATAAGAATTCCCTTTTCTCCACATACTTACCAGCATTTGTTATTTTTGTGTTTGGTAATAGTCATTTCAACTGGGATAAGGTGTCATTGTAGTTTTGATTTGCATTCCCCTGATAATTAGTAAAGATGAGCATTTTTTCATACATCTGTTGGCCATTTGAATGTCTTCTTTTGAGGAATGTCTATTGAAGTTTTTGCCCATTTTTACATTGGATTATTTGTGGTTTTTTGTTATTGAGTTTTTTGAGTTCCTTATATAGTCTATGTATTAACCTCTTGTCAGATGCATAATTTGGAAATAATTTCTCCCATTCTGTAGGTTGTTTCTTCACTCTATTGATTGTTTCCTTTGCGTTGCAGAAGCTTTTTGATTTGATGTAATCCTATTTGTCAATTTTTGCTTTTGTTGCTTATGCTTTTGAGGTCTTATTCAAAAAATCCTTGCCTGTTCCAATTTCATGAGTCATTTCCCTAGTGTTTTTTTTTCACTAGTTTCATAGTTTGGGGTCTTACTTTTAAGTCTTTGACCAATTTAAAGTTGAACTGTGTATATGATGAGAGATAGAGATCTAGTTTCACTCCTCTATATGTAGATATCCAGTTTTCTCAGCATCATTTATTGAAGAGATTGTCCTTTCTCCAATGTCTGTTTTGAGGTCTTTGTTGAAAATCAGTTACTGTAAATGCACAGATTTATTTCTGCATTCTGTATTCTATTGTATTGGTCTTTGGTTCTGTTCTTACATGAGTACCATGCTGTTTAGGTTTGTATAGCTTTGTAGTATATTTTGAAGTTAGGTAGTATGATGCTTTTAGCTTTGTTTTTTTGCTCAAAATGAACTGGGCTCTCCAGGGTCTTTTGTATTTCCATATAAATTTTAAGATTGTTTTTTCTATTTCTTTGGAGAATGTCATTGGTATTTTGATAGATGTCATTGAATCTGTTGATCATTTGGGGTGATATGGCCATTTTAACAAAAGCCAACTTGTGAATACAGGAGATCTTTTTATTTATGTCTTCTTCAATTTCCTTTACAGTGTTTTACAGTTTTTATTGTAGAGATCTTTCATCTCCCTTGGTTAAGTTTATGCCCATGTATTTTTTTGGTAGATTCTGTAAATGGAATTGCTTTCTTTATTGCTTTTTCAGGTAGTTTGCACCGGAATATATCAATGGAAACACTACTGATTTTGTGTGTTATTTTGGTATCCTGCAACTTTGCTAAATTCATTTATTACTTCTAAAAGTTTTTTGGTGGAGACTTTAGGGTTGTCTACATATATGACCATGTTGTTTGAGAACAGCGACAACTTAATTTCTTTCTTTCCAATTATTTGAATGACCTTTATTTCTTTCTCTTGCCTAATTACTCTGGCTAGAACGTTCAGTACTACATTTAATAAAAGTGGTAAAAGTAGACCCCTGTTTGTCTTGTTCCAGATCTTACAGAAAAAGCTTTCAATCTTTCCCCATTCAGTATTATGTTAACTGTGTGTCATATATGGCCTTTATTGTGTTGAAGTAAGTTTCTTATACCCAGCTTGTTTCATGTTTTTTATTATGAAGGGATGTTGAATTTTACCAAATGCTTTTTCAGCATCTGTTGGTATGATCATATGTTTTTGTCTTTGAGTCTGTTAATGAGATGTACCTATTTATTGATTTGCATATATTGAACTACCATTACATACCTGGAATGAATCCCACTTGATTATGGTGAATGATTTTGTAAATGTGTTATTGAATTCAGTGTGGTAGTATTTTGTTGGGGATTTTTGCACCTATGTTCATCAGGGATATTGGCCTGTCATTTCCTTTTTTTGTTGTTGTGTTTTCATCTGGTTTTGGAATCAAGGTAATGTGGGACTCATAAAATGAGTTTGGCAGTATTCCTTTCTCTTCAGTTTTTTGGAAGAGTTTGAGAATAATTGATATTAGTTATTTTTAAAATGTTTAGTAGGGTTCACCTATGAGGTCATCAGGTCCTGGGCTCTTCTTTGGTGGGAGAGTCTTCTCTCTTTTGTCTTCATTAGTCTAGCTAAAGGTTTGTCTATTTTATCTTTTTAAAAACCCAACTCTGTTTTGTTGACCCTTTGCATTGATTTTTAAAAATCTTTATTTTGTGTATTTCTGCTTTGTTGTTACTTTCCTTCTACTAATTTGGGGTTTGGTTTGTTCTTACTTTTCTAGTTCCTTTAGGTATTAAGTTGTTTCCTTGTTGTGATCATTCTACTTTTTTGATGTAGGCATTTTTGCTATAAACTTACTTCTTAGAACTGCTTTTGTTGTATCCCATAGGTTTGGTATGTCATGTTTCCATTTTCATTTGTCTCAAGGAGTTTTTTTATTTTTCTCTAATTTCATCATTGGTGCATTTGTTTTTGAGAAGTATGTTGTTTAATTTCCATGAATTAATAATTTCCAACATCCCTTATTATTAATTTCTGGGTTATTCCATTGTAGTGAGGAAATATACTTATGATTTCTATTTTTAAAAAATTGTTGAGACTTGTTTTATGACATAACTTATGGTAAGTTTATCCTGGAGAATGTTCCATTTGCTGTTAAGAAAATGTGCATTCTGCAGCTTTTAGATGGAATGTTCTATAAATTTTTGTTAGGTCCATTTGTGCTACAGTGCAGCTTAACTCTCATGTTTTATTTTCTGTCTGGATGATCAGCTCATTGTTGAAAGTAGGATGTTGAAGTTTCCTACTGTTATTGTAATAGTAAGAGATATAGTTAATATCTCCCTTTAGATCTATTAATATTTGCCTTACACATTTGGGTGCCTGGTGTTTAGTGCATATATATTTAGAAGTGATATATTCTCTTGCTGTATTGGCCCCTTTATCATTTTATAATGACATTCTTTGTCTTTTTTTTTCTACCATTCTTGACTTAAAGTCTATTTAATCTGATATAAATATAGTTATTTCTGCTCTTTTTTGTCTCCACTTGCATGAAATATATTTTTCTATTTATTCACTTTTAGTCTGTGTTATTATAGATGAAGTGAGTTTCTTTTAGACAGCATATAATTGGATCTTGTTTTTTTTAATTCATTTAGCCACTCTGTACCTTTTAGTTGGTGAATGTAATCCATTTATATCTGACAGAGCAGGAGCACTGTCATCTTGGACAAACACCACGACTTTAAGTTCCAGCTCCCTTTCTAGCCTCATGCATTTCAAAAAAATCACTTCTTTTCTAACCACAAGCAGCCAGAAAAAGCAGACAGTAAAACACAGATAAAACAGCTCAGGCACAGAGAGAGGGCAGGGGAAAGTCTCTTGAGTAACTGCCAAACTGCACCCTCATGCAATGGGCCCCAGTAAGACAGTGGGCCTTAATAAGTATATTCCTTTCCCTTCAGGTGCACTAAAATAGGAAAGCTAAAAGCAGACTAGAGGGTGTGCCTGCAGCTGCAGAAAAATATATAAAAACAAACACACAACTCTCCCTTCCAAATAAGCACAACGACAACAAAAAAACAAAAACAAAAGCAGTCCAAGTTTCTAATAAACTCTCCCACCCCAAATCCTTAAAAACTCTTAGTCTGTAAAAAAAAAGTGTGCCTCTAACTTAACTCAGCCAAATGCCCCAATCAGGCTTATTTTCTCTGAAATAAACCTGTCTTAACTGGCAAGCCACCTTTTATGTTTCTTTCCTCTTTCTTTAATTCTTACAATAACCAGGTTATTATTGATAGGTAAGAGTTTGCTACTGTCATTTTGTAACTTATTTCCTGGTTGTTTTGTAGATCCTTTCTTCCTTTTTTCTCTCTTACTGTCTTCTTTTGTGGTTAAGTGATTAAGCAGTATGTTTTAACTCCATAGCAGCTATGGTAGTGTACATTCCCACCAGCAGTGTGGAAGTGTATCAGTTCTAGGAGCTTTCTGGAGGAGTACTTAGGGTTTTCAAGGTAAACGATCATATCATAAGCAAACAGTGACAGTTTGACTTCCTCTTTACCGATTTGGATGCCTTTTATTTGTTTCTCTTGTCTGATTGCACTAGCTAGGACCTCCAATACTAGAAGAGTGGTGAGAGTTGGCATCCTTCTCTTGTTCCAGTTCTCAAAGGGAATGCTTTCAACTTTTCCCCATTCGGTATTATGTGGGCTGTGGGTTTATCATAGATGGGTTTTATTACATTAAGCTATGTCCCTTGTATGCTGATTTTGTTGAGAGTTTTTATCATAAAGGGATACTGGGTTTTGTCGAATGCTTTTTCTCCATCTATTGAGATGATCATGTGATTTTTGTTTTTAATTCTGTTTATGTTGTGTATCACATTTCTTGACTTCTGTATGTTAAACCATCCCTGTAATCCCTGGTATGAAACCCACTTGATCATGGTGGATTATCTTTTTGGTATGTTGTTGGATTCAGTTAGCTAGTATTTTGTTAAGGATTTTAGCATCTATGTTCATCAAGGCTATCAGTCTGTAGTTTTCTTTTTTGGTTATGTCCTTTCCTGGTTTTGGTATTAGGGTGATGCTGGCTTCATAGGATGAATTAGGGAGGGTTCCTTCTTTCTCTGTCTTGTGGAATAGTGTCAAAAGGATTGGTACAAATTATTCTTTGAATGTCTGGTGGAATTATGCTGTGAATCTGTGTGGTCCTGGAATTCTTTTTGCTGGTAATTTTTAAATTACCATTTCAGTCTTACTGCTTGTTATTGGTCTGTTCAGGGTATTTTATTCTTCCTGATTTAAGCTAGGAGGGTTGTATTTTCTCAGGAGTTTATCCATCTCTTCAAGGTTTTCTAGTTTACTTGCTTAAAGGAGTTCATAGTAGCCTTGAATGATCTTTTGTATTTCAGTAGCGTCAGTTGTAATATCTCCTGTTTCGTTTCTTAGTGAGGTTATTTGGATTTCTTCTCTTCTTTTCTTGGTTAACCTTGCCAATGGTCTATCGATTTTGTCTTTTTAAATAACCAGCTTTTCGTTTCATTTATCTTTTGTATTTTTTTGGTTTCAATTTCATTTAGTTCTGCTCTGATCTTAGTTATTTTCTTTCCTCTGCTGGGTTTGGGTTTGATTTTTTCTTGTTTCTCTAGGTCCTTGAGGTGTGACCTTAGAGGGCCAGTTTGTGCTCTTTCAGTCTTTTTGATGTAGGCATTTAGGGCTATGAACTTTCCTCTTAGTACTGCCTTTGCTGTATCCCAGAAGTTTTGATAGGTTGTGTCATTATTGTCGTTCAGTTTGAAAAATTTTTAAATTCTCATCCTGATTTTGTTTTTGACCCAATTCTCATTCAGGAGCAGGTTATTTAATTTACGTATTTGCATGGTTTTGAAGGTTCCTTTTGGACTTGATTTCCAGTTTTATTCCACTGTGGTCTGAGAGAGTGCTTGATATAATTTCAATTTTCTTAAATTTATTGAGGCTCAGTTTATGGTCTATCATATGATCTATCTTGGAGAAATTTCCATGTGTTGTTGAATAGAATGTGTATTCTGCAGTTGTTGGATGAAACGTTCTGTATATATTTGTTAAGTCCATTTGTTCCAGGGTATAGTTTAAATCTATTGTTTCTTTGTTGACTTTCTGCCTTGATGACCTGTCTAGTGCTGTCAGTGGAGTATTGAAGTCACCCACTATTACTGTGCTGCTGTGTATCTCATTGCTTGGTCTATTAGTAATTGTTTTATAAATTTGGGAGCTCCAGTGTTAGGTGCATATATGTTTAGGACTGTGATATTTTCCTGTTGAACAAGGCCTTTTACCATTACACAATGTCCCTCTTTGTCTCTTTTAACTGCTACTGCTTTAAAGTTTGTTTTGTCTGATATAAAAATAGCTACCCCTGCTCACGTTTGGTGTCCATTTGCATGAAATGCCTTTTTTCCACCCCTTTGCTTTAAGTTTATGTGAGTCCTTATGTGTTAGGTGAGTCTCCTGAAGGCAGCAGATGGTTTGTTTGTGAGTTCTTATCCATTCTGCAGTTCTGTATCTTTTAAGTGGAGCATTTAGGCCATTTACACTCAATGTTAGTATTGAAATGTGAGGTACCGCCACATTCATCATGCTGTTTGTTGCCTGTGTACTTTGGTTTTTTTGTTCTTTGTTTTTGCTTTTTAACTTGTAGTTTTGTTTTATAGGTCCTGTGTGATTTATGCTTTAAAGAGGTTCTGTTTTGATGTGTTTCCAGGATTTGTTTCAAGATTTAGAGCTCCATTTAGCAGTTCTTGTAGTGATGGCTTGGTAATGGAGAATTCTCTCAGCATTTGTTTGTCTGAAAATGACTGTATCTTTTCTTCATATAAGATGCTTAGTTTCACTGGATACAAAATTCTTGGCTGATAATTGTTTTGTTTGAGGAGGCTGAAGATAGAGCCCCAATCCCTTCTAACGTGCAGGGTTTCTGTTGAGAAATCTGCTGTTAATCTGATAGGTTTTCCTTTATAGGTTACCTGGTGCTTCTGTCTCCCAGCTCTTAAGATTCTTTCCTTCCTCTTAACTTTGGGTAACCTGATGACAATGTGCCCAGGCAAAGCTCTTTTTGCAATGAATTTCCCAGGTGTTCTTTGTGCTTCTTTTATTTGGATGTCTAGGTCTCTAGCAAGACTGGGGAAGTTTTCCTTGATTATTCCGCCACGTATGTTTTCCAAGCTTTTGGAATTCTCTTCTTCAGGAACACCGATTTTTTTTTTCCTTTTTGAGACGGAGTTTCACTCTTGTCACCCAGGCTGGAGTGCAGTGGTGCAATCTCATCTCACTGCAACCTCCGCCTCCCAGGTTGAAGTGATTCTCCTGCCTCAGCCTCTCGAGTAGCTGGGATTACAGGCATGTGTCAGCACTCCTGGCTAATTTTGTATTTTTAGTAGAGCTGGGGTTTCTCCACGTTGGTCAGGCTGGTCTCGAATTTCTGACCTCAGGTGATTCATCTGCCTTGGCCTCCCAAAGTGCTGGGATTGCAGGCATGAGCCACGGCTCCCAGCCAGAACACCGATTACTCTTAAGTTTGGTCATTTAACGTAATCCCAGACTTCTTGGAGGCTTTGTTTGTATTTTCTTATTCTTTTTTCTTTGTCTTTGTTGGATTGGGCTAATTTGAAGAACTTGTCTTCAAGCTTGAATTTCTTTCATCTACTAGTTCATTTCTATTGCTGAGAATTTCCAGAGCATTTCACATTTCAAAAAGTGTGTCCAATGTTTCCTGAATTTTTTATTGTTTTTTCTTTAAGCTATCTATTTCCTTGAATATTTCTCCCTTCACTTCCTGTACCGTTTTTTTGGGTTTCCTTGCATTGGGCTTTGCCTTTCTCTGGTCCCTCTCTGATTAGCTTAATAACTGACCTTCTGAGTTCTTTTTCAGGTAAATCAGGGATTTCTTCTTGGTTTGGATCACTAGCTGGTGTGCTAGTGTGATTTTTTTGGGGTCGTTAAAGGGCCTTGTTTTGTCATGTTACCAGAGTTGTTTCTGTGGTTCCTTTTCATTTGGGTAGGCTCTCTCAGAGGGAAGGTCTAGGGCTGAAGGCTGTTGTTCAGATTCTTTTGTCCCACGTGTTGTTCCTTTGATGAGGTACTCTCTCACTTTTACTATGGATGTGGCTTCCTGTGAGCCTAACTGCAGTGATTGTTGTCTCTTCTCGGTCTAGCCACTTGGCAAGTCTACCCAGTTCTGGGCTGATACTGGGGGTTGTCTGCACAGAGTCCTGTGATATGAACCATCTATGGGACTCTCAGCCATGGATACCAGTGCCTGTTCCAGTGGAGGTGGAGGTGGCAGGGGTGTGGGGGAGGTGGGGGGGAGTGCAATGGACTCCGTGAGAGAGAGCTTTGGCGGTTTAATGTTCTATTTTTGTGCTAGTTGGCCTCCTGCCAGGAGGTGGCGCTTTCCAGAGAGCATCACCTGCAGTAGTATAGAGAGGGACAGGTGGTGGGTGGAGCCCTAGAACTCCCAAGATTATATGCCCTTTGTCTTAGACTACCAGGGTGAGTAAGGAAGGACCCTCTGGCAGGGGCAGGGCTAGGCATATCTGAGCTCAGACACTCCTTGGGCGGGTCTTGCTGTGGGCTGCTGTAGGGGTTGCGGGTGAGATTCCCAGGTCACTGGAGTTGGGTACTTAGGAGGATTATGGATGCCTCTGCTGAGTCATTCAGGTTGTCAGGGAAGTGAGGGAAAGCCAGCAGTCACAGGCCTCACCCAGCTCCCATGCAAACCGGAAGGGCCAGTCTCACTCCCACCTTACCACCCCAATAGCCCTCAGTCTGTTTCCAGGCGGAGAGCAATATAGGTTTGAAAACCTGCCCCAGGCTACCCACCTCCCAGCTGTGAAATAAAAGGGCTTGGTTCTTTTGCTGCCAGTGGAGTCTGCACACTGGATTTGCACCCTCCCTTGCGTTCTGGCCAGGAGGCTTCTCGCCTGGTTCAAACTGTTACAAAGTTGAAAATCTCAGCTAGAGATTTTCTTCTCCCTGGGTAGTTTCACTCCCTGCTCCTCTCCCATTGAATCCCTGTGGCGCCAGGCAGGAATGGACTGCTTGGGGACCCAGCGAGCTCCCAGAGCCTTTCTGTTGCTTACTCTAACCCTGTATTTCGCTCAGCTCTCCAAAGTCACTCAGCTCCAGGTAAAGTCAAAAACTTCTCTGGCTAACAGACCTTCAGCTTCTCCAGTGGGAGTGTGTGTTCGGGAGAGGAAGGCCTCCCTTTCCCACTTCCGTAATTGGGGCACTCATGGTTTTGAGGGTTCTCCCAGGTCCTGCAGGAACAATCTGCTTCCTTTAGAGGGTCTATGGGCCCTCTCGGAATTACTGTTTTTTTCTTGCAGTCGATCTGGAGCTAAAATTTACAGTGCAAGCCCCCACACACCGCTGTGTCCAGAGGTGCAATCTAGTCCTGCCTCCCATCCGCCATGATGATCTCAAAGAGGCTTTTAACATAAGACAGAAGGGCAGAAGTAGGGTGCGGTACATCGTGGAGGGAGTTGTGTTGCCAAGACTGGAAATGGTGTGTGTTACTTCTATCCCATCTCTTTGACCAGACCCGGTCTTATAGCCCAATTAACTTTAAAGAAGGCAGAGAGATATAGGAAAACATGGGTAGTTGGTTAAAATTGACAATCTCTGACATGCTATGATCTCAATTTTTAGAAAATCAATCTGCATATCTATTTAGAAATATATTATGACCAATTCAACAATCTACCTATTCATCCATCTATGTCTCCACCCATCTATTAATTTATCAAGCTGTATTTAAAGAGAATGAAAAAACACATCACTATGCTCACAGTCCTGTTCTGAATTTTCTAAATTTATTACATTGTAGGTGCACTTATATAATAAGAAAAGAAAGATGTTCCATTTAATTTTAAAACAAGCAAGCCAACACACTTCAGTAATCTCCTTGATTGAGGGGGTGGCTAATTTGAATTAGCAACATCCTGAGTTATGGACTGTTTGCAAAGAGATGCAGCTTTATTACTTTTAACTACCATCTTGGACCTGCTTTAATGAATAGGTAGGAATGATTTATAATTAGCCTCGTAATTGTTTGTATCTAATTGAATACTTCTAACGTGGCTTGAAAACTTTCTTATGTGCTTCCTAATGTCAACTCAATTTTTCTTTTAGTATCACAAATTCTTGAATGAGTAGAATTCAAATTCGTGAGCCTTCATTGTGAACAAATCAAAGTAAATGCACAAACTAATAGCAAAATGAAACTCTAGGTGACTGAGGGAAAGGTATGAACCAACAGCACATATGTTCTAATATCTAATAAGCGTGATATCCTGAGATAAACATAAGAATAACATGATCTTAACCACATGGGAACTCACGGACATATTGTTTCTTCTAATCCGTATAAACAAATGGGTTAGACCCTAACACCTGTCCCAAGGCAGAGACTCAAGGACTTCTCTTATTTTCATTGTATCAATCCAGGAGAGCTTCCTGGAGGAAACTCTGAATGTATTTGACTATCTCTTCTGCCTCATCTCAGAGCACACCCTCTCTCAATTCTGCACTGCAGCCACAATGGCCTTCCTTGAGCTTTTTCTAATAAATATAATGACTGCCACCCCAGGACCTTTGCACATGCATTCCACTGTGCCATCACTGGGCTTCGTTCTTCTTTTTCTCTACTTAACTCTTGCTTATATTTCATATTTCAATTCAATTTCCCTAGCAGAACACCCTGTTTAGACCAAATTCCCATAGCATATCCTATATATCTCTCTTTCAAGTACCCATCACAGGAATAACTCTACAAATTTGTTCTGATGTATTTTGATTGATGCCTATTTCCCCTGATTAAAATGTAAGCTTCATGAGAACAGAGTAACTTATCATTTTGTTCACCTTTCTTTCTCCGGGGATAAACAGTGGGCTTGGTGCAGTTCAGGCACTCAATGAATATGTGGTGAACTCATGTTGACTGAGGATAAACAGTGGATTCAGTGAGAAAATTATAGCACAGAGAGATTAAGTACCTTGCCCAAGGTTTTGCAGCTCATCACTCCAACCTCCCTGTCTCTCCAATTTTAGCTCATATGCTAACTTGTTTCAAGCAAAGATAACTGAGATACCTTATAGGGAATGATCGATCAGGGGAAGATGGGGATACTGTGAGAGTTTAGAGGATGAAGAGGTAATTCCCAGCGGGAGGAATCAGGGCATGTTGGGTGGGTAATTTGACATCTGAGTTGGTCCGTTTGTGGACATTTGTGGAGATAAGCAGTGATGGGGACTGCAAGCACAGGGAGCAGCTTGAGCAAGTGCAGGACATGGGGCTGGGGCTTCAAGTATGGCGGGCAGGCCTATGTAAGTGCAAATATACGTGGCTTCTTCTACACTGGGACTGAACAGACTTGGAGGGGGTCAATGGCTGCTCAGAAAGTGGAGCAATCTGTCAAATTAGAGGCAAGCTTCTCAGACAGGTGTCCTGGAGAATCAATCTAGTAGATTAATGTTCAACTTTTTATATTTTCCCTGGACACCAACAATGGATGACATTCACATGAGCAAAAACACATTCTGTCTATTCTGTTAGAGGGGAGCTCTCACTATTGTTCAGACCACTGCATAGATAAGGTGGGTTGCAGATTATGTGCACCACCTGCTGAGATAACCTGATGCCTCTCTCTGCACCTCTCACAATACACCTCTCCGCCACTTGGCAGCATGAGGGTCAACCATCATTCTAAGGTAAGCCTTGTTTCAAGGCTGGGGATTGGGCACTGGATCTGCTTCTTTCTTGGGAGAGCCAGACAAAGCCAAAGTCCTAGAAATTCAACAGAGGCAAATCCATGTAGTATTATTAAGGACATGGACTTTGTAATCTGAGAGACCTAGATTCAAACCCTGAACCCACTGCCTAATGGTTATGTGAGTTTTGGGAACTGTCTTAATTTCACTGAACCTAAAATCCCTCATCTGTAATGTGGTTATAATGTCTAACTTAGAAGATTCTGTAGGATCATTAAGATGTATGAAATATCTTAGCACAGTGCCTGGAGTGAATGTTGGTTTGCTGCTACTTGAACTAGCATGCTACATATGTCTTCTGGACATACTTTCAGATCCAGATAAGAAGGCAAAGAATAATATATTTGAACTAGGTTACCAAAGGGAGCTTCGGTTTGGGAATATCTCCTGGAATTAAAGGTGTATGTTCCTAGATTACCAACGAATTCCATTTTTATTGTTAGATCTTGAGAAACACACAAGAAAGCATAAGAAGGGATATTCATTGCAGCATTGTTCATAACTTTAAAAAAAATGGAACAATTGCTGGGTATGGTGGCTCATGCTTGTAATCCCAGCATTTTTGGAGACCAAAGTGGGAGGATCATTTGAGGGCAGTAGTTTGAGACCAGCCTGGGCAACATAGCCAAGACCCAATTTCTACTAAAAATAAAAAAAATAGCCAGGAATGGTGGTGGACGCCTGTCATCCTAGCTACTTGGGAGACAGGTGGGAGGATTGCTTGAGCCCAGGAACTCAAGGCTAAAGTGAGCTATGATCACACCACCGCACTCCAGCATGGGTGACAGGGAGAGATATTATCTCAAAAAAATAAAATAAATAATGTATATGTTCATTAATGAGAAATTGGCTAAATAAACTGTGATGTTACACTATGGAAAATAAGCTAAGGTTCAAGGAAATGAAGTAGATCTATAATATATAATTACATGAAAATATATCAATGACTTGTATAAAAATAAGCAAATTACAAAAATGATATATGCAGTATGATACCATTTATGTAAAACACACACATAGTAATTCTACACTATAATCATGAGGGGTAAGGGAGAGAAAGAGAAAGAGATTGAAGAAATGGTAATGTAATTATCACCAGGGGAAGGGGATAGCCCGAGATTAAATTAAAAGAGTAGAGATAATTCTAAAGTTTCTTGGTCAAAAGGAACTTTAGAATTATCTCTGATCTTTTAATTTATTACAAGGATAAGATATTCATGTAGAATTTGTGCAACGAGATTTTAATTTTAGAAAACATGTAGACCAGATTTGTTTCAAGAACCTGTTTGGAAGCCAGAAGCTCTACTCTATAGACTGAGGCTTGTATTCAGAGCAATCAGATCCCTGGGTGGGGCTGAACCTACAGTGTAGAAGTCCATTGACTATGGGGAGGGGACTGCATAGGCATAGATGAGGAGTCAGCCAGACTTCGTTTGTGAGGGAAGAATCTACAATGTGTGAAAAGGTGCTAAGGAAGAAAAAGAAGGCGATTTGTGAATGCAGGGTAAATGCTCTGGACAAGCCTAACAAAATGCCTTCTGGTTATGCCCCCTGTGGTGTTACGATGTATATTAGTTTCCTCCATGGTTCCTGGATCATAACCCCCATAGCCCTCGTTAACAGTCACGTGTTATAATGTTGGGTGTGTGAAGCCTCAGAGACAGGACTCTGACTTTCTCCTGACTTCTTTTCACCTGCCCCAAGACAGGACTCCGTGCTTCCCCCATCCCTTTCCCATTGTGGGTCTTACGACCCTCCCCAGAGAGGGTCCCACCCTATACTCAGGGAGAAGGAATGCTCAGATCATGAAGCCTCCTTAAAAAAACCAACATAACTGGGTTCGAAGAGCTCCTGGATAGCCCAACATGTGGAAGTTCCTGGAGGGTGACGTGCTCAGCAGGGGCATGGAAGTTCTGCGTCCCTTCCCCTATACCCCATCCTACGTACATCATCATCTGTGTCTTTTGCAATATCTTTTATAATAAGCCAGTAAATATAAGTGTTTACCTGAGTTCTGGGAGCTGCTCCAGAAAATTAATTCAACCCAAAGAGGGGGGCATAGGAGCCCCAACTTAAAGCCGGCATGTAAGAAGTTCCGGAGGCCTGAACTTGCCACTGGTGTTAAGGGAGGGCAGTCGTGGGCACTGAGCACTCAACTTGTGGGATTTAACACAATCTCTGGGTAGAGAGCGTTGGCACCGAATTAGATGACACCCAGCTGGTATCTGCTACTTGGTGTGTAGGGGGAGAAAACCCACAGAAGTCACAGAAGTCTTCTGTGTTGATGATTATTGTGGTGTGAGAGCATGACTCCGTTATGGCAAGTCTCATAGTTTCTATCATCTAGCTCTTTTTTCTTTTCTTTTCTTTTTTTTTTCTTTTTTTTTTTTTTTTTTTTGATGGAGTCTGGCTCTGTCATCCAGGCTGGAGTGCAGAGGTGCCATCTCAGCTCACTGCAATCTCCACCTCCTGGGTTCAAGCAATTCTCCTGCCTCAGCCTCCCGTGTAGCTGGGACTACAGAAGTGCACCACCAGAGTGGCTAATTTTTGCACTTTTAGTAGAGTCAGGATTTCACCATGTTGGCCAGGCTGGTCTCTAATTCCTAACCTCAGGCGATCTGCCCGTTTTGGCCTCCCAAAGTGCTGGGATTACAGGTGTGAACCATCATGCCTGGCCTACAGACATTTTTTTGAGGAACTTCTTATATGGACCTCTTGGCCTCTTGGCAGGTGACCCAATCCTCATGGTAGCTGACTGTAACAGAGATAACCACCTGACCTCTTAATCTGTTCCACAGAGATGAAAATGCCATCTATTTTCCATACCAGCAGTCTACAAAGTGGCCCAGAATTTTCTGAACCACAAATACATTCATTCTTAGGGACATTAAAATGTAAGTTAGAGTGAGTGGGTGGCTTATAGAAGCCACAACCTGAAAAGAAGCAAAGCAATGAGGTAAATAGAGGATGGAAAGGAAAATCCATGAGTAGAGTGAGGAAGGAGATGCTTTTGGGAGACAAGTGCCAAAGGACGGCAGGTGCCATGACTAAGCAGGACCACAATATAAAGATGGAAGCAGAGGCTCAGGACAAGGTGGAAACAAAGTCACTCCTTTACCAAAATTGCAGGCAACTGATGTAGAGAGCAATGGAGGCCGGTATTCAGAACTGTGTTCACAGCAACCAAGGTTTTACTGCTGGGAGGCTGACTGTATGTCCTGGATCTTTTTACTACTGCGAGGTTGACTAGATGTCCTGGAGCTTACAGTAGTGCTGTGTCCCAGTTGCTTCTAGTTGCTGCCCAGTCATTTCTGGGTTTCTTACTTTTCCATGTCTTTTTACAGAGAAAAATAGAATTGCTAAAATTGTAGGTTTTGAAACCAGATTATCTGATTTTTTTAACCATGACTCTACTAATGTGTCAATTAAATTGTTTATATTATGGGTCAATAATTTAAAACACTACAAATTTTAGAGCCTTAAAACAATACAATTGTATTTTTGATGTTTTTAATACACCCACAGAGCATCAATGGGGAGCCCCATGCTGTCACCCTCACCAGGCTGATGACATCACCATCAGATGGAGTATCTGCAGAGGGAGATGTCTAAGCATAATGAATTGAGCACTAGCCTTTAGAGCTTTCACTGCGCGGTGACATATGCCACCTCTACTAACATTTCTTTGGCCGAAGCACGTCATACAGTGCATTGGTTTTCAAAAAAAAAAAAAAGAGAGAGAGAAGTGCAATATTTATTGTGTCTAGAAAGTGGAAACCTAGGCATATTTGGTTGTGAACTGCATAGATGACTATTATAACCTCCATTTGCTATGTGATCTTGAGCAGCTTTCTCAACTTCTCTGTGCCTCAATTTTCTCATCTTCAAGACAAAGGTAACTGTCATACTTCCTAAGCTGTTGTGAGAAATGATTGCAAACCTGTAGAAGTGCTTAGCACCACTCATGGCACATTTTGGCTTTATTATAGTTAGAAATTATTATTATTATTGGCTTTATTTATAGTTAGAAATTAACCAAACCCTATTACCTGAACTGACTTGGCTCAAGTTGCCTCCTAGCTTAAACCCATACAATGGGACATCTCTCCTGAGTATTTGCATAGGTTAGGTTTTCTCTGATTATATGCCACCTCTGCTCACCTCTACTCCATCTTTATGGTGTCAAGAAGTTATCTCCAGGAATCTATGGCATTGTAAAAAGTTTCAAGTGAGTGAATCCAGAAACGCAGCAAGGAATTTTTCATGGGTCATCTGTTGAGCCAAAGAGAGAGATACGTGTAATTTCAAGCACAGCAGAAGTGGTTCTGAGAAATGTATCTCTAAAGCTTTCCCAGAGCCAGAGATAGAAACCAGAGAAGCTCACGACATGGAAACAGAAGAATGAGCAGGAGGCCGATGAGCAGATGGGAGTTATTTTTAAAAAGAGGCAGCAAAAAGTCGTGGGAGGAGAATGCTACAGACAAGAGAGCTCTGGAGCTACAGGTTGGAATACGATTTGGGAGCCCTAAAGAGGAAAAGTGTCTATCAGGGTTGAGAAGCTGGACTATTAGACCGAGACAATGCCTTGAGATTTGAGAACCTGGAGCATTAGACTGGGAAGATGTCTTCAGATTGCCAGAAAGATGGTCCCAGAAAATAATGCCAAAAAATAATTTTCTCGTCTTTTTTTTTTTTTTTTTTCCTGAGGCAGGGTCTTGCTCTGTTGTCCAGGCTGGAGTGCAGTGGTGCAATCACAGCTTACAGCAGCCTTGACCTCCCTGGGCTCAGGTGATCTTCCCACCTCAGCCTCCCGAGTAGCTGGGACCACCGGTGCATGCCACCACACCTGGCTAATTTGTTTGTATTTTTTGTAGTGATGGGGTTTCACCATGTTGGCCAGGCTGTTATTGAACTCCTGGGCTCAAGTGATCCACCCGGCTCAGCCTTCCAAAGTGCTAGGATTACAGGTGTGAGCCACAATGACCAGCCTAGAAAATAATTTTCAAGTGACATAAAACTAACTTTGAGCTGGTTTAAACAAAAAGGGAGCTTTATTGGCTGACATAATAAGGAAGTCCAAGATTAGGTACAGCTTCAGGCAGAGCGGCATCTGGGTGCTGGAACAGTATCATCAGTGTTATTTATTTTTCTAAGTTTTGTTGTCTTGGTGTCAGTTTTGTATTTTTAACGTTGAACTCACAGGAAGATTCTTCCTTCCTGGCACCATGATGGCTGCTAGCACCTTCAGGTTTGCATTCTGTCTTCCCGTCCTTGTTACTAGAAGAGAGTGCCCCTCTCCCAGTCACTCCAAAAAGAACTCTGGATTTTCTTTCATTGGGATGCAAGCACAATCCAGAACTGATTACCGTGGCAAGGGGGATATGACTTCTGACTGGCCAGACTGGGGTCACGTGAAAAATCCCAGACCACACATGTATCAGCCGCACATGAACTACAGGAACGGAATGAAAAACGGAGCATAAGTCCCTAAGGAAAAGTTGCAGCGATAAAGATAGGGAGAAATACAGGGGGCTAGGCAAATAAGAAATTTTGTGAACAATTTTTTGAACAATTATTGTGTACCCTAGGGACGGCTGCAGTCTTCAGTAGCAACCCCCACTTCCCCTCCCTCCTCAATTTCACTAGCACCACTCTCAGCAGGCAGAGATGACTTTCAGCATATTAGCTCATCTCCAGCCTGGTGGGAGCTTCAAGAGCCCTGCTGTCTTGGAGCCACAATCCTCCACAGTCCTACCAATGTGGTTTTTCCCCCAGCTTAGCTCTTTGATTTCCCAGAGGAGCCCAAAACTTTCCTTGAATACCAGAACAATGGCTGAGAATTGAGAGCATGTGTATTCCTTGTTTGTTCTGTGTGCTCAGATCTGTACACCTTTCCATAAGATGTTGGCTCGAGTTTTGCTTTATATTAGAGAAATGACCCAGGATCAGGACAGTAAATCCACGTGATGACGGCCACCACTTTAGAGTGAAACTTAAGAGGCGAAATTTGATCTTATTTGGAAATGAGATTTAGACATGTCCCTCAGAGAATAGGGATTTTTCTATTCTGATTGGATCCAACGTGACACGGACTAAGCTGTGCAGAATGTGGAGTGAAATAATAATCATCTCATTTGTAACTATTTCTTCCCCATTTGGCAAACCTATGCTAGTTCTTCCGGGCTTATTTCAAATATCCCCCGTTCTTGGGGCCATTGCAACTTCCCTAGAAACAATTTACTTCCCTTCATTTGCTCACATAATTCATGGAGTATATCCACTCTAGCACTTGAATTTCTAGAAGTCAATCTTATTCATTATGGTATCATCAGTTCCTGGGTGGTAGGTAGGTAGGTACTTAATACAACTGTGATGGACAAATGGATGAATTATTTACACAGATTAAGCTGGAAGAAACATTAAGAATTCATAAAATCCAAACTACTGATTATAGAGATGAAGAAACTGTCAGCCAGTGAAGACAAATAACTCACACAAAAACACACAGAACATTTGTGGTTATGTGAAAATTGAGGTGTTTCAATCCTCAATCCAGAAGTCCTGTCCTTGCATTACAGTCCCACAAGGGGCACTCAGTTTTAGCATTTCACATATATCATTTATTTCACTCACCCTGCTCAGCCTTGTTATCCTTATTGTAACAATGAGGAAGCAAAGGGTCAGAAAAATGATTGCTGAGGTGTTTTCCCAGCTCTACAAGTGCATCTGGACCCAATTGCCCAACTCTGGCTCTGACACTCTTCCTACTTGGTAGAGAAACTCTGGAAAGCATCAGAACCCAGCCAGCCTAGTAGAACTTGCATTCTTTTCAATCTCACTCCTTCGCCCTCAGAAGCAGGCCCAGTAACCTGAAATAGAAATGCTTAAAGACAAACCAGTATGATGATGCCCATACCCTTGGAGCCTGCTTCCAGCTGCCAGAGACAATAGGAAAGCTTTGGATGTTCACACAGCTGATTCTGTCATGGTGGTAGGGAAGAGACAGTTCTGGCAACCAGACCCTAACATCAGCTTCTGCAACTCCCGACCTAGGCCTATTAGAGAGGGGGAAAAATGAAGGGGATCTACTCCAGAAAATAGATGGCTTTATGCTGCAATTTTCTAACAAGTGTCTTTATTGTCTTCCCTAGAAACCTCATAACAAAGACAGGATATATATATATATATTCTTGATCATAATAACAACATCTTACGTATTACCTGCCATATGTGCTTTATATATATAATCTCACTTGATCCTCACAACAGTCTTACAAGGAAAGTACTATACTTATCCCTACTTTATTGATGGGGAAAAAATGAGTCATGCTATGATTAAGCCACTTGACTAAGTTCACCCATTTAGAAACTGGCAAAGCACACAGGGGAACCCAAACAGTCTGACACCAGATCCCACATGCTTAAGCACTGAGCAAAGGCAGCTCATGATAAGATCAGAATATTTTAGGTCACAC
This sequence comes from Homo sapiens, assembly GCF_000001405.40. Classification (NCBI taxonomy): domain Eukaryota; kingdom Metazoa; phylum Chordata; class Mammalia; order Primates; family Hominidae; genus Homo; species Homo sapiens. The sequence goes on along the minus strand of NC_000016.10, from coordinate 26,454,217 downwards.
TCTGATTTGGGATCTCTTAAGCTGTCTGACTCTACGCAAGCCTTGTTTTCCTCATTTGTAAAATGAAGCTAGAAGTGCTTATCTGATAAGATTGTATGATTATTAAATAAGGTTATCTAGGTAGATACATATTATAAAATATAACTTTGTACAGAGTGGCATACTAAGCTTTGCAATGAAGACTTGCTTTCAAATCTAATCTCCTTGATGTACTACCTCTCTGCCTGTAGGAAAATTATGTAAGCTCCATGAATTTAAGACTTGAAATTAGAGGTGAAAAATTTTTTTCTGTCAAATAATTGAATAATAATTGTTACTTATTAAGGATGGTCATGAGTATTGAGAGGAAAACTGCGTGAAAACACTGAGCATAAGACTTGTGTATACTCAGCTCTCAGAAATGCTGGTTTCTATATTTTCCCCTTTGCAAATAAATGTATTGCCTGCCATTTGTTTAATTATTGAGCCTGAACTTCAGTATGGAAATCCCTAATCCAAGCTTTGAGCTATCAGATGCAGACTGGAAAGTGAGAAGGTGGGTAGAGGATAAAAGCATTTTGCAAATACAGATGAACTCAGAGAAAAAATGAGGGAATTCAGACTTCCAAGAGCACAACTATGAATGGAATCCATCATACACATTTTAAGTCAGGAGCTATGTAAGACAAGCAAAAGCTCTTGCTGGAGACAATTTATCTAGCTTTTGTTGCTCTTAGAAGCTCAGGGGCTGCCTTAACATTAGAAGTATAGAATTCTGTCAGGAATTCCTTCACTTGCAATGGCTAACAGAGCTGAGCTGAAATTTTACTGCTTAACAGCAGATGTCAGTGTTGGCCATTACTCACAATACCGTGAAACTACCCTATATACCAAGCTACTGGTTCTGGAAAATAAATTAATGGTAAATTTGCATAAGTCAGTACAACTTTTACTTGATGACAGAAGCCTCTATACTCTCCCCCTAGGGATGTTTCATAAGAACATGGAAGAACAGATCTCCAGTCTTCTCAGAACTCCTTAGAAATGGTTATTCTTATTGTGGGATAGAAAAAACTGCTCTGAATTCTTAAACGTTGTATATAGCCTGGTTATGGAGAGTTAGTCCACTAATATCTGTCCAAGAGACTGGAGTGGCTGGACAGGAAAGGATAATGGGGACAGGAGAGAAGGAGAAAATAAAGAAACTTTAAAGTGCCAATTTTACTACTTATCAGAATCTAAAGCCAAGAATTATGAGTGTAAAAGTGTAAATATGACATGGAAAAAATTATACATACATGTAGAGAAAATTATTTCATTTTTATAAGAATATGTACCTATGTTAGGAAATTTAGTTCAGTCATTAAGAGTGACAGCTTTGGCTCAGTTGTCTGGATTCGAATATCAAAGTTATATGTAATAGGAGATCTCCTGAACATTTATTAGTCTCTGTGTGTATCAGTTTTCTTATCTATAAAGTGTAGATAGTAATAGCACCTACTTTATAAATTTGTGAGGATGAAATCATCCATATTAATTGCTATACAAAATGTCTAACATATACGAAGTGCTTACTAAACATTAGGTATTATATTTGCATATAAATGTATTTCTGTCTTTGCAGGCAGAAAGTCTAGAAGGACAATAGTCGCCAGAATTTGCTCCTGTTTTCCTGTTAGCTTTTGTGTTATCCAATATTGCCTAGCAAGTACTATTTGTATTATATTACTTAAAGGGAAATAAATCATTCATCAAAAAAGTTAGTTTTTGAAAAATGGCAACTGAAATATGAAGAGCTGAGCTCCAAAATGTATCATTTATTTTCTCCTAGACCAGAGTAAATTCTCCAAGGCTGAGGCCTAGACCCACCTCTGCAACATGAGTACCCTTTCCTTCTTTACTCTCTCTTATAGAACTTTGTACAGAAATCAACTATATAACTTATCATTGAGAGGCCCCAAAAAGTAGGGAATAAAAATAAGATTTAGAAACAGAGAATAATGTGTGCAAATCAAACTCTGCCACTCACAGTATAATGTCATTTAAAGGCAGAATTTGATCATGCCAAAACAACCAATAAAATAACAAAGTTGTAGAACAGCCAACAAAGGAGATAAAAATGAATATTAAAATTCAATTTGTTATTAATAAAAAGAAGGAAGAGGTAAAATGAAATGAAGAGAAGGATTAAATCGGAAAATAGCAATATGATAATTTTAAGCATAACGATCTAAATAATATTAAATGTTAATGCTATAAATAACAACGTTAAAAGTCAGAAGGGTGTCAGATTACATTTAAAAAGCAAGACCCAATTATATTCTGCTGATATAGTTTGTATACCTGTCCCCATCCAAATCTCATGTTGAGTTGTAATCCCCAGTGTTAGAGGTGGGGCCTCTAGTAGAAGGTGATTGGATCATGGGGATGAATTTCTCATGAATGGTTTAGCACCGTCCCCTTGGTGATATCCTTATGAGAGTGAGTGAGTTCTTCCAAGATATGGCTGTTTGAAAGTCTGTGGCTCCCCCATCTCTCTTTCTTGTTCCTGCTCTCACCATGTTACATGCAAGCTCCCCTTTGGACTTCCACCATGATTGTAAGCTTCCAGAGGCCTCCCCAGAAGCAGGTGCTGGTGCCATACTTCCTGCTCAGCCTGCAGAACCATGAACCAATTAAACTTCTTTTATTTATAAATTACCCAGTCTCAGGTATTTCTTTATAGCAATGCAAGAACAGCTTAATACATCTGCCTGCAAGAAATATACTTCAAATAAAAGATACAACAGGTTGGCCAGGAATGGTGGCTCATGTCTGTAATCCCAGCACTTTGGGAGGCCGAGGCAGTTGGATCACTTGAGGTTAGGAGTTCGAGACCAGCCTGGCCAACATGGTGAAACACCATCTCTACTAAAATACAAAAATTAGCCAGGCATGGTGGCATACGCCTGTAATCTCAGCTACTCAGGAGGCTGAGGCAGGAGAATTGCTTGAACCTGGGAGGCAGAGGTTGCAGTGAGCCAAGATCACGCCACTGCTTTCCAGCCTGAGTGACAGAGCAAGATTCCATCTAAGAAAAAAAAAAAAAAAAAGATGTAATAGGTTAAAATAAAAGGGTGGAAAAGATACACCACGCAAACACTAATCCAAAGAAAGCTGGCATGGTTATATTAATGTCAAAGAAACTACATTTTAGAGCAAATAAATAATATTACCAGTGGTAAAGATGGCCACTTTCTAATGTATCAATTTATAAAAAGAATCTAAGAATCTCAACCTTTTATAAACCCAATAATAGAGTTTCAAAATACATGAAGCAAAAACCAACAGCACGGCAAGTACAGTTGGGAAAAGCAATAATTGAAATAAAAAATTTAACACCCTTCTTTTAGTAATCAATAGAACAATTGGAGAAAAACTAGGAAGATCATAGAAGATTTGAACAATACTATCAACAAACTTGACCTAATTGACATTTATGGAATACTCCATCTAACAACAGCAGAGTACACATTCTTTTCAATGGCATGTGGAACATTCCCATGATAGATCATATTCTGGGTAATGAAGTAAATCTCAATAAACTCAAAGGAACTCAAATTATACAAAGCACATACTCTCACTGCAATGGAAATAAATTAGAAATCAATAACTAATAGGTCCCTGGAAAATCCCAAAATATTTGAAAACTAAATAGCTTACTTTAAAATAACACATGTAGCAAAGAGGAAGTTAGATGGTAAATTACACAGTTTTGAAATGAATAAAAACAAAAATTCAAAATATAAAAATTTATGAGACGCCACTATAACAGAATTTAGTAGAAAATTTATGGCAGTAAATGCTTATGCTAGAAAAGTAGAAAGGTCTCAAATCAATGACTTCAGCTTCTGTTTGGAGGAATAAGAAAAAGAAGAGCCAATTAAATGCAAAGGAAAAAGGACATAATAAAAAACAGAGCAGAAACAATGCGAAAGAAAACAGAGCAACTATAGAGTAAATCAATAAAACCAAAGCTGGTTTTTTGTTTGTTTTGAGACAGTCTCATTCTGTCACCCAGGCTGGTGTGCAGGGGCATGACCATAACTCACTGCATCCTGCCTTCCTGTGCTCAAGCAATCCTCCCACCAAAGCTGCCTGTGTAGCTGGGACCACAGGTATGTGACACCATGCCCAGCTTTTTTTTTTTCTTTTGAGAAGGTCAATACAATTGATTTACCTCTAGCTAGGAAAACAATTGAAAAATAATTAATCAATACCTAAACTGAGAGATGCCATCACCAGAGAGTCTACAAAGATTAAAGAATACTAATGAAATATTATGAACAACTTAATGCCAACTTAGACAAAATGAAGAAATTGCTTGAAAGATACAACCAAATAACATCAAGGAAGAAATAATTAACCTGAATTAACATTATGCCTTTCAAGGACATTGAATTTCTGGTTAAAAACAATCCCACAAAAATAATTTCAAGCACAGATGCTTTCACAGGTAAATTTTACCAAACATTTCAAAAAGAAATATTATTAATTCTATAAAAACTTTTCTAGAAAATTAAATATGAAGAAATACTTTCTTCTTTTTTTTTTTTTTTTTTTTTTGAGACAGAGTCTCGCTTTCTTGCCCAGGCTGGAGCGCAGTGGCACAATCTCGGCTCACTGCAAGCTCTGCCTCCCAGGTTCACACCATCCTCCTGCCTCAGCCTCCCAAGTAGCTGGGACTACAGGCGCCCGCCACCATGCCCGGCTAATTTTTTCGTATTTTTGGTAGAGATGGGGTTTCACTGTTAGCCAGGTTGGTCTCGATCTCCTGACTTCATGATCCGCCCACCTTGGCCTCCCAAAGTGCTGGGATTACAGGCGTGAGCCACCGCACCCGGCCAGAAATACTTTCTAACTCATTCTATGAAGCAAGCATTGCTCTGACACCAGAACCAAAGACATTACAAAAGTAGAAAACTGCAGGTCAATTTTGTTCATAAACACAGACACAAACATTTTAAACAAAATTTTAGTACATTGAATTCAATATTTAACAAAAATAATATATAATAATCATTACATATCCTGGGTGATTATTCTAAGATTGCAAGTTTGGTTTAACTTTCAAAGGGCAGTCAATTGTAATTCACCATATTAACAAACTAAAGAGAAAAAAATATGTGATCATGCCAATAAATGCAGAAAAGATATTGGACAAAATCCAACATACATTCCTGATAAAAATTCTCAGTCAACTAAGAATAGAATAAAATTTTCTCTACCTGATAAATGGCATCTGCAAAACCCTACAGCTAAGATTGTACTTAATGGTAAAAGGCTGAATGCTTTCCTGAGAACAGCATCTCACAAATGTTTATGTTGAATTTTCATTTGAATTCATTTCAAAATAATTTGTCATTCCCTTTTAACTTTCTCATTGATGCATGTGTTATTTAAAGGGCAAAGATATCCACTCATCACTTTTATTTAACATTGTAGTAGAGCTTATAAGCCAATGCAATTAGGCAAGAAATAGAAATAAAAGGCATCCAGATTAGAAGGAAATAATAAAATTGTTTTTATTTATAGATGCCTAATGAGCAATGTAAGGTTATAAGTAACCAGATCCATGCATGTGTGTGTCTTTCTACGATGTCAGAATTTTATCAATGCTATTTCATTCACAAATGCCATGAGCTACATGGAGTTCCCAAGGAGGCAATTCTCAGTACCACTCATTCACTTGGTAGTCAGAGCTGGGGGCACACGGGCTCAAGCCACTCCACAAGTCAGTCAATATTGCAAGGCATACGTAATAGTATACTTAATCAATATATAAATGATTAAGATTAATCATTCCACAACAAAGTAATAATTAACATCAAGAGGAAAAAGAGTGGGAGAAGGGGTTGACAAACCAGTTAAGGGGGAGTGAAGACACCCAAGACTTCATGTGTGTGTGTGTGTGTTTGTGTGTGTATATACACACACACATATATATGAATATATGCACATATATATTTCTTTGTGTATGTGTGTGTATTTGTTGGTCGAGGAAGTAATAAAGAGAGACATGTTAAAAATTACTCTGGTTTTCTGGCATAAACAATAGTGGGTGCATGGTGGTACCTTTTACTGAGAAGAGGGAGCCTCAGAGAGGACTAGATTTGGATCCTTATCAGCAAATTTAACTGTTAAAAGCTGGAGATGCAGAACTATGTGTAAAAGCATCAAGAAGGGCAAACCTACATCATCAACATCTTTGTGCCCTTTCCCCAACTCCCCATGTTTCACTATCTCATTTGGCACTGGACTGTTTTGATTTCCAAGAGCCCGAGTCCTTGCCTGCTCCCTCGTATCAGCTGCGGAGCCTTCTTGGGTAGTCATCTACACAAGAGCATCACCTATATTCTCAGCAGGCAACTACTATCAGTTCTATAAGCCTGCCCTCTAGGGATCTTGGGGAATTCAACTGTAAAAACCACCAGATTAGGCAACTGATCTAAGATGAGGAGCAGTTGCAGATTCCCTCTAGGGACCATCGTCTATGGACCCTGGAGTTTCACTGAAAATCACCGACATGAGGCAGATTGATTAGTAGGAGAAAAGGCATACAAATTTATTAAACATATATATGTGGGCACCTTCAGAATAAAGACCCAACCCAACAATAAGGTCTGGAAGCATATATACCACCTTGAGATTTCAGAAAAAATGGGAGCTTGGATCCCAGTGAAACAGGTTGTGAGGGCGGGGAGAAGAAGAATTCTATTGAGGGGCAGTAAATGATTACCAGGGAGAATGATTGGATCTTGGGGAACAGCAATGAACTTGTAAATGATTCTTTTTGGAATTTAAATGGTCCTTGGAGACAGTCATTATCTTGAAACAGGGTCTGTTCATGTATGGTTATATTTTTGGTCTTTTATCCTGTGATAGCGAGAAACAGAAAGGGGAGAAACCTATTGTTCTCCTTGATGGGTCTTGATCCTAAGCAGATAAAGGAACTTCAGCTTATATGAGAGAGACACTGAGTATGGGGTAGGTCCAAAGAACTTGAGGCTTCTTCAGTTCAGCATATTGAAATGCAGTATTTTGGGGTATGGGTTTCTGAGCCCCAGTATCCCAATAATTGTTTTTTAATTCCTCAGCTTTGAATTTGGTCCCTGGCATGAAGCTCTGTGTCCTTGGTCCCATACATTTTCTTCTCAAATGCTATTTATCTGTTCAGGAGCTTCTGTTTACAAAGAGGTTAGTGAGGATGGATGGGCGACTGTATAAATTATGGGCTGATTTTCAAACATGAAGGTGATAAATGAACAGATTTTCCCCCAGATTGCTGAGCAAACATCAGCAGAGCAAACTAATGTAAAGATATAATCGTGATTAATCTCTTGATTAAAATAATTAATCTTGGTTAATTTTGCATTTAATCGTTTCTTTTTATCAATGTCTAACATGCAGCTTTATAGAAATATTCATTTAGACTAATGGATATTTCATTTCTCCAATTAGTCTGTTTATTCTGAGCTTCTAAATACCTCAAACTCCAGCTCTTTCATTTGCAGAAAACTTCAGTCATCTGATCATAGCTCTAGGCAGAATGTTCTTTTCATACCCAAGAAGTCTGCACAACGTTTGGCTAAGGACAAAAAGAAGAGTGCGCCTCAGAGGATATAAGGGAGACAGGAGAGCTTCAGGGACTGAAGGAGGCTATATGGTGATTCTTATCAAACATTTGCTCAGGGATTCAGAATTTTCCTCTGGCCATTAATTGCCTTTCATGGTAATAATGTCATGCATTTGATAGGAATTTACAATTCATTCTTTCACATCAAACATGTGACAATTCCCACTAAGACACAGAATTAGCTTCCCATTTTATTGACGAGAAAACAGATGTTTAGAGAGATTAGGTGACTTGCTCAAATTTATGTGGCGAACAATAAAGGCAATGTTGGATTCTCAGAGGCTCAGTGGTCTCTTCTAGTTTGATTATGTAATGCAAAACACAAAAGTATGTGGTATAAGATAAAGGGCTGTGAATTCTTGGTGGACAGACTGAGGGAGGCTGGGCAAGCATTTCTCCTATCACTGTGAAGAAGCAGAAGAAGCAGTAGATTATTCAAGCCTTTAATTTTTGGCACATACATTCAACAAATATTTTTTGAGTATCTACTCTAAACCAAACACTGTCCTAGGAGTAAAAAATATATCAGGGAACAACAAGAAAGTCTAACACTGTAACTTCCAATCCAAGTGAGGACACATGGATATCAAGTTTAATGCCTGAATAACTGAATCAAAGCTTATCCAACACAGGACTACAGGAATATATAACAGGAGAGGGGTTCAGAGAGAAGAGGCAGAGAGGAGAGGAAAGGGTTGGGTTGGGTACAGGGCTGGGAGGAGATGGAGTCGCCCCCTCACAGCCAGTTGATGTAACATGACTCTCACCTGATTTATTTCCACTATAGCACTTTAATCTCATCAGAGCACTTGTGCCATCTAAACTTATCTGATTTATTAATTGGTCTTCTTGTTTTTAGCCTCTCTCTCTCCACTGGAAGGTAAACCTCTGGGAGACATAAACTGTATCTTGTTCTTTGCTACATGCTCAGAATACGAAGCAGTACTTGGCTCATCAGAGGCACTGGGTAAATCCTTGTTGAATGAATAACAGGAAATGTGTAGGATCTGAATGACATTAACTAACACTTACCACATATTGTGCACTTAACATGTACGAAGCTCTGTACTAAGCGCTTTACATGCATTATTCCATTTTATCCTCACAGTATTCCTAGTTATCATCCCCATTTTACAGATGAGAAAATTAAGACACAGAAGAGGTTACACTCATAGAACTACCAGCCAGTCTGACTCCAGGGCCTGTCCCCTTGATCCCCTTGACTGTTATGCCCTAATACCCCTGTGTAGTGGCTATGAGATGCTCTGGTGGGATACATCCACCCTACAGTGTCCTTGGGTGCTTGATAGACCCTCAGAGATCCTCTTGCCCAGAGCTTCTCCACCCTGGTGCGTAACCATTGCCTTGGGGTGGATGTTGCACATTCCATGGATTTTGATGTATTTACTCTTCTATAAATTATCACAGATTCAAAGTTATGGTTAAATGATAGATATCTCATTTATTTTTATTTTGATTTATTTAGTAAGAACAGGAAGCAATGCAGTGTAGCAAAAAGACAGGCCTTGCCCACGATCGCTGTCTTCCACTGTCAATCCGCAGACAGAGCAATCCTAACATGAATAGGCCAATGACCCTGAGAAAGCCTTCGGTGGGAGGAAAACATCACCACAATGTAGGTGCACCCGTGGGACTGTGTCACACACATATATCTCTTCTGCTTTGTGGAAGAAGAAAATGGCTCTGATTTAGTCCAACCCCCCTCATTGTGCTAGTTTGGTATCTGAGCCTCAGAGAAGGATTGTAGCTTATTTAAGGTCACAGAGTAATTTCAGTGGAAGCCTCTTACAGGCCAGTGTCTGTGAGGCCTGCCTCCAACACTGCAAGGCAGAATTGTTCAGAATTGTCCCTGTATTCTGGCCAAACCAGTGATGCTTTTTCCATTGCTCCACTTGAATTCCATTTCTCATCAAAGCCCCTCTAAAACCCTCCTCCACCTTCCCTGAATCTGCCCTTACTCATAGCCCACCCTTGAGCATTAGATATTGTGGTGCTTACCCCTCCCTACCTCTAATTTTAAAACAAGATACAAAGTTTATAATGCAATTATAAAATAGATTTAGAAATACTTTGAAACCACCCACAGTCTTATAACTTTAGTTCATTTTATTGCCACACTCTAACTTCTTCTCTGGTTTCCCTTTTCTTGCAATGCCAGATACAGTCCTCTAGCCCTGCATAGGCCTCAGCCATCGGCCTCCCAGCTTGAAGTGTCTGCCAGCTATGCTACTGACAGGAGAATAGGATGATAAACTCTTGGATGGTGCATGAGAAATCATCTAACTTGACTCCTGACTTCTGCACATAGGGAAACAGAGGCCAAGAAAGGCAAAGGGAATTTCTCAAGTCACACAGCCAAAAAGTGGCATACTTGGGACTTGAACCCACCTTATCTTTCTAACTCTATTTTTTTAAGCATCCGCATCTATTCTAAAGAAGACCATTTCTGGACACCAAAGTCCTCTGTCTTAGTTAATTTCGTGCTGCTATTAACAGCATGTATAGCATGATTTTTTTTTTTTTTTTTGAGACGATGTCTTGCTCTTGTCCCCCAGGCTGGAGTGCAATGGCACGATCTCGGCTCACTGCAACCTCTGCCTCCTGGGTTCAAGTGATTCTCCTGCCTCAGTGCCCTGAGTAGCTGGTGTCTGACACCACACCTGGCTAATTTTTATATTTTTTAAGTAGAGATGGGGTTTTACCATGTTGGCCAGGCTAGTCTAGAACTCCTGACCTCAGGTGATCCGCCCACTTCAGCCTGCCGAAGTGCTGGAATTACAGGCGTAAGCCACTGTGCCCAGCCCATAGTATGCTATTAATATTAACAAAATACCTGAGACTTGGTAATTTACAATGAATAGAAATTATTTTCCACAGTTCTGCTGACTGGGAAGTCCAAGATCAAGTCACTAGCAGGTTTGGTGTCTGGCAAGAGCTGCTCTCTCCTTCCAAGATGGTGCCTTGTTGGTGCAGAGGGAGGGAACATTGCATTTTCACATGGCAGAAGGTGGAGGGCAAGAGAACTGAATGCTGAGTAAAGTCTCTTTTATAAGGCTTTAATCCCATTCACAAGGATGGGTCGTCATTGCCTAATCACATTTTAAAGGCCTTGCTTCTTAATGTCACCACACTGACATCATTTGAATTTTAAAGGGGGTACATTCAAGCCATGGCACCCTCCAGGGTCTCCTGGGGACAATCAAAGCTTAATAAATGTCCAACCCACCAGCAAAAACCCTCCCCTGCACTCAAAGGCTCAAAAGCCAGCCAGAGACATACTCTCTTGACTGCTGCCATTTACAGAGTATCTATTGTGTGCAGTCACTGCAGAAAACTCAGCAAAATCACCCACAATAGCACCGTGGGATACATGCCATTATTCTCAACCTGCAGCTAATGAAGCCGAGGAATAGCACAGCTAAGTGATTCACCCAAGGTCATACATAAAGTGGTTGGACCCCACAATCCATTTGTGTTCTTTTATCTGTATCATTTTCCCTCTCTTATGAGACAGAGGTTGAGAGGTTGAGGTATGAGATTGAGATGCTTCTTGCTTAGGTAGTATCGGAGAGTAACTTGACTCTTCAGATTAACCCTAAACCAGCATAGGGATTTGATGCAATGGGACAGAAGACAGCTATGTTTACTTGCAGGACTTTTATTTATCTATCTAACACGGCTTTCAAGAGAACTTACTACGAGCCAGCCCTGTGTGAGGATACAACTCTGGACAAAGTGTGTGACCTAGAGACAAGGTTTAAGCTCTGCATTCCCAAGCTGAGGGCACTCTTAGGATTTTCTTTCTTCTCTGTTTTGACTCTGAAATTTCCCTCCCTTTTGTGGTTAATACGAGAGGGACCTAGTTCTTCCTTCTGCTTGATGGAAGCTATTTTCTCTCTCTAGAAAGGTAGCTCAAACAGTCCTTTCCAGTCCTTTGGAGAAACACTCTTCCCTAACCTCACCATTGGAGTGGTAAATCCTGTGGGCTGAGATAATCTGTGAATATCAGATAAGGGGCCTGAGTCACTGCCTGACTGTGTTTAAAGCTGGAGGCTTCAGCCTTTTTAAACCACCTAGGCTTCCTGACTCTTAGAGCTACTTGTAATGTCTAGTTCGCTGAAATTTTGCAGTAGCTTTTGGAACAAAATCCTGACATAAATGCTTTCCAACTCCAAGTGACCTTCAGAATCATGAGAATGAAACAACAATAGAAATGTCTGTCCTACTCCCAGATACTGTGTTTTAATGGGTTTTGGATAGGAGTACATATCTAAGGGCTAGAAGTCATTATGTTCAGAGTAATAATATGAAGGATTTTGCTAGGGGAGTTCCTTTCTCATATCCATTTTTTGAATCGATGGCAGAGTGGGCAACTGGCTAGGGATTTGACCATTTGGAGGCCCTGGGACCAAGCCAAACACCATCTCGTCATTGCTATAGTTGTGCAAGGTTCTGAGCTGGTCCCTGCCCTTAAGGATTTCATGTGTTAGTAAGCAATATGAGGACTCTAAAAGAAAGAAGAATTGGAAAATGATGATGTGATGACATTTCCTTCTCTCCTCTGCCTACCCCACAAAGAACCCGGATCTGAAAGGAAATCTCAACTCTTTCTGCTTCAGAGCCATCCGTGGCCTCAGCTTCTCTTTTAGTGAAGCATAGAAACAACAATCCTTGGCTCAGTTTTTCAAGGTCAGAAGAAGGGCCGTGAGACACTTCTCTCTAGAGAAAGAGAAGTGCAAGTTACGCCCCTTGGAGGGAGAGGGACAGGCTGCAAGGCCTCTTGCCTCACTAGCTGCAGATGCACTTGGAATTGTTCCACCTAAGCAGCGACAGAAATTCTGCAAGTCTGCTTGAGATTGGCATCCTTTAATTAATTTCATAACCCTCTTTATTCAGGAGGTATAATTGCAACTTTGAGAGCCATCAGATAAACTAAATGTGGCGTGTCACTGGTGTCCAGACACAGCCAGCTGTGTTGCAGAGGGGAGTACATTTCCAGGCCTGGAGCTGGAAGGCAGAAGGGAGATGGGTTAGAGGACGTGTGTGCCACTTACAATATTGAAATTGGATTCTTCCTGGCTGGGGACCCATCACCCTGTGGAGTCAGATCAATGTTCAGAGCACGATGCAAACTCATCCTAGGTTTCCACACAAGCACCGTCCCTTGGCTTTTGACAGTCAGTTGTTCAATCAATAAACAATTACTGGACACCCTGCTGTGCTCTGGGCACTGGGCTGGAGATTTATTTATTGCTGCTAAGTTCAAACTGTGCATAGGCACTGGGCTAGATGTTTGTTTGTTCCTTTGCAAATATGCTCTGAACCTTTCTAATGGTACCTATAATTATCAACCAAAGTAATGGTAAATTTTTGCCAGGTGCTGTTCTAAATATTTATGTATATTCAGGAATTTGATCCTTCTGACAACCCTCTGAGGAAGCTACTATCATTATTTCAATTTTGCAGGTGAGGAGCCTGAAGACCAAAGAGGTCACAGAGCTGGTAAGTGAGAAATCCAGTGACTGAACCCAAGAAGTGTGATGCAAGAGTCAGCACTCTAATACACACTCAATGTGTGTCTGCACAGTGTTAGGTCCATGTCACGATGGGGGAGTAAAGATATTGTTGCTTAAATTCTACATCGTGGAGTTCACACTGCCTCAGTCTGAAGCTTGTATCCATTGCTTACTATCTGCATAGCTTCTTGCAAGTAATTTAAATTCTTTGTGACTCATTTCCCTTATATGTGAAATGGGAGAAGTAATAATTCTAATATTTAGGATTATTGTGAGGATTGCATGACATAATATAGGTTAAGTACATAGTAGTTTATCAAGCATAGGATGTGGCATGTGGTTATAGGTCAGTAAATATTGGTGATGATGATGATGATGATGATGTTAATAATAGTAATAATGGGTTAGCTCTCAGAAAATTCATAGGCTAGTCACAAAGAAAGAATTTCCATCTCTAAATGTTTTACATTCTAGCTAATTTGTGTGCAAGAATTGTGGGGGACGTGGGCAAACATGCAACAGATAAATGATTTTCAATAGGGCCTTGAGGGCAGTGAATTTGTCTTGTTTTCCTCTGTATCCTCAGTTCCTAAGCATGTGTTTCACAAGTAGATGCTCACTAAATATCATATATTTAATCAATCAATCAACTCATTAATCAATGGATGAAAATACCAGATTAGATGAATGTCTGGCATATAATATCCCAGAAATTTTATGGAATCTGGTCTATGTTCGAGCTCATGCTTCTATCACATCAGTGCTAGTGTTCAGAGAAAGGAGAGAAAATATTTGAAGCATCTTGAGATCTGGACCTTGAAGAACTAAGGAATGTGGTGGGTGTTGTGGCATCAGTGAATAACAGGACATCAAAAAGTGCAAGATGCATGTGGAAGACAGGGACAGGTCAGCTTGGCCAAGACAGAGAATGCTATTTAGGTGAAAAAAAGGAATGAGACTGAAAAGGGAATTTGAAACATTATTGCAAAAGACTGTGGAGTGTGGACTTTAACCAGTTGGTGTTAAAACATTTCCACTGGCTGTGACATACCTGAATAGACCCAGAGACTGGCATGATTGAAGTTTGGAATTTTAAATAAGACACACTTGGAATAACCCAAACAAGAGGTGATGAGGTCCAAGAAAATCGGTTAAAAAGGCAGACATGGCTCATATTAGTGACTGACATGGTTTGACTGTGTCCCCACCCAAATCTCATCTTGGATTGTAGCTCCCGTAATCTCATGTGTTGTGGGAGGGACACAGTGGGAGATGATAATTGAATCATCGGGGCAGTTTTCCACATATGGTTTTCATGGTAGTAAGTCTCATGAGATCCAATAATTTCATAAAAGGAAACCCCTTTTGCTTGGCTCTCATTCTGTCTTGCCTGCCACCATGTAAGACATGCCCTTCACCTTCTGCCATGACTGTGAGGCCTCCCCAGTCATGTGGAACAGGGAGTCCATTAAACCTCTTTTTCTTCGTAAATTACAGGTATGTCTCAGGTATGTCTTTATCAGCAGCATGAAAACAGACTAATACAGTGACTGATGAGACGTTGAGATGAGACAGAGGAGAAGTGGAAGATTATAGTGGGTGCTGATCTAACTATGGGCATCTCCTATTAAGTCCCCTCATGTCTCCTCTCATCTTTCAGAACAGTTTTCTGTTGATCATCACTAAACCTACCTGACCTTCCAATGTTGCTTTGGAATCTAGGGTCATTCCTGACAATGAGTTACCTGTCTCTCTCTCACTGTCATTAACGAATGACTTAGAGAAGATCCCACTGCATCTTTGCCTCTGTTCCTCAGGGACATCTGCAGATAGAAGGGGAAGCTGGGTAGAGATACAGGCTCAGTCATTTCACCACCACTCAAGTACTCCCGTAGCCAAGTCACTCTTTATCTTCAAGTCAATCTATATCATCTGATGCTGTTAGATCGGTGTCTTTCAAGCTTTGTGGGGTGGTACACTGAGGGACTGGAAAGCTCCAGATCTCCTCCGTGGTTCTAAATGAAACAGTATTTTGTGGTCCAGTTCCTCTATAGAGTTCAATACATGTATAAATTCATAAAAAATAAATGAAATAGTTATTGAGTACAGAGTTTATATAATTAAAGATAATGAACTTTATTTGTGAGAAGTACCTCAGTGTAGGTACATGTTATGAGGTGAATTTTCTAGTGCCCTCAAATTTACATGTTGAAGTCCTAACCCGCAGTACCTCAGTATATGGTCTTACTTGGAACTAGGGTCTTTACAGAGGTAATCATGTTAAAATGAAGTCATTAAAATAGGACCTAATCCAATATAATTAGTGTCCTTATAAAAAGGAGAAATTTTGACATGGACACCCACAGATGGAAAATGATATGAAGAGACGTAATGAAAAGATGGCCATCTATAAGCCAAGGAAAGACACCTGATACAGATTATTCTCTTCTGACCCTCAGAAGGAATCAACTTTACTGACACCTTAATTTGGGACTCCTTCTCACCAGAACTGTGAGACAATAAATTTTTACTGTTTAAGCCATTCAGTTTGTCACACTTTGTTATAGCAGCCCTGGGAAACTAATGCAGTAAAGACACCTAATAATAGTTCAGCATTTTAAAATATAGAAACAACATGTACATATCCTCTTTTGATTGCCATAACTTTTGAGGGGAAAAAGCATATTACTATCTTAATATGATTGTTGAGAAAATAAATGTTTAGAAATGATAATTGTTATAATAACAATGGTTCTAATCATCATAATAGTCATCATTTTCTGGGTTAGTATATACCAGGCACTCATCTAACAATTTCAAATCATGAGATAATTTAATATTATTTATTCTATTTTACAGATAAAAAAAATAGGCAGT
Source organism: Homo sapiens (assembly GCF_000001405.40). NCBI lineage: Eukaryota > Metazoa > Chordata > Mammalia > Primates > Hominidae > Homo > Homo sapiens. Next base: position 26,438,149 of record NC_000016.10, on the reverse strand, counting down.
GAGAGATAATGTAACTTGCTAATGGCCACACAGCCAGTAAGTGGCAAAGCAAAGACTTCAATCAGGTATTCTTTATTCAGAATACTTTCTGCTACATTCTTTCTATGCAAAGCATATGGAATTGGGTTGAACATTCACTTACAGGTACAACAAGTAGTTGTTGGTTAGCCACTATGTACCAGGGGTTTCTGGACAAAAAAGAATTCGACTTCTAGTGGAAGAGATAAACAATAAATAAATGTATACATTTATAACATTATTTTTGTAATGATAACTTCAATGAAGAATAAAGGTAGAGTAAGGGGTATAGTGTAGTAGAGACTACTGAAATAAAATGATCAAGTGATGACTTTATAAGGTGACATAGAATCAGAACTTAAATGAAGCAAGGGATGGATCATGAAAATACAGGGAGTAGCTTTGTCAAAAATGGGTTGATTGTAAATGTGTGAATTTATTTCTGGATCCTCTATTCTGTTCCATTGGTCTGGCTGTCTATTTTTATGCCAGTACCATGCTGTTTTGGTTACTATAGTTTTGTAGCGTACTTTGTAAGTCGATGTGATATCTCTCACTTTGTTCTTTTTACTCAGGATTGCTTTGACTATTCTGAGTCTTTTGTGGTTCTATAGAAATTATAGTATTGTTTTTCTATTTCTGTGAAGAAAGTCATTGATATTTTAATAGAAATTGCATTGAATCTGTATATTGCTTTGAGTAATATGGACATTTTAGCAATATCAGTTTTTTCAGTCGATGAACATAAGATATCTTTCCATTTTTTGATGTTCTCTTCAATTTCTTTCATCAATCTTTTATATTTTTTATTATAGAGATCTTTCACTTCCTTGGCTAAGCTTATTCCTAGGTATTTTTTTCTAGATATTATAAATGGGATTGCTTTCTTATTTTCTTTTTCAAGTTGTTCACAGTTGGCAGATAGAAACCCTACTGATTTTGTATGTTGATTTTTTTATCCTGCAATGTTACTGTATTTGTTCATTAGTTCTAATAGTTTTTAGTGGAGTCTTTAGGTTTTGCTATATATAAGATTATATTGCCTATAAACAAGGACAATTTGACTTCTTTCTTTCCAAATTAGATGCCCTTTCTTTCTCTTGTCTAATTGCTCTGGGTAGGACTTATATTTCTTGAGTAGGGAGTTAAAGGTACAGGCAACGAAAGCAAAAATTGGCAAATGGGATTGCATCAACCTAAAAAGCTTTAGCATAGCAAAGGAAACAATTAACAAAGTGAAGAAACAACCTACACAGTAAGAAAAAATATTTTCAAACTATTCAGCTGACAAAGTATTAATAACCAGAATATATAAAGAACTCAAAAAACTCAGCAGCAAAAATGATAATAAGCTGAATAAAAAATGGGCAAATATCTGAATAGACATTTCTCAAAAGAAGACATATAAATGGCCAACAGGTATATGAAAAAATGTTCAACGTTACTAATCATCAGGAAAATGCAAATCAAACCCACAATGAGATATCATCTCACTCCAGTTAAAACGGCTATTATAAAAAAGACGGAGAATAACAAATGCTGGCAAAGATACAGAAAAAAAGAGAACACTCATAGACTATTCTTGGAATACAAATTAGTACAGCCACTATGGAAAATAGCATGGAAGTTTCTCAAAAAACTAAAAATTGAACTACTATATGATCCAGTGTTCACACTGCTAGGAATTTATCCAAATGAAAAGGTGTCAGTATACTGAGGAGATATCTGCACCCTTCGTGTTTGTTGCAGCACTATTCACAGTAGCCAAGATATGGCATCAAAATGTTCAACAGATGAATGGGTACAGAATATGTGAGATACACACACACACACACACACACACACACACACACACACACAATGGAATATTATTCAGGCATGAAAAGTAACAAAATTCTGTCATTTGCTACAACATGGATGGAACTAGAGGATATTATGTTAAATGAAATAAGCCAGGCACACATAGACAAATATTACTGGTTCTCACTCAAATGTGGGAACTGAAAAAATTCATCTCATGGATTAATGAATAGAATGGTGGTTACCAGAGTCTGGGAAGGCTAGAGGGGAGAAGGAATAAAGTGAGGTCTTTTAATGGGTACAAAAAACAGTTAGATAAAAGATCTAGTGCTCAGTAGCACAATAGGTTGATTATAGCTAACATTCTTGTATATTTCAAAATAGATAGAAGAATAGATTTGAAATGTTCCCAACACAAAGAAATAATAAATGTTTGAGGTTACAGATATCCCAGCTGCCCAAATTTGATCATTACACATTGTACGCTTTCATCAAAAGACCACATGTACCCTATAAATATGTTCAAATATTATATATCTATAAGAAAATTTAAAATTAAACAAATGAATGATTCTCAAAATTGTTATGCTGAAGGAAAGAAGACTAAAAAAAAAAGACCATATGTACTCCATTTATAGAAATTCCTAGAAAATAAAAACTCATTTATAGTGACAGAAAGCAAATCAGGAGTTAGCTGAGAATGGAGGAGAGGGTGGAAAGGAACAGAGGGAGGGATTGCAAAGGAACATGGGGAATCTTCGGGGAGTTATGGATTGTGTGTCCATCATACGTTGATAAAGCTGTTTAAAGAAAAAAAATATGGAAGGAGGAGAATATAGTGGCAAGTACTGGGACTGGTGCTGGATTTAGCAAGAACGGTGGTCGGAAATAAAGCAGCTGAATTGATAAGTAACAGCCACAGTTAAGAATCTGGATCGTATCCCTATGGTAATGCATCAGTTAGAAAACCTGACTAATCTAAATTTTCTTCATATAACAAGTCTGGAAATCAGCATTATAAAGCTGGTAAAAATGTTCTTGGAAGTTATAAAGTACTAGGACTCCTCCTATCTTTCTGTGCCATGATTCTCAGCCTCTGGCTCCCATCCTTAGAATTGCAAGACAGTTTTTGATCTCCAGGCATCAGGGGGAAAAGGGGAAAAGATGAAGGAATAACATTTTCTTTAGCGGGGGAATCATTCATTTTTATTGGGAAAGAAGCCCTCAACAGGGATTTTTACCTACACCTTATTGGCAAGAACTCTCAATTGGGCATTCAAGGTGCTAAGGAGTCTGACAAATTGAACAGAAAATAACTGGTCCATTGCTGGGGTTCTGTTTATAAGAAACAATAGGAAAAGACACATTGAATAAACAAATATCAGAGCCTGACCCTGCTCAGTCACCATCTTTGGAAGGTATGCCTTGCAAAAAACACTGGCACCAGATGATTCTGGAATAGAACTCAGCTCACCTCCTACTGGCTGCATGAGCATGGTAGTTTCAGTGTTCTCTATGAAGGTCTGTGTTCTCATCTTTAAGGAGTGGATTGGGATGGATATGTATCCATTATATTTGTAAGTGTGTGTATGCATGTATATGTATGTGGGGGTGTGTGTACCTGTGTAGATCACGTTGCCTGGACTAGGTAAAGAATTCTATATATGTTCAGTACACCTCAGTCTTCTCTGTCACTTGTTGCTATACAACTGAAGAACAAAGTCCACGGCATGTTTTGCCTTCAGAGACTGGGTACTGACTCTGAGGAGAAGTGCATTTAGAAAAAGGTAACTTTGGGGGCTGGGCACGGTGGCTCACACCTGTAATCCCAGCACTTCGGGAGGCCAAGGTGGGTGGATCACCTGAGGTCAGGAGTTTGAGATCAGTCTGACCAACATGGAGAAACCCTGTCTCTACTAAAAAAGAAAAAATACAAAAAGTAGCTGGGCATGGTGGCCCATGCCTGTAATCCCAGCTACTCGGGAGGCTGAGGCAGGAGAATCGCTTGAACCCAAGAGGCAGAGGTTGTGGTGAGCCGAGATTGCGCTGCTGCACTCCAGCCTGGGCAACAAGAGCGAAACTCCATCAAAAAAAAAAACAACAAAAAAAAAAAAACAAAAAAAAAAAACAGAAAAAAAAAGAAAAAGGAAAAGAAAAAGGGAAAAAGGTAACTTGAACAAATCTCCTGAATACCCCGAGCTTTAGTTTATTTGTTAATAATGCAAGATGATATCCACATCATAGGGTGACTGAAAATGTAAATTGAAATACATAGTGCATAAAAGACCTAGTACTGTGTCTGGCATATGGTAGTTATTTATGCAAGATAAGCACAAATTTAAATGTTCTCTGGCTTGTTGACTCTTTGGACATGAAAACATTGGCAAATGGTCAAAAGAAGACATAATTGGCCAACAGGTATATGAAAAAAATGTTTAATGTCACTAATGGGAACATACAGCAATTTTTGAGAAACGTCTAGAACACTCAGCAGCTTGGGATACACTTCAATGCCCAATTCCAGGCCATCCTATATGCCTGTGATCTAAAAACCTACTGACATTAGAATTTTTCTGAAACAAAATCTGAAATATTTGACAAAATATAAAAACAAAAACTGAGTGTACATCACCTGATTTCCCACTGGAGTAGAGATTTGCTCTGGATTTTTCACAAAATTGTGGCAGGACAGGTAGCAGCCTATTTTGGTGAAAAAATAGAGTTCCTTTTTTATTGCAGATGTCTGTTTCAAAGGAGCAGTCCACTGCCCACCCCACCACCACCAACTGCTCTCTTTTCCCCAGAGTCAATCACAGGTCATTTTTGTACCTTCATTGCTTTATCTTGCAATCACTGCCCCAAATATAGATGCAGATATTGTTTTCTTTGTCAGAAGCACCTCCCATGCTCACATGGTGACTTAGCAGCTCCTAACTTCTAAGAGGATTTCAGTGCTTGTGCAAACCTCTCATTTTCTTTCAAAGGAGGGTCTTTTCTTGACCTAGTTCTCTAGATAGGACAGGCAGGGCAAGAACATCACTACCTCTGGTGCTGAAAAGAGATCCCTCTTCTTCCTCCAGTCCCCATGCCAGTACCACTCCTAGGAAATGACACAATATGTGGAGGAGGAGGAATAGCACTGAGCCACCTGGATATTCCTCTATACTCCCTAACGAGCCCTTTTTCTCCTAAGACATTCAGTCTGATGTGCTGAGGAGCCCACTCATCTGTCCTGCAGGTCCAGGCCACAGTCAGTCCTGACCTGCGCTTCAGCTAAAGGTTGGGATGAAATGGTGCAGCCAATCACAACAGGATGCTAGAGGAAAGCCTTGATAGCCACGTAGACATGGACACAAAGATTTTCTTAGGAAACTCTCATGCAGGCAACAACTGCAGAAATATAACTTTTGTTCCAAGTTTTCCCATGTCTCTCCTTTAAATGCTGCCTCCCTCCTTCTCTTCTCCTCCCTCTTCTTTCCTCCTTCCATTCATTCATTCATTCAACAAACACTGCTTTAGGTAACTATTGATGTATGGAGGATAAAGATATTAGTCATAATTTCTTCCTTTGGAGGCTCACACTGTAGCACTGTAGTGTGGGAGACAAATACATATGTTGATAACTATTTTATAACCACACAACAGAAAAAAAATATATATATATACACACACATACATACACACATGTATATATGTGTTTTCTGTGTGTGTGTGTGCACAAAATTGTATATAAAATGAGTACAGTTATGCTCAAGAAAAAGTTGAATATAAGCTGAAGAGGCTAGTGACTTTGTTAGAGGTAGTAATCAAAAAAGTCTTCCCAGAGCTTAACATTGGAGTCGGGCTTTTAAGGATGAGTAGAAGTTGAATATGGAGGTCGGGTTGGCAAAGAAAACCTTCTGTGAAAGAAACAGATATAGAGGCATAAAGGTGAATAGATTGTCAGCTCAGGTGGCTAGATTGAGAAGAACCCATCAAGTTGATGAGGATGGAAAGGAGGTTCTGGTGTGTGGATAAACATTGTAAAGGTGGAGACTGGAGAGAGAGATTGAGATCGGTATCATGGAGGCCTATTTACACTGGGCTTAGGTACTGGAAATCTGTGGGAAAGACTTTGGTCCATGGTCATGTACACAGATAATGTAGATACAAAGTAATACCTAATGCAAGAGTTTGTTCCAGTAGTTATGAAGAACCTAGAGGTCAAAGAAGGGTATATGGAAGAGATATTTGAGCAAATTTTGGTAGATGAAAAAAAAGATTCTGGTTAGAGAAAGAGATTTTTTATCAATTGGTCAATATGAGAATTAAGGCTGATTTTTCATTGCACACTAGTTGAGCAGCCACACCAGTTTTTATCATTCTTTTATGCCCATGCCATATTGGTTATTAAATATTTTCAGTTTCACCTTAGTAGGCACAGGTTAGTAAAGACTACATGGTGTCTAGATACTACAAGTATCTAGGCTGTGAAGTTACATCTAATTAGATTCTTTTTTTGAGATTAGGAAATGAAGATTACAAGTGTCTAGGAATTAAGGACATGCGACAAACAGAGAAGAAGAATTGACGGGAAAGCTCAGATCAACAAAAAGTAGGAAGGAAAGCATGAAATTTCACTGCTTAAGATCAGTTGACAAATATCAGTTGATGAGGCTCTACCCACTGTTCCTGGTTTTTACTTCTTCTTCCCTACATTGAAAACTCAAGGACAAAATTCTGAAGTCCGAGCTATCAGCCTTTTGTTGAGTTTTAGCCACTACATTAAAAACTTCAATTATTTTGAATTCAGTTCAACTCAATGGCCAATAAATATGCTTGATGGTTATGGATTCTACCTACAAAATAAATTTAAAACTTATTTTCTTTCCTTCTTACACAAATGATCTTGGCCCACGCCATGATATCTTTTGCCTAAGCCAGTGTAGTACTCCGCCGATGGTTCACCCTGTTTTTAATCTGGCCCACTCACAACCATTTTCCAGGAAAAAGCTCTTAAATTCTGGCTGGGCACGGTGGCTCATGGCTGTAATCCCAGCACTTTGGGAGGCCGAGGCAGGTGGATCACCTGAGGTCAGGCATTTAAGACCAGCCTGGCTAACATGGCAAAACCCTGTCTCTACTAAAAATACAAAAATTAGCCAGGCATGGTGGCAGGTGCCTGTAATCCCAGCTACTCGGCAGGCGGAGGCAGGGGAACCTCTGGAACCCTGGGGGCAGGGGTAGTGGTGAGCCAAGATTCAGCCACTGCATTCCAGCCTGGGCAACAGAGCAAGACTCTGTCTCAAACAAACAAACAAACAAACAAACAGAACAAAACAAAACAAAAGAAACCTTAAATTCTACATTATTCATTATTCACTTATAATAAATCATGTGATGGCTTATGGGTGAACATTTAATAAGGTCCAAACTTTTAGGATGATAGCCTGGAAGCTCTTGGAGGGATCTGACCCTTTTTTTGCTATTTTATTTATTTATTTATTTATTTATTTATTTATTTATTTATTTATTTATTTATTTATTTAATTTTTCCATAGGTTATTGGGTACAGGAGGTATTTGGTTACATGAGTAAGTTCTTTAGGGGTGATTTGTGAGATTTTGGTGCACCCATTACCCGAGCAATATACACTGCACCCTATTTGTAGTCTTTTATCTCTCGCCACTCCCCACCCTTCCCCCCAAGTCCCCAAAGTTCATTATATCCCTCTTATGCTTTTGCGTCATAGCTTAGCTCCCACAGATCGGTGAGGACATATGATGTTTAGGTTTCCATTCCTGAGTTACTTCACTTAGAATAATATTATCCAGTCCCATCCAGGTCACTGAAAATGCTGTTAATTCATTCCTTTTTGTGGCTGAGTAGTATTCCATCATACAGATATACCACAGTTTCTCTGACTTTGACCGATGCGAAAACCTCCCAGCATGCTGCCCTCACCCTTGATCCCACACCCACAGACTCTGGCCTTGCTTCTGCTTTCAAGTAACCTTTCTTTCAGATATCACCACTGGTTGGAATATTCTTCCCAGAGAATATTCTTCTTATCATTCAGGGTTCCGTTGAAATGTCACTTTCTTCCAAGAAGCTTTTTGTAACTACCATCTTTAAAATATGTTGATGTTTTGTATTAACCACCTATTGCTGCATTACAAATTACCAAACCTTAGAAGGTGAACAAAAAATCCTTTTCAGAAATCTATCCTCATTCTGATTTGTTTCTTATCTATTTGATTATTGAATTTTACATTCAGAAGGTATACGTGCAGGTTAGTTACATAGGTACACATTTCATGATATTGAAGTTTAGGCTTCTATGGAACCCATCACCCAAATAGTAAGCATAATACCCAATGAATAGTTTTTCAACACTTGCCTCTTCCCTCCCTCCCTCCCTCCCCCATTTTGGAGTTCCAGAGTCTATTTTTCCTATCCTTACGTCCATGTGTACCCAATGTTTAGTTCCTGCTTATAAGTGAGAACATGTGGTATTTGGTTTTCTGTTTTTGCATTAATTTGATTAGGATAATGGCCTCCAGTTGCATCCAAGTTGCTGCAAAGAACATGATCCTTCTCTTTTTGATGGCTGTGTAGTATTCCATGGTATACATGTACCACATTATCGACTCCACTGTTGATGAGCATCTAGGTTGATTCTGTGTCTTTGCTACTGTGAATATTGCTGTGATGAACATATGTGTGCATGTGTCTTTTTGGTTGAACAATTTATATTCCTTTGGGTATACACCCAGTAACTGGATTTCTGGGTCAAATAGCAGTTCTGTTTTTGGTTCTTTGAGAAATTACTAAACTCCTTTCCATAGGGGGTAAACTAATTGACATTTCCACCAATAGTTTGTGAGTGTTCCCTTTTCTTTACTCAAGATAGAAAGTGCAAACTTAAAAAAAAAATTTTGAAATAAAATATACACAGATAATATACAATTTTTCTCTTTTTGAGACGGAGTCTCGCTCTGTTGCCCAGGCTGGGGTGCAGTGGCATGATCTGGGCTCACTGCAACCTCTGCCTCCCAGGCTCAAGCGATTTTCCTGCCTCAGCCTCCCGAATAGCTGGGATTACAGGTGCCTGCCACCACGCCTGGCTAATTTTTGCATATTTAGTAGAGATGGGGTTTCACCATGTTGGCCAGGCTGGTCTCGAACTCCTGACCTTGTGATCCACCCACCTTGGCCTCCCAAAGTGCTGGGATTACAGGCGTGAGCCGCCGCATCTGGCCGATAATTTACCATTTTTAAGTGTACAGTTCAGTGGTAATAAAAACATTTATATTTATTTTTCTCTCTTTATTCCTCCCTCCTCTTACCTCCATCCCTGGTAACTGCCAATCTACCCTATCTTCATGAGATTCACATTTTTTAGCTCCCACATGTGAGTGAGAACATGCGATACTTTTCTTTCTGTGCTTAGCTTATTTCATTTAATGGAATGGCCCCCAGTTCCATCTATGTTGCTGCAAAGGACAGAATTTCATTCTTTGCTATGGCTGAATAATATCCCATTGTGTATATATACCACATTTCTTTATCCATTCATCTGTTGATGGTCACTTAGGTTGATTCGATATTTTGGCTATTGTGAATAGTGCTGCAATAAACATGGCCATGCAGGTATCTCTTTGATATATTGATTTTCTTTCTTTTGGATATAAATTCACTAGTAGAATTGCCGAAGCATGCAAAGTTCTATTTTTAGGTCTTTTTGAGGAAACTCCATACTGTTGTTCATAGTGGCTGTAGCAATTCACATTCCCATCAACCGTGTACAGCATTCCCCTTTCTTTCCATCCTCATCAGTATCTGTTACTGCCTGTCTTTTTTGTAAAAGCCATTTTAACTGGGGTGAGAGGATATAGCATCATGGTTTTCATTTGCGCTTCTCTAAGGATTTCATATACCTGTTGGCTATTTACATATAGATGATGCCATCTTTTTATAACCTAGTCTCAAAAGAGATGTCCCATCTCTTCTGCCAAATTTTATTTGTTAGAAGTGTTTTGCCACAATTTCATGCATGTCAGGAGGTGAGAATCATCGAAGCCCATCTTACTGGCTGCCTACTAAACTCCCTTACATTAGTTTTTCTTTTTTTGCCTTCATAACATTTATTATGATTTGTACATATAATACGAATGGTGTCTTATTTCGCCATTTGATTCACACCAGATCTCAAATATGTATTTGTTGAATGAATAAATAAACTTGACTTAACGCAATGGAACACAAATAAACACAGAAAATATTTACTGAGCATTTCAAAAACAACAGAAAAGAGCAACACACAGTCTCTGTATCTAGAAAATTGATGATTGCATCAAAAAGAAAGCGATAGATATGCAGAATGTACTACAGTGAAAGAAAGAATTTGTAAGAAGAAAGAAATAAATGTTATGAGACTACAAATGGGAAGATACTCATATCAGGGTAGTTTTTGGAGAAGGTAGCATCTGAGCTGGGCTGTGAAGGATGTCAAGCAATTTGGGACTGCAGAGAAGTAAAGATGGGCATTATGCATAAGAAGGTATACACAAAGATACAGAGATAGAAAGCAGATGCAATATATGGTGACCAAAACTGGGATGTGTGAAGTAGTAAAAATACTGATTTTTTTTTTTTAATGAGACATGATCTGACTCTGTCATCCAGGCTGGAGTGCATGGCTGAGATCATAGCTCATAGCAGCCAGAAACTCTCAGCTCAGGTGATCCTCCCAACTCAGCCTCAAGAATAGTTGGGTCTACAGGTGGGTGGCACCACACCCAGCTAGTTCTTATAGTATTGTTGTAAATATGGGGTCTCATTATGTTGCCCAGGCTGGTCTCAAACTCCTGGCCTCAAGTAATCCTTCTGCCTCAGCCTCCCAAAGTACTGGGACTACAGGCATTAAGCACTATGCCTGGCTGAAAATACTGATTTAAAAGATAATTTTATTCAGATCATGGAGGGTCTTAACTGACAACATCAGTAGCAGGTTTTTATAAATAACAAAGTTACCACTTAAAAAAAGTTATAATATTCCTAGTATTGTGTGCCATCATTATATAATATATATACTTGTGTGGGTGTATGTATATATATGTGTATATATATATATACACATTCCCATATATATGCACATACACATATATATATGATTTGAACACAGATGCACATATATATGATTAAACTACATAACATTGTTAATATTTAACAATGACATTCAAACATGAAAGTTTCTTTTAGACCGATCAACATTATTTCAAAATAATTCCAATGATATTATTCTGAATAAACAAGTAATAAAGTGGAGGCTTAGAGAAGTCAAATAACTTTCCAAAAGAGAGAGTACAGGAAAGTGGAGAGATTGGGCTTTGAAGTCAGGTGCTTCTTATACCAAAGCTTACACTCATAACTGTTATGACGTACTGTTTTCCAAGTTTAATCTGTGGGCAAAGAGCAGCCATTGACTATTTGAATCAGAAGCATGTCATAATCTAAAATGTTTTAAAAACCACTATATTGAGTGAAAAGATTAATGACAAGTCTAGAAAATAACAACAAAAATACAGCAGATAACAGAAAAAAAGTTCTAAATATATCAAGCACTCCTATATATGGATAAGAAAAAAGCTCTACGTTCTCGTAGGAAAAAATAGGCAAAACATACATAGAGAGCCCACAGTAGAGAAATTTCAAAAAGTTTTAAAAAATAGAAAGGATGCTAAATCTCATTCATTAGGAAAATGTTATTTATTTTAAAAATCAGCTTTATTGAGGAATAATTTATATACAATAAAATGCATGCATTTTAAATGCACAGATGGATGGCTTTGGGCAAACATCATCTCTGAAACAATAACAACTACAATAAAATTTGGACATTTTTGTCCCCATAAAAAGTTTGCTTGTGCCATTTCTCCATTAATTTTACATCAACTCTCGCTAACCACTAAGTTGCTTTTGGTCGCTAGGAATTATAATTGTTTCCTCCAGCCTCATATGGATGGAATCAAATAGTATGTATTATTTTGTATCTGGTTCTGGCTCTTTTTTTAGTGTGTGTTTTGAGATTCATCCACATCACGTATAAGATATTTGTTCCTTTTTATTTCCAAGAAGTATCCGTTGTATGCCACAAATTTTTAATGCCGGCACTTGGTAATGAAATTTTGTTTTTACTTTTGGGCTGTTATGAATAAAACGTCTGTGAACATTTGTTTATAAGTCTTTGTGTGGACATGTGTTTTACTTTTTTTTTTTTGATAAATATCTAGGAGTACAATTGCAGGACAACATAGTAAATGGATGCTTAGCTTCACAGAACAACTACCAGTTTCCTCAAAGTGGTTGTAACATTGTATATCCCCACCGGTAGTGTCATTGTCGCAGCTGTTCCACATCCATGCTAAAACTTGATATTGTCAGCTTTGTAAATTTTTAGCCATTTAAGTGTGTGTGTAGTTGCCATTTATGGTGTTAATTTCACTTTTTGAAATCTATGACTTTCAAAGTATTGGCCCATTTCATCTAGATTTTCAAGATATTGACACAAAGTAGCTCATCTATTTCCTTATTTTTCTGTAAAGTCTGTAGGAACTATAGTTATATCCTTTTCCATTCCTAATACCGTTAAATTGCTTCTTCTCTTATTTTTTTAAATTAAGCTGGCTAGTGATTTATCAACTTTGTCAACCTATTCAAAGAACCAGCTTCTGTATCACCAATTTTTTCTACTGCTTTTCTGTTTGTTTTTTCTTTTTCATTAATGAAAAATTTCTTAACTAACTTTGGGTTTAATTTAATTTTCTTTGGGTGCAACTTAGATGTCTGGTTTTACATCTTTATTCTTTTTCTAATATAAGAATTTAATGCTATACATTTCCTTTTATGCACTGCTTTGGTTTCGTCTAATATATTTTGGTATTATATTATATTTTATTTTATCTTTATTATACTTTAAGTTCTAAGGTACATGTGCACAATGTGCAGGTTTGTTACACAGGTATACATGTGCTATGCTGGTTTGCTGTACCCATCAACTCATCATTTACATTAGGTATTTCTCCTAATGCTATCTCTCCCCAAGCCCCCCACCCCCTGACAGGCCCCAGTGTGTGATGTTCCCCACCCTGTGTCCAAGTGTTTTCATTGTTCAGTTCCCACCTATGAGTGAGAACATGCGGTGTTTGGTTTTGTCCTTGTGATGGTATGCTGAGAGTGATGGTTTCTAGCTTCATCCATGTCAGTACAAAGGACATGAACTCACCCTTTTTATGGCTGCATAGTATTCCATGGTGTATATGTGCCACATTTTCTTAATCCAGTCTATCACTGATGGACATTTAGGTTGTTTTCAGCTCTTTGCTATTGTGAACAGTGCTACAGAAAACATACGTGTAAATGTACCTTTATAGTAGCATGTTTTATAATCCTTTCAGTATATTCCCAGTAATGGGATTGCTGGCTCAAATGGTATATCTAGTTCTAGATCCTTGAGGAATTGCCACACTGTTGTCCACAATGGTTGAACTAATTTACACTCCCACCAGCAGTGTAAAAGTGTTCCTATTTCTCCACATCCTCTCCAGCATCTGTTCTTTCCTGATTTTTTAATGATCGCCATTCTAACTGGTGTGAGATGGAATCTCATTGTGATTTTGATTAGCATTTTTCTGATGATCAGTGATGATGAGCATTTTTCATGTGTCTGTTGGCTGCATAAATGCCTTCTTTTGAGAAGTGTCCGTTCATATCCTTTGCCCAATTTTAATGGGATTGTTTATTTTTTTCTTGTAAATTTGTTTAAGTTCTTTGTAGATTCTGGATATTAGCCCTTTGTCAGATAGGTAGATTATAAAAGTTTTCTCCCATTCTGTACGTTGCCTGTTCACTCTGATGGTAGTTTATTTTGCTATGCAGAAACTCTTTAGTTTAATTAGATCCCATTTGTCTATTTTGGCTTTTGTTGCCATTGCTTTTTGTGTTATAGTCATGAAGTCCTTGCCCATGCCTATGTCCTGAATGGTATTGCCTAGGTTTTCTTCTAGGGCTTTTATGGTTTTAGGTCTAACATTTAAGTCTTTAATCCATCTTGAATTAATTTTTGTATAAGGTGTAAGAAAGGAATCCAGTTTCAGCTTTCTACATATGGCTAGCCAGTTTTCCCAGCACCATTTATTAAATAGGGAATCCTTTCCCCATTTCTTGTTTTTGTCAGGTTTGTCGAAGATCTGGTGGTTGTCAATGTGTGGTATTATTTCTGAGGCCTCTGTTTTGTTCCATTGTTCTATATATCTGTTTTGGTACCAGTACCATGCTGTTTTGGTTACTGTAGCCTTGTAGTATAGTTTGAAGTCAGGTAGCGTGATGCCTCCAGCTTTGTTCTTTTGGCTTAGGATTGTCTTCACAATGTGGGCTCTTTTTTGATTCCATATGAACTTTAAAGTAGTTTTTTCCACTTCTGTGAAGAAAGTCATTGGTAGCTTGATGGGGATGGCATTGAATCTATAAATTACCTTGGGCAGTATGGCCATTTTCAAGACATTGGTTCTTCTTATCCATGAGCATGGAATGTTCTTCCATTTGTTTGTGTCCTCCTTTATTTCGTTGAGCAGTGGTTTGTAGTTCTCCTTGAAGAGGTCTTTCACATCCCTTGTAGGTTGGATTCCTAGGTATTTTATTCTCCTTGTAGCAATTGTGAATGGGAGCTCACCCATGATTTGGCTCTCTGTTTGTCTGTTATTGGTGAATAGGAATGCTTGCAATTTTTGCACATTGATTTTGTATCCTGAGGCTTTGCTAAGTTGCTTATAAGCTTAAGGAGGTTTTCGGCTGAGATGATGGGGTTTTCTAAATATACAATCATGTCATCTGCAAACAGGGACAATTTGACTTCCTCTTTTCCTAATTGAATACTTTTTATTTCTTTCTCCTGCCTGATTGCCCTGGCCAGAACTTCCAACACTATGATGAATACGAGTGGTGAGAAAGGACGTCCTTGTCTTGTGCTAGTTTTCCAAGGGAAAGTTTCCAGGTTTTGCCCATACAGTATGATAATGGCTGTGGATTTGTCATAAATAGCTCTTATTATTTTGAGATACATTTTATCAATACTTAGTTTATTGAGTGTTTGTAGCATGAAGGGCTGTTGAATTTTGTCAAAGGCCTTTTCTGCATCTATTGAGATAATCATGTGGTTTTTATCATTGGATTTGTTTACATGATGGATTATATTTATTGACTTGCATATGTTGAATCAGCCTTGCATCCCAGGGATGAACCCAACCTGATCGTGGTGGATAAGCTTTTTGATGTGCTGCTGGATTCGATTTGCCAGTATTTTATTGAGAATTTTTGCATCACTGTTCATCAGGGATATTGGTCTAAAATTCTTTTTTTTCTTGTGTCTCTGCCAGGCTTTGGTATCAGGATGATGCTGGCCTCATAAAATGAGTTAGGGAGGATTATCTCTTTTTCTATTGATTGGAATATTTTCAGAAGGAATGGTACCAGCTCCTCTTTGTACCTCTGGTAGAATTTGGCTGTGAATCCGTCTGGTCCTGGACTTTTTTTGGTTGGTAGGATGTTAATTATTGCCTCAATTTCAGAGCCTGTTATTGGTCTATTCAGAGATTCAACTTCTTCCTGGTTTAGTCTTGGGAGGGTGTATGTGCCCAGGAATTTATCCATTTCTTCTAGATTTTCTAATTTATTTGCATGCAGGTGTTTATATTATTCTCTGATGGTAGTTTGTATTTCTGTGGGATCGGTCGTGATATCCCCTTCATCATCTTTTATTGTGTCTATTTGATTCTTCTCTCTTTTCTTCTTTATTAGTCTTGCTAGTGGTCTATCAATTTTGTTGATCTTTTTTAAGAAAACATCTCTTGGATTCATCGATTCTTTGAAGGGTTTTTTGTGTGTCTATCTCCTTCAGTTCTGCTCTGATCTTAGTTATTTCTTGCCTTTGCTAGCTTTTGAATTTCTTTCCTCTTGCTTCTCTAGTTCTTTTAATTGTGATGCTAGGGTGTCAGTTTTAGATCTTTCCCGCTTTCCCTTGTGGGCATTTAGTGCTATAAATTTCCCTCTACACACTGCTTTAAATGTGTCCCAGAGATTCTGGTATGTTGTTTCTTTGTTCGCATTGGTTTCAAAGAACATCTTTATTTCTGCCTTCATTTCATTATTTACCAAGTAGTCATTCAGGAGCAGGTTGTTCAATTTACATGTAGTTGTGCAGTTTTGAGTGAGTTTCTTAATCCTGAGTTCTAATTTGATTGCACTGTGGTCTGAGAGACAGTTTGTTGTGATTTCTGTTATTTTACATTTGCTGAGGAGTGCTTTACTTCCAATTATGTGGCCAATTTTAGAATAAGTGTGATGTGGTGCTGAGAAGACTGTATATTCTGTTGATTTGGGGTGGAGAGTTCTGTAGATGTCTATTAGGTCTGCTTGGTGCAGAGCTGAGTTCACGTCCTGGATATCTTTGTTAACCTTCTGTCTCATTGATCTGTCTAATATTGACAGTGGGGTGTTAAAGTCTCCCATTATTGTGTGGGAGTCTAAGTCTCTTTGTGGGTCTCTAAGGACTTGTTTTATGAATCTGGGTGCTCCTATATTGGGTGCATATATATTTAGGATTGTTAGCTTTTCTTGTTGAATTGTTCCCTTTACCATTATGTAATGGTCTTCTTTGTCTCTTTTGATCTTTGTTGGTTTAAAGTCTGTTTTATCAGAGACTAGGATTGCAACCTCTGCATTTTTTGCTTTGCATTTGCTTGGTAGATCTTCGTCCATCCTTTTATTTTGAGCCTATGTGTGTCTCTGCATGTGAGATGGGTCTCCTGAATACAGCACACTGATGGGTCTTGACTTTTTATCCAATTTGCAAGTCTGTGTCTTTTAATTGGAGCATTTATCCCATTTACAGTTAAGGTTAATATTGTTATGTGTGAATTTGACCCTGTCATTATGATGTTAGCTGGTTATTTTTCCCATTAATTGATGCAGTTTCTTCATAGAATAGATGGTCTTTACCATTTGGCATGTTTTTGCAGTGGCTGGTACTGGTTGTTCCTTTCCATGTTTAGTGCTTCCTTCAGGAGCTCTTGTAAGGCAGACCTGGTGGTGACAAAATGTCTCAGCATTTGCTTCTATGTGAAGGATTTTATTTCTACCGCACTTATGAAGCTTAGTTTGGCTGGATATGAAATTCCGGGTTGAAAATTCTTTCCTTTAAGAATGTTGAATATTGGCCCCCACTCTCTTCTGGTTTGTAGGGTTTCTGCCAAGAGATCCACTGTTAGTCTGATGGGCTTCCCTTTGTGGGTAACCTGACCTTTCTCTCTGCCTACCCTTAATTCTTTTTCCTTCATTTCAACCTTGGTGAATCTGACAATTATGTGTGTTGGGGTTGCTCTTCTCGAGGATTATCTTTGTGGTGTTCTCTGTATTTCCTGAATTTGAATGTTGGCCTGCCTTGCTAGGTTGGGGAAGTTCACCTGGATAATATCCTGAAGAGTGTTTTCCAACTTGGTTCCGTTCTCCCAGTCACTTTCAGGTACACCAATCAAACGTAGATTTGGTCTTTTCACATAGTCCCATATTTCTTGGAGGCTTTGTTCATTTCTTTTTACTCTTTTTTCTCTAAACTTGTCTTCTCTCTTTATTTCATTAATTTGATTTTCAATCACTGATATCCTTTCTTCCACTTGAGGGAATCAGCTATTGAAGCTATGCATGTGTTATGAAGTTCTCGTTCTGTGGTTTTCAGCTCCATCAAGTCATTTAAAGTCTTCTCTACACTGTGTATTCTATTTAGCCATTCATCTAACCTTTTTTCAAAGTTTTTAGCTTCTTGTGATGGATTAGAACATAATCCTTTATCTTGGAGAAGTTTGTTATTACTGGCCTTCTGAAGCCTACTTCCGTCAACTTGTCAAAGTCATTCTCCATTCAGCTTTGTTCCGTTGCTGGCGAGGAGCTGCAATACTTTGCAGGAGAAGAGGTGCTCTGGTTTTTAGAATTTTCAGCTTTTCTGCTCTGGTTTCTCCCCATCTTTGTGGTTTAATCTACATTTGGTCTTTGATGTTGGTGACCTACAGATGGGGTTTTGGTGTGGTTGTTCTTTTTGTTGATGTTGATGCTATTCCTTTCTGTTTGTTAGTTTTCCTTCTAACAGTCAGGTCCCCCAGCTGCAGGTCTGATGGAGTTTGCTGGAGGTCCACTCCAGACCCTGTTTGCCTGGGTATCACCAGCGGAGGCTGCAGAACAGTAAATATCGCAGGACAGCAAATATTGCTGCCTGATACTTCCTCTGGAAGCTTCGTCCCAGAGGGGCACCCACTTATATGAGGTGTCTTTCAGCCCCTGCTGAGAGGTGTGTCCCAGTTAGGCTACACAGGGGTCAGGGACCCACTTGAGGAGGTAGTCTGTCCGTTCTTAGAGCTCAGATGCCATGCTGGGAGAACCACTGCTCTCTTCAGAGCTGTCAGACAGGGACGTTTAAGTCTGCAGATGTTTCTGCTGCCTTTTGTTCACCTATGCCCTGCTCACAGAGGTGGAACTATAGAGGCAGTAGGCCTTGCTGAGCTGCAGTTGGCTCCGCCCAGTTCAAGCTTCCTGGCCACTTTGTTTACCTACTCAAGCCTCAGCAATGGCAGACGACCCTTCCCCCTGCTGGGCTGCAGCTTCGCAGGTCGATCTCAGACTGCTGCGCTAGCAGTGAGCAAGGCTCCATGGGCATGGGACCCACAGAGCCAGGCACAGGAGAGAATCTCCTGGTCTGCTCATTGCTAAGACTACGGGAAAAGCACAGTATTTGGGCAGAAGTGTCCCGTTTTTTCTGGTACAGTCTGTCTTGGCTTGCCTTGGCTATGAAAGGGAAATCCCCCGACACTTTGCACTTCCCAGTTGAGGCGACATCCCACCCTGCTTCAGCTTGCCCTCCATGGGCTGCACCCACTGTCCAACCAGTCCCAGTGAGATGAGCCAGGTACCTCAGTTGGAAATGCAGAAATCACCTGTCTTCTGCATTGATCACACTGGGAGCTGCAGACTGGAGCTGTTCATATTCAGCCATCTTCTGGTATTTTTATTTTAAATTCATTTATATTTTCTAATTTCCCTTTTGCTTTCTTTTTATGTCTAAGGAATATTATTAGAAGTGTATTGTTTAATTTCTGAAATTTAAAGATTTCCAAGATCTATTTCTGTAATTGATTTATAATTTAATTTGTAGTGTTTGGAAAATATACCATGAATGATTTGAATTTTTAAAATTTTATTGAGTCTAGCTTTGTGGTCCAGAAAATTGTCTAACTTTGTGAATGTTCCATATATTTTTTTAAATGGTCTAACTTTGTGAATGTTCCATATATATTTTACTTGATGTTATTCTCTTATCATTGGGTAGAGGGTTCTATAATTGTTAATAAGGTTAATTGGTTAATATTGTTTTTCCCCTTTTTGCGGGGGGGTGGGACGGAGTCTTGCTCTGTCACCAGGCTGGAATGCAGTGGCGCGATCTCGGCTCACTGCAACCTCCACCTCCCAAGTTCAAGCGATTTTCCTGCCTCAGCCTCCCAAGTAGCTGGGACTACAGTCATGCACCACCACGCCCAGCTAATTTTTTGTATTTTTAGTAGAGACAGGGTTTCACCATGTTGGCCAGGATGGTCTCGATCTCTTGAACTCGTGATGCACCCACCTCGGCCTCCCAAAGTGCTCGGATTACAGGCGTGAGCCACCGTGCCTGGCCTGTTTTTCTCATATTTTACGCTTACTGATTATCTGTATATTTGTTCTCTCAAATATTGAGAAAAGAGTATTAATACCTTCAACTATCAGTGTTGATTTGTCTATTTCCCCTTTTAATTTCATAAGTTTTTGCTTCATGTATTTTGTGGCCCTCCTATTATATGAATATATATTTGTAATTATTACTCATACTGGCTTGCCCCTTTTATCATTATGACATATCCCTCTAGGGCTTTAGTAAACTCCTTCTCCTACTGGCTTGCCCCTTTTATCATTATGACATATCCCTCTAGGGCTTTAGTAAACTCCTTCTCCTAAAGTTCATTTTATCTGATATTATTATATTATAGTAAGTCCAGCTCTTGTATGCATACCGTTTACACAGTATATCACTTTTCATCATTTTATCACAACTAATTACACATTTGAATTTAAAGTGCATCTCTTGTTGGAATCTGTCAGTTGTATCTTACTTTTTAAAGTTGACTCTTGCAACTTATGCCATTTGATTCTAATGTTTAATCTGTTTACATTTAACATAACTATTGATATATTTTGACTTGTCTGTCATTTTACTCTTTGTTTTCTGTTTGCCTTTTTTTTGTACTTCTTTTGCCAATTTTCTCCCTTCTTCATGTAAAACAAGCATTTTTAACAAAGTATTTTCATCACTTATTTCACATTTTATCTTTATTCCGTCACATTATTTTTAGTCATTGCTCTATAGATTTTAACAAGCATTTTTAATTATCACAGTCTACTTAAAGGTCATGCTGAATTACTTATGGTGAAATAGAAGAGCCTTACATTGGTATAATTCAATTTCTTCCTGCTTTGTGTTATTGTTTTTAATCTATATGATGTATATATATATATATATATATGTAAACCTATCGATATAGAATTAACCTTAAAGTTAATCTAGTTATTAACTTTGTGCTAACAATCTGAAAATGCCTTTCTTTTCTTTCTTGAGACATAGTTTTGTTATGTATAGAATTCTTGGTTTACAATTTTCATTTCTTTGGTTTTCTTTTTAAAGCACTTTGAATATTTTATTTCAATTACTTTTAATTCTTTGCTGTTTTATTTGAGAAGTCAGTCATCAATCATTTATTCTTCACCTGAAGGTAATTTGTCGTTTTTCTCTTGCTTTTTCAGGATTTCCTCTTTATTTTTGGCTTTCAGCAGTTTGTTCCAGGTCTAATGTGGTATCCTCTGTGTTTGTGTATTTTAGGGTTTATTGTGCATCTCAGATCTGTGAGTTAATGTTTTTTTTTTTGTTTTTTTTTTTTTGGTTTTTTTTTTTGCCATTTTCTCTCTCTCTTTTTTTCTTTCGGAAGTTCAATGACACTTGTGCTAGCATACTTGATCTTGTTGGATAGATACCAATGGCTCTGATAACTTTTCTTCAATCTCTCTTTGTCTCCCTGTCCCCCCTTATAAAAGAACTCTAATTTCTATCACATGTACTGAGATTCACTGATTCTTTCCTCTGACACCCCAAAATTCTACTATGCCCCTCTAGAGAATTTTTTATTTTAGTTATTACAATCTTCACCTTTAAAATTCCTAACAATTGGCCGGGCGCGGTGGCTCATGCCTGTAATGCCAGCACTTTGGGAGGCTGAGGCAAGCGGATCACGAGGTCAGGAGATTGAGACCATCCTGGCTAACACAGTGAAACCCCATCTCTACTAAAAATACAAAAAATTAGCTGGGCATGGTGGCAGATGCCTGTAATCCCAGCTACTCAGGAGGCTGAGGCAGGAGAATGGTGTGAACCCAGGAGATGGAGCTTGCAGTGAGCCAAGATTGGGCCACTGCACTCCAACCTGGGTGACAGAGCAAGACTCCATCTAAAAATAAAATAAAATAAAATAAAAATTCCTAACAACTCATTTTTATGGTTTGCATTTATCTGTTGAAATATCCTTTTCTGGTCATTGACTGTTAACATGCTGTTCTTTAATTGTTTGAACATATTTTCTTTAATTCCTTGCCTATATTTGTAATAGCTGCTTTAAAGTCTTTGTCTGCTAAATACAAAATTATGGCCCACCCAGAATCAGTTTTAATTGATTGATATTTTTCCTGAGTATGGGTCACATTTTCCTATTTCTTTGGATATCTAGTAATTTTCTTGACAAGAAATATTGGAATAACTTTGGATTCTGTTTTCTTCTTTGCATAATTGTTATTGGTGTTTTTATTACGATTATCATTATTATTTTATTGCTATTGGCAATTAACTTGCGTGGATTCAAACTGTGAGATCTGTCTTCCCCATAAATGCAGCCACTGATTTCTTGAATCAATTTTAGTTTTCTAAAAATCATTTTTATTACAGCTGTTACTTTTTAGCTTGGCCCTCTAGGACTCTCACTTTACATGCATAGTTTAATAGTCAGCCAAATATTTTCACAGAAAGTATGCTCAGCCCGAACTATGTGAAAGTTGGAGAACAACTTTTAGTCAAAAAGACCAGCAATGAGCAAGTCTCGTGAGTATTTCTACCTTCAAAGACACATCTCCTTTCTCATGCGTTGTCTGTCATTTTAATATTTGTTTTCTGTTTGTCTTATGCGTAGTTGAGCAGTCAGCTAGTGATTTGGGTAGAGTTTATTATTAGATTTTAGCTCTAGGTCCTACTAGGTATAACTTACTTCCCTAAATTCCTCCATATATTTCCTACTGTTTTGCCATTCCAAGCCCCAAATTCTGCTTTCTGTCATTTCCAACCCACACAGCTGTATTTTCCAACACCTCCAGGCAAGCAACCCATTAATCCATTGTTACTACTTAAAGCAGTAGCATTCTTTCATGAGTCATCTCTTTTTAAAAGCTTTGTTTGAATTTATACTTAAAGTACATCAATTGTACTCAGCCTATAATTGTGTTTTACGACTTTCTGCTTTTTGTTGAAGTGTTTATTCCGTTTGCATATATATAGACTGATATTTCTTTTAGTCAAGGATCACATTTTCCTGATTTTTGTCATGTTTGGTAATGGTAATCTTTTGTTGGATGCAGGACTGTGTGGGTATTACATTATTGAAAATCCAAATTTTCAATTTCAAATTTGCTTGTTTGTTTGCTTTGCTTTACTTTAAGTAGAGCTGGTCACCTTTCTAGTGGGCAATTGAGTTGCCTGTGTAGCCCAGCACAGTTTCAAACACATAGTATTTGTTTAAAAACTTGTTGAAAGAATGAATGTAATATTGAGATAATGAGGTTGCTTTGAAGTTGTTTTGATAACCTATCATGGCACAAATGTGAGGAATATTTTAGAAAAAAATCTGGGTGCCCCAGAAGGATTCTTCCATTAAATAGAAGTCAAGGACAAGAAGGTTCATTGAAGATGATAATTTTGTTTGAAATTTTATGTACCTTATGGTGCTCATGGGAAATTTGGCCAAAATGGGTAGAAAATAAGAAGTCTGGATATGGAGCTCAGGAAAGAAGCTGGGTATAAAAATTCCTAATTATACAGCTAACTGAATACAATGGTATTTGAAACCAAAAACTTGAAGAATCCCCCAGAAAGTGTCTGGCATGAGTCTACTAGAATATTAAATACAACTCTGGTACTAATAATGTTTGAATAGAAGGACACAAAACACACACATAATAGTTTCAAGAACAAATCATAAATTTTGGAAAAGAACCAAGTAAATGTGGGTGTGTCGTAGAAATGATTAGTATTTGTCATATCTCTTTTTTACCTTCTTCCAGTTTGGACAAAATGACTAGTTCTAACCAATTGACTATGAACAGAAATAAATGTGTCAATACTGACCTGAAGCATTCATTTAGCAGTGAGAAACTCATTGCTTTTGCCCTGCTGCAATGATCATAGAGGAGGCTATATGTTTTTCAGAATTAAAGTAGCCTGGAGACTGATACACTAATTGGAGAACAGTTACTCCTGAGAGTCACCTGGACCCTCCAAAGAATCTTGTGACTGATAAATAAAGTCAGAAGGACTTCATTGTATAAATAAAGTCCTTGAGATTTTGGGTTTCTTTTCTTTTCTTTTTTGAAACAGAATCTCACTCTGTTGCCCAGGCTGGAGTGGAGTGGTCCCATCTGGGCCCACTGCAACCTCCGCCACCCAGCTTCAAGCGATTCTCCTGCTCAGCCTCCCGAGTAGCTGGAATTACAGGCATGTGCCACCACGCCCGGCTAATTTTTGAATTTTTAGTAGAGACAGGATTTCACCATTATGGCCAGGCTGGTCTCAAACTCCTGACCTCAGGTGATCCGCTCGCCTTGGCCTCCCAAAGTCCTGGAATTACAAGTGTGAGCCACCGCGTCCGGCCAGGTTTATTTCTTACTGTGATGCAATCTTACCCACCCAGACTGACACAAATATCAACCTTCCCTTCTCCAACCATCCTCTCCTTCTTGCAACAATTGCAAGCTTTGCAAGCCAGTGAATCTACTTCAGCTCATTCAAGTAGTAAAGTAATTTTTCCAAGGATATCCGTAATATCACAGAATCTTCTGCAATGCCTGCAAGTTAGGCATGTGAGCTATGCACCTGCAAGAGCATTCAAATCACAACCCGGTGGCTGCTCTGGCAAAGAAAGCACTGCCACCTTTGCTGCTTAGCATAGAGATTGACTGTCACACTAATGATGTTTCCATGTGAGCTATCTGCTCATGTCTTTATTTCTTGGTCGTGTTGCTGGCATTTTTCTTACTGATTCATGGTAATTTTCTGTTTTAAAAATAGTTGCTCTATAAAGAGCTATATACTGTAAATGTTTCCCAAGGTTTTTGTGTGTCTTTATACACTGCCATAGTTTGCTTTCATTTTTGCTTTTTATTTTGAGCATTAAGATTTTTATTAATTTATAAATTTTCTATGCTTTTCATAGACTTAAAAAAGCTCCACCACGTTTAGTGAGATGTTTTAAAACTTATTCTATCTCTGTTTTTCCTTTTAATGATTTTTTAAAATTATTAGACTTTTTTTAGAACAGTTTTTGATTTAAAGAAAAAATGGAAGGTTAGTACAGAAAGTTCCCAAATACATTCTACAAATATTACTATATGTTACAATCAATGAACCCATATTGATATGTTAATATTAACTAACATCCATAGTTTATTCAGATGCCCTTAGATTTTACCTAGCATCCTCTTTTTTTGTTTGTTTCAGGGTCCAACTTAGGATATCACATTGCATTTAGTTGTCATGACTCCCTGGCCTCCTTTGGTTTGTGATAGTTTCTCAGTCTTTGCTTATTTTTCAAGATCTTAAAAGTTTTGAAGGGTATTGGTCAGATATTTGGTTAGCCCTTTTTTTTTGAGTGTGTTTGATGCTAGTCTCATGATTAGACTGGGATTATAGGTTGTGGGGGAGAAACATTACAGAGGTAAAGTGCCATTTTTATCTCATCACATCAATGGTTTACCATGCTTTATGGCTGAGGTTGACCTTAATCATCTGACTGAAGTAATGTTAGTCAGGTATCTCCATTGTAAATTATTCTTTTGGCCCCCGCTTTATACTGTACTTAGGCTTTGAAAGGAAGTTACTGTGAAGGGTCTGTACATAGGAGTTATGCTCCCTCTCCTTTGGGGTGGACTATCTACATAATTCATTTGGAATTCTTTGGCATGGGAGATTTGTCTCTTTTCTCCCATTTATTAATTCATTCAACCATTTATTTATATTGGCATAGGCTTATGGATGCTTATTTTACACTTTGGATTAAAATCCAATACTACTTATTTTGCTGCTTAAATTATTCCATTTTTGCCATTAGGAGCTCTTTCAGTGCCTTTTTGATATACTCCCCCCTTTTTTTTTTTTTAGCACTTTCTTCTTTCCTGGCAATACAAGATGTCCCAGGCTCATCTTCTATTTTTTGTACCCCTGTCCTAGAATAATTCATTTCTCTGAGGAGCCCTGGTTTCTTCTCACGGTGAATGGCATTTGAAACTAAGAGCTGAACACTAGGTGTGCTTGGTGCTATTTGGATGCTATTTCTTTTAGAACCTTTCAGCAGAAGAGCAAAATATATGTGTGTACAATAGCCCGTGTATGTATACATATCTATACATATTTTTATTTGTAACCGTTTGTATCTATATTAAGTTAAAATTGAGCTTGTGATTATGTTTTTTATTAGTTTATTTTATTATTATTATACTTTAATTTTTAGGGTACAAGTGCACAACGTGCAGGTTTGTTACATATGTATACATGTGCCATGTTGGTGTGCTGCACCCATTACCTCATCATTTAGCATTAGGTATATCTCCTAATGCTATCCCTCCCCGCTCCCCCCACCCCACAACAGTCCCTGGTGTGTGATATTCCCATTCCTGTGTCCATGTGTTCTCATTTTTCAATTCCCATCTATGAGTGAGAACATACGTTTTTAACTCTAATCTATTGCCACATGAATTATTCTAGCTTCTTCCCCTTTGTTGATCTGTAAATTCCCATTCCAACGTGAAAAATCTGGTTTCCACTATCCATCGTCCATCTATTTAATTGTTCAATTCCAGTATACCTGCATACTACTAACAGAATTGTGAATCCTTATGTGCATGTGAAACAACTGTATCAACTAGTGTATATAATACCAAGTGCAGTTCTTTCATCTTACAGACTCCATTAATTTCCAAAGTTACTGAGGTCAACATATTTTCTTTTTTAAAGAATTTTTGTTTATGTTTATATATCTGTAAGTTTGAAATTCTTTTTTATCGTATATATTTAGGGTATAAAGCATGATGTTTTGATACAGATATAGGTATATAGTAACATTATTATTACTGTGGTCAAGCAAATTAACATATACATCATCTCACATAGTTATTTGTGCGTGTGGTAAGATCACCTAAAATCTACTCTTGTAGCAAATTTTCAGTACACAATACAATATTATTAGCTGTAGTCCTCATCCTAAATATTACATCCCTAGACATATTCATCCTATATTACTGAAACTTTGTATACTTTGACCTACATCTCCCCATCCCCACCCCTAAACCCACCACAGCCCCTGGTAACTACCATTTTCCTCTGTTTCTAGGTATAGGTTTTTTGGGATTTCACATGTGAGTGAGATCATGCAGTATATTTCTTTCTGTGTCCAGTTTATTAGTCTGCACATTTTTTTCCCACCATGTTCAGTGAGGTTGTTTCATACATTTCTAATATAATTCGATTTTTCTGTGACAGTCTCCATTCTTTCTGGGATCCCCTAACCTCTTAAAACAAACTACCATCAGAGAATACTATAAACACCTCTATGCAAATAAACTGGAAAATCTAGAAGAAATGGATAAGTTCCTGGACACATACAACCTCCCAAGACTAAAGCAGGGAGAAGTTGAATCCCTGAATAGACCAATAACAGGCTCTGAAATTGAGGCAATAGTTAATAGCCTACCAACCAAAAAAAGTCCAGGACCAGACGGATTCACAGCCAAATTCTACCAGAGGTACAAGGAGGAGCTGGTACCATTCCTTCTGAAACTATTCCAATCAATAGAAAAAGAGTGAATTCTCCCTAACTCATTTTATGAGGCCAGCATCATCCTGATACCAAAGCCTGGCAGAGACACAACAAAAAAAGAGAATTTTAGACCAATATCCCTGATAAACATCAATGCAAAAATCCTCAACAAAATACTGGCAAACCGAATCCAGCAGCACATCAAAAAGCTTATCCACCACGATCAAGTTGGTTTCATCCCTAGGATGCAAGGCTGGTTCAACATACACAAATCAATAAACATAATCCATTATATAAACAGAACCAAAGACGAAAACCACATGATTATCTCAATAGATGCAGAAAAGGCCTTCAACAAAATTCAACAGCCCTTCATGCTAAAAGCTCTCAGTAAACTAGGTATTGATGGAACATATCTCAAAATAATAAGAGGTATTTATGACAAACCCACAGCCAATGTTGTATTGAATGGGCAAAACTAGAAGCATTGCCTTTGAAAACTGGCACAAGACAGGGTTTCCCTCTCTCACCACTCCTATTCAACATAGTGTTGGAAATTCTGGCAAGGGCAATAAAAAAAAGGAATAAAGTGTATTCAATTAGGAAAAGAGGAAGTCAAATTGTCCCTGTTTGCAGATGACATGATTGTATATTTAGAAAACCCCATTGTCTCAGCTCAAAATCTCCTTAAGCTGATAAGCAACTTCAGCAAAGTCTCAGGATACAAAATCAATGTGCAAAAATCACAAGCATTCCTATACACCAATAACAGACAAAGAGCCAAATCATGAGTGAAATTCCATTCACAATTGCTTCAAAGCAAATAAAATACCTAGGAATCCAACTTACAAGGGATGTGAAGGACCTCTTCAAGGAGAACTACAAACCACTGCTCAACGAAATAAAAGACGACACAAACAAATGGAAGAACATTCCATGCTCATGGATAGGAAGAATCAATATCATGAAAATGACCATACTGCCCAAGGTAATTTATAGATTCAATGCCATCCCCATCAAGCTACCAAAGACTTTCTTCACAGAAGTGGAAAAAACTACTTTAAAGTTCATATGGAACCAAAAAAGAGCCCGCATCGCCAAGTCAATCCTAAGCCAAAAGAACAAAGCTGGAGGCATCACACTACCTGACTTCAAACTATACTACAAGGCTACAGTAACCAAAACAGCATGACACTGGTACCAAAGCAGAGATATAGACCAATGGAACAGAACAGAGCCCTCAGATATAATCTACATATCTACAACCATCTGATTTTTGACAAACCTGACAAAAACAAGAAATGGGGAAAAGATTCTCTATTTAAGAAATGGTGCTGGGAAAAATGGCTAGCCATATGTAGAAAGCAGAAACTGGATTCCTTTCCTTACACCTTATACAAAAATTAATTCAAGATGGATTAAAGACTTAAATATAACACCTAAAACCATAAAAACCCTAGAAGAAAACCTAGGCAATACCATTCAGGACATAGGCATGGGCAAGGACTTCATGACTAAAACACCAAAAACAATGGCAACAAAAGCCAAAATTGACAAATGGGATCTAATTAAACTAAAGAGCTTCTGCATAGCAAAAGAAACTACCATCAGAGTGAACAGGCAACCTACAGAATGGGAGAAAATATTTACAATCTACCCATCTGACAAAGGGCTAATATTCAGAATCTACGAAGAGCTTAAATTTACAAGAAAAAAAATCAAACAACCCCATCAAAAAGTGGGCAAAGGATATGAACAGACACTTCTCAAAAGAAGACATTTATGTCCCCAACAGACACATGAAAAATTGCTCATCATCACTGGCCATCAGAGAAATGCAAGTCAAAACCACAATGAGATACCATCTCACACCAGTTAGAATGGCGATCATTAAAAAATCAGGAAAGAACAGATGCTGGAGAGGATGTGGAGAAATAGGAACACTTTTACACTGTTGGTGGGACTGTAAACTAGTTCAAACATTGTGGAAGACAATGTGGCGATTCCTCAAGGATCTAGAACCAGAAATACCATTTGACCCAGCCATCTCATTACTGGGTATATACCCAAAGGATTATAAATCATGCTGCTATAAAGACACATGCACACATATGTTTATTGTGGCACTCTACACGATAGCAAAGACTTGGAACCAACCCAGATGTCCATCAATGATAGACTGGATTAAGAAAATGTGGCACATATACACCATGGAACACTATGCACCCATAAAAAAGGATGAGTTCATGTCCTTTGTAGGGACATGGATGAAGCTGGAAACCATCATTCTCAGCAAATTGTCACAAGGACAGAAAACCAAACACCGCATGTTCTCACTCATAGGTGGGAATTGAAAAATGAGAACACTTGGACACAGGGTGGGGAATATCACACATGGGGGCTTGTCATGGGGTGGGGGCCTGGGAGAAGGATAGCATTAAGAGATATACCTAATGTAAATGACAAGTTAATCGGTGCAGCAGACCATCATGGCACATGTATACATATGTAACAAACCTGCACGTTGTGCACATGTACCCTAGAACTTAAAGTATAATTTAAAAAAAACAAAAACAAAACAAACCAAAAAAGATTATGTTTTATTTGCATACATTGAGGTTCACTCTTTGTGTTGTAAAGTTCTATAAGGTTTCACAAATTCACAATGCCATGTATCTATCATTATAATATCATACAAAATAGTGAGACCACCCTAAAATGTTTCCATGTTATACCTATTGATTCCCTCAAATCTCTGGCAACTATTGATCTTTAAAGTGTTTTTATAGTTTTGCCTTTTCTGGAATGTCATATACTTGGAATCATACAATATGTGGCCTTTTTAGACTGGCTTCTTCCACTTAGCAATTTGCTTTGTTTTCTCCATGATATTTTGTGGCTTCATAGCTCATTTTATTTATTAAAAAATCAGTTGAGGTAAAATTCACTTAGCATAAAATTAAAACTCCTTAAGTGTATAACTCAGAGGAATGTAGTGCATTCAGGTTGTCGTGCAGCTATCTCCTCCATCAAGTTCCAAAACATTTTCTTTGCCCCAAAAGAAAATCTCATACTCCTAAGCATTCACTCCAAAACCCCCCTACTCCCTGCCCCTGAAAACCACTGATCTATTTTCTGTACTTACGAATTTACCTATTCTTGATACTTCATATAAATGGAATCATACACTATGTAATCTTTTTGTGTTTTGCTTCTTTCATTTAGCACATTTTCAGGGTTCATTTTTGTTGTAGCATATATCAGTATTTCATTCCTTTTTATAGCTAAATAATATTCCACTTCATGTATATATCACATTTTATTTGTTAATTCATTGGTTGATGGAAGTTTGGGTTAATACTACCTTTGGCTATTGTGAATATGATGCTATACCATTTGTGCACAAGTATTTGTTTTAGTATCTGCTTTTCATTATTTGAGTATATACCTAGTAGTGGAATTGCTGGGTCCCATGATAATTTTATTTTTCACTTTTTGAGAAACCATCAAGCTGTTTTCCATAGTGACTGCTCCATTTACATTCCCATCAGCAATGTATAAATGTTCCAATTTCTCTACTTCCTTGCCAATATTTGATATTTCCCCATTTTTACTTATTATAGCTATCCTAGTGGGTGTGAAGTGATAACATATTGTAGTTTTTATTTGCATTCCATTAATGACTAATTATGTTGAGAATCTTCTCATGTACTTGTTGTCCATTTGTATATTGTTTTTGGAGAAATGTTTCTTCAAGTCTTTTGCCATTTTTTGGATTGGATTATTTGTCTTTGGTTAATTGTTGTAAGAGTTTTTAAAAATATATTCTAGACACTGAACCCCTTTCAAATATGTGATTTGTAAATATCATCTCCTTTTCTACAAGTGCTTTTTCATTTTATTGATGATGTCCTTTGATGCACAAGTTTTTAATTTTGATGAAGCTCAGTTATCTATCTTTTCTTTTGTTGCCCACGCTTTTGGTGTCATATCTAACAATTGCCAAATCCAATAACATGAGGTCTTACCCGTCTGTTTTCTTATAACATTTTATAGTTTTAGCCCCTATATTTAGGTTATTAGTCCATTTTGAATTAATTTTTTGTATATTATGAGATAGAGGTATAACTTAAAAAATTTTTTTATTATACTTTAACTTCTGGGGTACATGTGCAGAAAGTGCAGGTTTGTTACATAAGTATACACGTGCAACTTTATAGTGTTTTTGTTTAAATGTGGATATCAAGTTGCCTCAGCACCATTTGTTGAAGAGGATATTCTTTCCCAGCTGAATGGATTTGACACCCTTGTGCTTGTACCATGACGTTTGGATTACTTCATGTTTTTAAGTAAGTTTGAAGTTGCTGAGAACTCTGAGTCCTCCTACTTTGTTATTTTTCAGTATCATTTTAGATATTCATTGTCCTTTGCAATTCTCTATGAATTTGAAAATTAGCTTTTTTATTTCTACCAAAAAGATTGTTGGACTGTTAGAGTTCTGATAGGGATTGCATTGATTTTGTAGGTCACTTTGGTTAGTATTGCCATCTTAAAACTATTAAGTCTTCCAAATCCAAGAAATGAGATGTCTTTTCATTTATTTATATCTTCTTTATTTCAGCAATGTTTTATAGTTTTCCATATATGAGCTTTTCACCTGCTTGATTAAATTTATTCTTAGAATTTTATTCTTCTGGAATCTATTGTAATTGAGATTGTTTTATTATTTTCTTTTTTGAATTGTTCATTGCTGGTATATAGAAACATAATTAACTTCTTTTTATGTGTTGACATAGTACCCTGAAACTACTGAATTCATTTATTAGCTGTATTACTTTTGTGTATTTGTGGATGTTGAGGTATTCTCTATATATAGGATCTTGTCATTTGTAAATTGGGATAGTTTTACTTCTTCCTTTACAATTTACTTCTTTTTCTTGCCTAATCTCTTTAGCTAGAACTTCTAGTACAGTTTTTAATAGCAATGGTGAAAGCAGATGTCTTTTTCATGTTTCCGATGTTAGGTAAGAAGCTTATTGTATTTTACCATTGAGTATGATGTAGTTTATTTTCTTTTGTCATTGAATAATATTCTGTTGTCTGATTGAGTTACTTTTGAATTAAAATATTTGCTTTATCTGTAATGTGCTTATTATAAAGAGTCATGTAGGGACCCAGGTTATTTCCATATGACTTTCAAAATTTTTAACAAAATGTATTAATTTACCTTTCTTCCCACTAATATGCACTTTCTTTACAACTTTTGTTTTTGCTTTTTGCTTCAAATTTTACATTCTCTGTTTTCTTCTATTGATCTCTCTTTATTCATTTGCTATAACCACACTATTTTAGTTATTTTAGCCTTATAATATTTCTTTATATCTGATAGCATTAATCTTCAAAACTCTTATTTTTTTAAATCTGTCTTGGATGTTTTCATTTTTTAATGTGAACTTTGATATTATCTTATTTGGTTCAAAAACAAGCCTGTTGGTACATTTTAATAAAATCATATTGAATATATAAATTAACTGAGGAAGAGTTCATAATTTATAATATTTGTCTTATAATCCAAGAAAAGAATATGGTTTTCCATTTGTTCATGCCATATTTTTGTCCTCTACTGTCTTTAAACATTTCCTTCATGTATAGCGTGCAGATAATTTTTTAAAAATTTGTTTCTAGGCAAATGGAATCATTTCCCATAGAAAAGCTTTAATCTTTCTTGAGTTTCATATTTAGAAGATCCTCATAAGTTCCCTGGAAGTCAGGTGTTATTATTCCTTTTTTGGGGGGTGGGGGACAGGGTCTCACTCTGTCACCCAGGCTGGAGTGCAGTGGGCTGATCTTGGCTCACTGTAACCTTTGCTTTCTGGGTTCAAGTGATTCTCCTGCCTCAGCCTCCTGAGCAGCTGGGATTACAGGCCCCCACCACCATGCCCAGCTAATTACTGTATTTTTGGTATAGACAGGGTTTCACCATCCTGGCCAGGCTGGTCTCAAACTCCTGACTTCATGTGATCCGTCTGCCTCAGCCTCCCAAATTGTTGAGATTACAGGTGTGAGCCACCACGCCCAGTCTAGGTGTTATTATTTTTGCACTACATCATTGGAAAGTATCAGAGTCTGTATTCATATCCATGTCTGTCCGAAACAAACATCTGCATTCTGAATCGCAATGCTGTATCATGTGGTTAAGAGAGATGGATTGAATTGGACTTAATAGGTCAGTCTTTCCCAGGGAAGGTTGGAACATGCACCCACTGTCTATGCATGGTTATTTCCAGGTCTATACCTGGACCTTTGAGTCTTAAGTAATGAAAGTCAAAGTACAAGTAGTCACTCCTCCTCCATTTGTTTAGGTACTGACTTCAAAACCAGCCAGTCAAGTCACTTCCCTTTCTAAATCCCTCCCTGTGCCACATACATACAATGACTCCTATCTATTTCAGCACAGAAAGCCTGGGAGAAGAAACACATCTTACTTGTGTTGATAAAGGCAGAGTGGATGGAGGAGATGATCTTTAAGTTGAGGCTCCAGGCAAGCAGAAGATAAGAACTGATTGGGACATATTTCATTATAAGATGTTTGGTAAAGTTAGATTTTGTCCCTTTTTTATAGTATTTGTACCACTAGGGGTATGAGTCAGTCTGAAGGAGGTGGGAAGCTTTAAAATAAAAATGGTAAAATTTCCTGGATAGTCAATTTTACTGGAAATATGTGAAAGGATTTTATTTTCAAATTCATATCCACATATTTATGCGGCCTGGGCTCTGAAATCTTTGCAAAAACAACACATAAAAGAAAATATGACTACATATGGAATATGATATGTGGAGTTACTGCTGTTGCAGGCAGCTCAGTTATTCCAGCATTAATAGATTAATTCTTATGATATGTCACTACCTAAGAATAGATAGAAAACTAGCTTTCTTTGGCTTCTACTTTTTGTCTGATCAATAATTTTAAAAATAATTTTACATTTAAAAATGGCATACTGTTGAGCAGAAAATAAAATTCACATAAATTTTCAAGTTAAAATATGGAACTTCAAAGACATTTCTTCACTTGGTGGGGCACTTCAGGCTATGCTTTCTTACTGCTTGAGGAAGTGGGTTCAGCCTTTCAGCATTTAGGGAAACTTCAGTGTATAAAGCTCTTAGAGAGAAGTAGCTACTGTTAATATTTCAGTACATTTTTCCTCCTGCCTATTATCAATGTCTCTGTGTGTCTTTGTATTGCTATTATTCTGCAGCTCATTTTAATTTTGAGATAATAATGCACTTCCTATCACCAAAAAATGTTTCAAGCTATTCCTTCTATAGGTGTGTAGCACACTACCTTAATATGTCATATTTTTTTACTCACTTTTCTTATGTGGGATAGTTTTATTATTAAAAATGAGGCTGTAGATTCAACGCCATCCCCATCAAGCTACCAATGACTTTCTTCGCAGAGTTGGAAAAAACTACTTTAAAGTTCATATGGAACCAAAAAAGAGCCCGCATTGCCAAGACAATCCTAAGCCAAAAGAACAAAGCTGGAGGCATCACGCTACCTGACATCAAACTATACTACAAGTCTACAGTAACCAAAACAGCATGGTACTGGTACCAAAACAGATATATAGAACAATGGAACAGAACAGAACCCTCAGAAATAATACCACACATCTACAACCATCTGATCTTTGACAAACCTGACAAAAACAAGAAATGGGGAAAGGATTCCCTATTGAAGAAATGGTGCTGGGAAAACTGGCTAGCCATATGTAGAAAGCTGAAACTGGATCCCTTCCTTACACCTTATACAAAAAGTAATTCAAGATGGATTAAAGACTTAAATGTTAGACCTAAAACCATAAAAACCCTAGAAGAAAACCTAGGCAATACCATTCAGGACTAAAACACCAAAAGCAATGGCAACAAAAGCCAAAATTGACAAATGGGATCTAATGAAACTAAAGAGCTTCTGCATAGCAAAAGAAACTACCATCAGAGTGAACAGGCAACACACAGAATGGGAGAAAATATTTACAATCTACCCGTCTGACAAAGGGCTAATATTCAGAATCTACGAAGAACTTAAATTTACAAGAAAAAAAATCAAACAACCCCATCAAAAAGTGGGCAAAGGATGTGAACAGACGCTTCTCAAAAGAAGACATTTATGCCCCCAACAGACACATGAAAAAATGCTCATCATCACTGGCCATCAGAGAAATGAAAATCAAAACCACAATGAGATACCATCTCACACCAGTTAGAATGGCGATCATTAAAAAATCAGGAAAGAACAGATGCTGGAGAGGATGTGGAGAAATTGGAACACTTTTACACTGTTGGTGGGACTGTAAACTAGTTCAAACATTGTGGAAGACAGTGTGGCGATTCCTCAAGGATCTAGAACTAGAAATACCATTTGACCCAGCCATCCCATTACTGGATATATACCCAAAGGATTATAAATCTTGCTGCTATAAAGACACATGCACACATATGTTTATTGTGGCACTCTACACAATAGCAAAGACTTGGAACCAACCCAAATGTCCATCAATGATAGACTGGATTAAGAAAATGTGGCACATATACACCATGGAACACTATGCACCCATAAAAAAGGAAGAGTTCATTTCCTTTGTAGGGACATGGATGAAGCTGGAAACCATCATTCTCAGCAAACTATCGCAAGGACAAAAAACCAAACACTGCATGTTCTCACTCATAGGTGGGAATTGAACAGTGAGAACACTTGGACACAGGGACGAGAACATCACACACTGGGGCCTGTCGTGGGGTGGGGGCCTGGGGGAGGGATAGCATTGGAGATATACCTAATATAAATGATTAATGGGTGCAGCACACTAATATGGCACATGTATACATATGTAACAAACCTGCACGTTGTGCACATGTACCCTAGAACTTAAAGTGTGATAAAAAATAATAACAAATAAATAAAAAATAAATGAGGCTGTGACCAAATATATTTATATGCGGTCAACTCTTCAGCCAAAATCTAGCCAATATGAATTTATTGTTCTTACCTCAAAATCTAAGCTGTGGACAAGCACATGAATCAAGGGTCCATGAGACAACTACCCCCCACCAACCCCCCAGGTGCCAGCAACTTTGCTCTGTACTCTGCGATGAACTGCTTGAAAAGTACCTCTCTGGTGGTAACTGACTTCCAACATGATAAACTACAGAAGCAGAGAAAGTAGAATCATCATCATCATAACA
The DNA here is from genome assembly GCF_000001405.40 of Homo sapiens. Taxonomy (NCBI): domain Eukaryota; kingdom Metazoa; phylum Chordata; class Mammalia; order Primates; family Hominidae; genus Homo; species Homo sapiens. The sequence continues at coordinate 26,401,847 of NC_000016.10, read as the reverse complement.
CAATAGCAATAATAATAACTATGGACACTTATAAAGCACATACCATATGCCAGGCATTATCCTAAACACTTTGTATATTCACTGATTTAATAATCACAATCCTGTGAGACACATTCGGTTGTTGTCACCACTTGATGGGAAGACAGAAACACAAAGAGGTTGAATGATTTTCTCAAGATTGTGTAGTAAGTAAAATGGCAGAACCAGGCTTCAAACCCACATGGTCTGGCTCCAGAGTTTGTGCTCTAACACTGACACCAAACTTTTTGATAAGACCCTAACACCAGATGAAAATGGCTGCTAAAGAGGACAGAAAAAAAAGAGGGAATGAAGGTGCAATGACAGGAGGAATGGAGGAGGCTACAAAGATGTACTGGCACTCTGCCAGTCACTTTACATATCTTATTTAAGTTTCCAAAGAATACTGAATGGTAGAAATATTTGTCCCAACTTATAGATGAGAAAATTGAGCCTCAAAAAACGGATTTATTTGCTTAAAGAGACAGAGTTCATGTTGGATGGAGCCTGCATTTTCTCCAGGAGAGCCTCCCGGGAGAATTCCCAGAAGAGTAATTTAAGAAGCTTTTATGGCCCAGATTTGACTTTCATTTAGGCATACCTTTAAGTCACTTGGAGCCTTTTGCATGCACAGCCACAGAGCATCTCTCAGGCTTGCACTGCTGACAAGGAGACAGTGGTCAGTAAAAAATGTCTCCCTGGCCACCCAGCCCACCTGCTGAAGACCAAACATACTGAAGAATGGCTTACCACCTGATTTTATTGACTCTAACCCCAAATCATCTTTCTTTAAATAGGCTGTTTTCAAAGGGTGAGTGGAAAGAGGTGACATACCATTGCACAACAACCAAGACAAATCGTCAAAGAGGTTGGTTGGCAGCCTGGAAGAAAACCCTTCCTGAAGTTACAGATGTGGAATTAACCTTTACATCCATCCTGCAAAGTGGGAAGACACAGGCAAGTGAGATGTAACTGGGGAAATGAAAAAAAGATTCTTACCCTATGTTCAGACAGAAAGCAGAAAATGCCAGAGGAATCTATTACGGGCCTGGGCGGGCATCTCGAAATGTAAGAATAGCCATAGGCTTGCTTTCTCTAGCGCCTTTCATCTCTGAGCTTTTTACAACACATAAATACACCAAGCTCCTTTCACTTAGTGCTGCAAAGTTGCCACCTCTGAGACAGAATGTAACAGTCGTTTAGCACCCGCGCCACTACCTCCAGCATCTAAAATTTCCCCTTTTAAAATCCTCTCTTCTTCAAGAAGTCACTCGCCTGCCTGACAATCGGTCAAACCCTTTGCCATGGTAGATTGGTCTTACCAGATCTGTCTGTCTTCCACTGCTCTGACATCATCTGTTACCAGCCTCCCGATTTTTTATCTCTGCATTTCAACCATCTTGGCTTGTGTTTACATCTTCTTCTCCAAAGCCTTTTCCACCTCAGGACTTTGAAAATGCTGCTGCTTCTTCCTGGATCATTTCTCCCTTCCACTTTCCCGAGATGGACCCTCTCTCATCTGTCAGATCTCAAAATGTCACCAATCCCCCTAAAGACCTTCCCTGTCTACATCATGTAAAGTAGCATCCTTGTTCCCTGTCAACTCCAGACTCCATCACATCACTTGCTTGCTGTCTTAATAGAACGTATAGTCATTGACGTGTGCTCTTTTTATGTGTTTACCTTTTATTAACTGTCTTCCCTGTTAGACCAGAATTCCTGTAAGAACAAGGGCCTCGTTTCTATTTCTCCCTTTTCCACTTATGTCCTAACACACAACAGTGTGTTCAGTTTGTAGTAAACACTCAATTTAACAACATATTTTTGAATGAATGGATGCTCAAATGCATTATTAAGTCACTTCATCAGTTATTCAGACTGTCTTCTTCATGCTGTGACTTAAACCCATTTTCTCAGTTTCTCGTAGAAGTGGAAAATATTCACTGGAAGAGTGTAGGCAAGAGGAAAGGCTTGTTAGAACTGGAATTAAAAGAACTCATTCTGTCTTATCTTCGCTACCTAATTACTGGACATTTTAGAGAAACACAGGCTCTCAGAACGTCAGTTTTCTTTTTGATAAGGGAGTTAATGGTGTTTCTGGGTAAAGGTAACATGCTCAAGTTGAATTACAGATCTACATTTCCTCATTACTCATGAAATTAATAAGGAATTGTAAACACCATTTCTAGCAACAACCATATAATGAAAGAGATTCAACTTAGTGGTCTAAACTTTAAGATGAGAGTAAAGAAAAGGAACAGAATACTCTATCAAAGTGCAGCAGAGCTTTGAATCCTATCTGTATTCACTGGCACAGTGCTGGGCATGGGGGCAGGGTAAGGAGGAAAGACAGTAAAATACTTATCAGTACTTCCCACTTTGAGATGTGGCCCAAGGTGTTGCCCGTTGGAAGTCATAGAACAGCCTTCAGTCTTGGCTACTGATGAAAAAAATTATTTTTATTGAGACAGTTGGAGCCACCAAGTTCTACCTGCCTTTTTGAAGCCCCTAGACCTAATTAGGCATAACATTCAACATGTAAATTCACTTTATCAGTTATTAAATTACCCCTTCAAATAAAGGGAGAAAGTCTAGATCTTGGGAATTTAACATGAGAGGGGTGGGGAGGGGAAGAGAGAAAGACAAAACCTAGATAAACCAACAACTTCCACAACTAGGTTTTCTCCCCATCCTATCTCACATCTCCCATTCTGTACATGGAAAAGGATATGTAAGCAACCTACACTCAAGCTCTCACTCTTCAGAAAGACAAACAGTTTCCAAATAAAGACCAAATAAGAACCAAACAAATATACCCACGCGTATATATTTTTGACTTCAAATAAAAGGTGTGAAAAGAGTTAGTATTAATAAGAAGCTTATAAAAGTCTTGCAACCTGAAAATCTACTAATGCAACAAAAAGGCAAGATATAGAGAACCATGTCACATAGCTCACAAAAGATAATGAAGAAACTTGTTGGCAAGAAAAGATAGCTTACAGAAATGCATGAAGAGTACCTCAAGCTATAGAAAAAAATACTAATTAGAATGAAATTTCAGTAATGTTAGACATAAAGTTGAGTCAATAGAACAATGGAATGGGATGAAAGGGGTGTTGTAGATTTTAGAGAATAAACTAAGAACCAAAACAACATTATTATAAAATTAATGAATTTAATAGATATCATAAGAATAAAATATGCTCACCTACAAGTAAAATAACTGCACAGAAAAACATCTCTGCAAAACCTTATAAATGAAGATGAAAATACATCAGATTATAAAAACTTAAAAAGGAAGATCGTAAGTATGGTTTGTCTTATTTTGCCACCATATGGTGAGAGCTTGTTTTCATACAAGCCCAAAAGAAAATGATGGAAGGCCAAGAGATAGAGACAGATTCCGTACAATATCACTTAATCACTTGCTTCAACTGTGCCTGAAGCTAGAATTTCCCCCTTTGGACCTTCCAGTTAGCTAAGCAAGAAATTCTCCACTTCTTTGCATAAGACAATTTTAGTTAGATTTTTTCACTTGCAGCTAAAATCAACCTTCTTAATACAATAATTAGAGCTTAAAACAGTCAAGAATCGGGGCCTGGCATGGTGGCTCACACCTGTAATCCCAGCACTTTGGGAGGTTGAGGCAGGTGGATAACCTGAGGTCGGGAGTTTGAGACCAGCCTGACCAACATGGAGAAACCCCATCTCTACTAAAACTACAAAATTAGCCGGGTGTGGTGGCGCATGCCCATAATCCCAGCTACTCAGGAGGCTGAGGCAGGAAAATCGCTTGAAGCTGGGAGGTGGAGGTTGCAGTGAGCCAAGATCACACCACTGCACTCCAGCCTGGGCGACAGAGCCAGACTCCGTCTCAAGAAAACAAAACAACAACAACAAAAAAAACAAAAAAAACAAAAGTCAAGAATCTAAAATAACATTTTAAGCTTTCAGTGTCTTATTTCCTCACCTGAAGCATGAGGATAATAATTATACCCATCTCATGAGGAGGTTATGTGGGATATATTTCTATCTATATTTGTATCTGTATTACTCTCTCTCTATGTATATATAGATAGATAGATACAGATCTATCTATCTATCTATCTATCTATCTATCTATCTATCTATCTATCTAGATATATCTTACATATCTAGTACAATGCAGTACAATGTCTGGCACATACTGAGGGTGTTCATGGAAGCTATTATTATTGAGTTCAGAATGAATTCCACTATGCTATCTTATCTAAAGTGAAGATATAAGTTGGTTCCATATGATTTGTTCTCGAAGGGTTTCACTGATTAACTCTTACATAGCACTTAATATATGACAGGTATTTTTCTAAGTATTTGAAATACATTAGTTCATTTAACCCTTACAAAACCCTTACAAAGAGGATTTTACATACATTAATTTATTTAACCCTTATAAAACCTATGGAGTAAGCATGTTATTATTCTCATTTCTTCTCATTTTTCAGAGACATACAGAGGTTAAGTAATTTTTCCAAGGTCACACAGCCAGTTAGTCATGGGGAGAGGATGACCCCAGAAGCCATGCTCTTTGCCAGAACTTTAAGCTTTTACAAGAACAGAGCTGTAAGAGCTAGATGCATTGGAAAATAATCATGAAAGGTTTCTAAGCCAGGAAATGACATTATAGGAGTGAGGTATAAATTTGAAGTAACATAATTCAGAAACTTCAAAGCAAGATGCTATTGTAACAGTGTCTATCAAGCATGTCTGAAAGAGTCTCTCCTGTCCACCCTAACAAAGGGAATTAAGTGAAGACACCTGATGGCTTCAAGTTTCAGCACCTTGGAGAGAACTTTAAGTGTAAGCCAAATTCTAGCTGGTGGCTTCCAAGCAGTCCTGCTTCTGGCATCTAAAATAATCCTCTGACAAAGATAATTAAAATGTACATAGAGCAAATATGTCTTTATTGAGGAAATTCCTGAAGTTCATGAAATGTGACTTTTTTGTGATGTATAGTGAATCACCTTAACAAGTTACCATTGTGCCTATCAAATGAAGGAAGTATACAGAGCTGAGGAGAGAGTGTTATTGGTGTGAATGAAGGGCGCTGCCTCCCTGAGCTGTGGGGGTGAAGAAGGTGCTGATGCCAACCTGACAGCAAAAGACGGGGGTGGAAAGCAGAACGAGATGCCAAGGATCTAAGTAAGGAAATGAGAGAGAAAAGAAGAAGACAGACTCAGAGAAACAGAACAGGCAAGAAGAACATCTTCCATTTATTAAGAGCCTACAGTATCTGAACATTAGGAGTCTTAAGTGTATTTTTTTAAGCCTTCAAACAGTCAAGATAATATAGTTATAGTTTTTCTCATTTTACAGATGTAGGAATGGCAAGAAAGAAAGGGTGAGCTGTGGAAAGAAGGAAAGTGGAAAGCAAGGTGGGATGGGGAAGGAGGGAAGAGAAAGGAGAAGCAAAGGACCACCATAAAAATTGAGAGGTCAAAAAAAGAGAAGGGAGAGGAAATAGTGTTCTTATAGAGATACAAATAAAAAACAAAGAGAGGAAGGGGAAAATCAACACAATCTAAACCCCAGTGACCCTAAACACAGGACAAATTGAGCTCTTTTTTTTTTTTTTTCCAAGAAGGGTTCCATGGGCAGAGAACAATTGTTCCAATTCTTGCCCATACAGAGGACACAGGAGGAAGAACACACACTGTGTTCTGGTTGGGAAGGGAGCCAGAGATTTGAAATCTGCTCCAGGAAAAGTATAACAATGGACCTGCAGCATTGTCCTGGATGCTGGATGCAGATGCTGGATGTTGGATGCTGGATGCGGTTGCTGGATGCGTATGCTGGCTGCTGGCTGCTGGATGCTGGCTGCTGGCTGCTGGATGCAGATGCTGGATGCTGGATGCGGATGCTGGACGTGGATGCTGGATGCTGGATATTGGATGCAGACGCTGGATGCTGGATGCTGGATGCGGATGCTGGATGCTGGATGCGGATGCTGGATGCTGGATGCTGGATGCGGATGTTGGATGCTGGATGCGAATGATAGATGCGGATGCTAGATGCGGATGGTGGATGTGGATGCTGGTTATGGATGCTGGATGCGGATGCTGGATGCGGATGCTGGAGGGCTTCTTTCTGTATTGGCCTTTCCTCCTGAAGGAGACTACCAGGGGAGTCCTTATGGCCAACTATCTCACCTAAACTTCTTAAGAAACATCCCTGGGAAGTAGAGACCATTATTATCACCATTGCACAGCTAGTAAGCAACTGAGAGAGGATTCAAATCCGATTTGAAGTTGTAAACACTGCTGTTTTACTTGTTGAATGAGCGGAAAGAAAATTATCTTCCCATTATGATGCACCTATTGGCTAGCAGTGTTCAGTAGCAGAGGCTATCTCATTCACTCTTAGAGGGTAAACCATGAGAAGGGCATGGATGCAGACTTGGGGAGATGCTTCAACCTTTGAGGATGGATGGATCAAAATGTTCGGCAGTTGTCTCTGTATGTCCTGCTCAGACAACTATGGATGAAGACTTCATGTGAGGGCTAGTCTAGAAGCATCCCTGCCTCACCCCTCTCACCCCACTTGGTTGTAAGAATCCTGTAGTGTTGTTTTTAAAAACTGAATTAACTGCAACTGTTAAAAAAAATTGAGAGATTTTGGCATAAAAGCCCAGATAACTTTCTCTTTACAGGGTAGACCCTGGAAACTCCAGGACATTCTAATTAAGAGAATCCTTCTCTTTCATAATAGGAGCAATGAAAGTCAAGAAGTTAATTTCTGTTCAGTCACAACCAACAAATACTTCCCTGTAGATCTAGCACTCTGTCTTGCCAGGCCTCAGTTCACCAGCCCTGTGGTTGGGGTTGCAGTCATCGCCACTAAAACCACCGGATGGAAGAAGGGGGAGGAAGTGGCTTCCCAAAATTAGACCAAGATGCTGTCCCAATAAGAGGGAAAATGATCACTATAAAATCAGACTTTCACTATAATTCTTAGTAAACTACCTCAGGATTCTGCCGTTAATTTTTCATAATTAATAAATTAAAGTGGACACTAAAACAAGAGCCATGACAGGCTTGATCTTGGAGATCTTTAGATGTGACTTAATGACCTGCTGAGATCTCGTTCACGGTAAGTGCTATCCAGGCACCTCAGCACCACTCAGCGTTTTCCAAGTCCCAGACACAAAGGCTTTCTGCATCCCTGAGAGCACAGAACCCATTAGGAAGCACGTATTGATTAGTACTTTTCAGTAGCTGAGGGTATCTTATTTATTCTCAGTGAGTAAAGCATGAGAAGAAAATGGTTGCAGACTTGGGAAAATGCTTCTCTTCTAGCCATTCCAGCCTGACTCACATTGGAGTGAGGACACGGGATACTGATTTAAGGAGAGAAAGTCAAAGGTACTTTATTTTACCAAGATCCTATTTTCAGCACTGTGAAGTTCAATTTATATGTACTATTTTATTCATTCCTTACAACATCCCTGTAAGTTAGGGATCATTAGTTAAAGATGGAAGAATTAAGACAAGAAGTGGCTATGCACCTTGGACAAGCCAATATATCTAGGTACTGATAGTGAACATAGATGTTGATTCCCCATTTCTGCTCCTCTTCTCTTATTTTCCCACTAAAGCATTTACATTTGCCTATTTATCCACACCTAAGATCACATTGGACAGACTGCAAGCTCCCTGAAATACAAATTTTATCTGTCCAGATCACTACTCTATCACCAGGGCCCAGCTAGATATTTGTCTCAATAAATAGCATGAGTTAATACATGGATGAATTATTTACTTCATGCTTTAAAAAGTCATGATATTTATTTTATCCTACAATTTGTTTGCAGCACCTTTGTCACCTCTACCCCTAGAACCCGTTGTTCACAACCCATACTCTGACAATCACATATAAATCCATAAACAAATAACGTATTTTTGTGATAAATCATTCGGAAACATACTTCACTTAATTCTTACCACAACCACAGGTGATTTACATATGTTAAGAGCCAGGATTTGAGTCCAATCCAAATCTGTCTAACCCCAGAATTCTTAGCATTTTCTGGTTTTTCATTTCATTTATTTATTTTTAAGTTTTAATTTATTTTCTGGGTACATGTGCAGGTTTGTTTTATACGTAAATTGTGTGTTGTGGGGTTTTGGTTGTTATACAAATTATTTTGTCACCCAGGTAATAGGCATAGTACCTGACAGCAATTTTTCAATCCTCACCCTCCCTCCACCCTGGTGTCTATTGTTCCCTTCTTTGTGTCCACGTGTATTCAGTGTTTACCTCCCACTTAAGGACATAAAGGAAAGAGATACTCTCTTAAGTGACAACATGTGTTATTTGGTTTTCAGTTCCTGCATTAGTTTGCTGAGGATAATGGACTCCAGCTCCATTCATGTTGCTTCAAAGGATATGATCTCTTTCTTTTTTATGGCTGTGTAGTATTCCATGGCATATGTGTACACATTTCCTTTATCTGGTCTGTCATTGACTGGCATTTAGGTTGATTGCATGTCTTTGCTATGGTGAATAGTGCTGCAATGAACATATATTGTTCATACATGAACAATGTGCATATGGCTTTATGGCAGAGTGATTTATATTTCTTTGGTTATATACCCAATAGCAGGATTGCTGGAGCTAATGTAGTTCTGTTTTAAGTTCTTTGAGTAATCACTGCGAATGCTTTCCAAAATGGCTGAACTAATTTACATTTCCACCAGCAGTGTAGAAGCATTCCCTTTTCTCCACAGCCTTGCCAGCATCTATTATTGTTTGACGTCTTAATAACCATCATGACCGGTATGAGATGATATCTCATTGTGGTTTTGATTTGCATTTCTCTAATGATTAAAAATGTTGACCATTTTTATATGCTTGTTGGCAGCATGTATGTCTTCATTTGAAAAGTGTCTGTTCATATCCTTTGCCCACTTTTAATGGGGTTGTTTTTCTCTTGTAAATTTCTTTAAGTTCCTTATAGATGCTGGATATTAGACCCTTGTCAGGTGAATACATTGCAGAAATTTCCTGTCATTCTGTAGGTTGTCTGTTTACTTTGTTGATAGTTATTTTTTGCTGTGCAGAATTTGTTGTGCAAAATTTGCTATGCAAAATTACGCCATACCAAAACTAGTTCTTGTACCTTGCTTTTCTCACTTAACAATACCTTGTAAGCATATCTCTAGGATAACATGTGTAAATCTAATTCAGTCTTTTGTTACAACTGCATAGTATTTCGAGGAGTGAACATACTGTGATTTGTTCAACTCCTTATTTATTTATGAGCATTCAGGATGTTTCTGGCTTTTGTTTTTTGTCATTTTAAACATGCTGCAAGGATATCTCTGCCTACATATTTTTATTTACTTGTGCATTTGTTTTTATGGATAGATACCTGAAGTAGGATTTCCAAGTTTGAAGATATATGTGATTTTAAAAAATGCAATCAATATTATCAGACTGCTTTCCTAAAAGGCTATAGCATTTCTTATTTCTACTAGAAATACATAAAGTATCCCTTTCCTTTATCTCCTTGCCAAATTTGTGTTATCACTTTTAATTTTTTTCCAGTTTGTTGAATAAGAGGTGACATTTTAATTTTCTTTTCCTGAATACTAATTTTGAGCCTCCTACTGTATGTTTATTGGTCACTGATATCTGCTCCTCTGAATTGCCAAATTATAGCAGAGTCTTCCAGTGGGTCATCAAATCCCATTTCCTCTTCTTGAGCATGTTAACAGAACTACACTTCCCAGCCTCCTTTTCAGGAGAGTATGATCATGTGACTGATTTCTGTCCAATGTAATGCAAACAAAAGTCATGGGCTTCTTTACTCTCAGACCTATCCCCTCAAATCCTCCCATCTGTGATTTTTATTTCTGTCTCCCAAGTGCCAACTTAATTCAGAGGACTCTGAACTCCTGGAGAAGGGCAGAGCTAAAATAGGAAAGAGTATGGGAATGTATATTAATGATCACCTACTACATAAGAAGATCTATTTTAGTCTTCCTAGAAGGGATACAGAAACTTAATGTATTCAGCTATGGATATTCAGATGTTATAGAGCAGTTACCAGCATCTTTACAAATACTCTGTTGATATTCTTTGTTCGTGATTTCTCAAAGAGGTGCTTAACTTTTTCCTTAACATTTCTGAATCATCTGATATAAACATTAACTTTTATTTGCAATGCCTCAAATTTCTATTTTTCCAGTCTCTTATTTGTCTTTTGATTTTATACTACTATCCTTTACCTTCATTTATTTTCTAATAGTCACGTTGGTGGTTTCTGAAGTGCTCTTTGTTATTTAAGAAGTGCTTCTTCAATCTGAAATCTGATAAATATTGTCAGTAAGTGTGTATTCATACTTTATTATGTATTATTTTAATTTTAAAATTTTCAGCACTTTGAGTTCATTCTTTGTGTTTTTTATAGGAAGAATTTAGCTTTGTGTCTTCCCAGATGGGTGGCCTATTATGCTAGAAACTTTTATTAAATGAACCTTTCATTTCTAATTTAAATTGAAATGTTACATTTGTCATATGTTTATTTATATACAAGGATGTATTTCTGCATACTCTATTGCTTTTTACTGTAATATCTGTTATCTCTCTATTTTAATAACAATACTGTTTTGACTAGAGCATCTTCAGAGTATGTTTTTATATGGGTGGTAGGACAATTCCTTCCCCATCATTCTTCTTTTCCAAAAATTGTATGGAAATCATTCCAAATTTGTTCTTTAATGATCTTATTTTGTTCCATTTCTCTAAAAATTATTCAAGAGAAAAAGAAAATATTAAAAGTATAAAATGTAAGAATTCTGATAGAAATGTTGGTAAATAGTTTTATTAGACTGGAAAGAGTAGATAATTTATGATACAAAGTCATCCCATTCGGTAGCATGCTATGTCTCTCCATTAATTCAGATCACGTTTTATGCTCTTTAATAAAATTTTATAGTTTTATTCAGATAAGTACCATGCTTGCTAAATTTATTCATAGATATTTTATAGGTTTTATGACTATTGTGAATGGGCCTCCCTCCTCCCACTTATTTCTAACTGGATATTTGTAATATTGAATGGTCTTTGATTTGTCGCTTCTATGACTTATATTACACCAGGAAGCCCTCCCCACAATCATTGTCATAGAGAATGTGGAAGAATTCCAATTTTTTTTTTATTCTGACAAAATCCAGGGCGTCACAAACTATGCTTCATACCTGGGATAATCTGGGAACCAGGTTAAAAAAAAACTGTTGGACTGCAAATGTCTAGGGAATAGATGAATGATCAGGTATGGGCAGAGGTTGAGCTAAACCAATGTATCTGCTGCAGATGAGCTTGTCCCTCTTGAAAGAGCAAAGTAAATTTCTATGTGCTTTGGGTGGGAGTCAGCACTAGGTGTTTATAAATCAGTGGTCAGAGCAAGTTCCAAGTGACAAGTTCAGGATGAGCTGGGCTTTTATGATGAGGCCATGAAAAATGGGAATAAGAATGCCATGCAAAGGGCCAGTAAAAGGACTGAGACCATGGCAAGTAGAGACAGAGATGAGAATGCTCAACAGAGCAATTGAGCAAAACCAGAAAATGAAGACTTACAAAGGACCCACATCAATAGATGGATTCAAAGGAGTGTTGTAAATGTACAGATATAAGATTTATGTTATTTTTATATGCTATAAGTTACTGAAAATTTAAAGACAGAAATACATAGGGATAATTTTGATAAAAATATACAATGCCTGTACACTGAAGATTATATAGATAGACAGTATAAATTAAAGAGACCTACAAAATTAGAAAGATATACTGTGTTCGTAGAGCAGAAAATTCAGTATTATTAAGAAGTTGCCTATTCGCCTCAAACTCAAATAAAAATTCCAGCAGGCTATTTTTTGTGGTACTTTACAAGCTGATTCTAAAATTTATATGGAAATGCAAAGGGCTTACAATAGCCAAAACAAGTTTGAGGAACAGAGTTGGATAGCTTATAATATCTGATTTCAAGACTTAGTTTTAAGCTAGAGGAATCTGGCCGGGCGGGGTGGCTTATGCCTGTAATCCCAGCACTCTGGGAGGCCGAGGCAGGAGGAGGATCACGAGGTCAGGAGATCGAGACCATCCTGGCTAACATGGTGAAATCCCATCTCTACTAAAAATATAAAAAATTAGCCGGGCATGGTGGCACGCACCTGTAGTCCCAGCTACTCTGGTGGCTGAGGCAGGAGAATCGCTTGAACGCAGGAGGCGGAGGTTGCAGTGAGCCGAGATCATGTGACCACACTCCAGCCTGGGTGACAGATTGAGACTCCATGTTAAAAAAAAAAAAAAAAAAAAAAAAAGCTGGAGGAACTAGAGGAAACAAAATACTGGCATTGGTGTAAAGACAGATACATTGATCAACAGAATGGACTGTAGAGTCCAGAAATAAATAGATCCACGCATATAAGGTCAGCAGATTTTCACAAAAGTGCCAGTGCAATTCAGTGGGGGAAAGAATCATATTTTCAATAGTAATTGATTAGGAAAGAAGGAAGAAATGGGGAGAAAAAGTAAGAAAGAAAGAACCTCAACACTTACATCATACAATATATAAAACATAACTCAAAATGGGTTATGGATTTAAATGTAAGAGATAAAATCTAAAACTTCTAGAATAAATCATGGAAGAAAATCTCAGTGACCTTAAGTTTGGCAAAGACTTCCTAAATAAAACACAAACACCAAAAAGTATAAAAGAAGCAATACCAATAAATTGGATTTTATTAAAATTAAAATTTTTTGTTCTTCAAAAACAAAAATCAAAAGGCAAATGACAAACTGGCAGGAAATATTTGCAAAGCATATATTTGACAAAAGACCTGTATCTAGCTCTGATAAAGAAGTCTCAGAATTCAATACCAAAAAAAACAAACAATCCGGTAAAGTAATGGGCAAAAGATTTGGCAGATAGTTCACCGAAGAAGATATGTGGATGCCAAATAAACACATGAAAATATCCTCATCGTTAGTCATTATGGAAACTAAAATCAAAACTGTAATGAGATACAACCGCTGGAATAGCTAAAATTAAAATAAAAAGACTAGCCATATCAGGTGATGTGGAGCAAGCAGAATTCATACACGAAGGGTAAGGATATAAAGTCATATGACATGCAATGCTTATGAAAAACAATTTGCCAGTTCCATTAAAAGATAAATGTACATTTATCATATGACCCAATTATTCCATCCCCAGGTATTTCCCCAAGATAAATAAAGGCCAATGCCACAAAAAGACTTGACCGTGATCAAGGCATGAACCTGTGAAACACACAACAACATGGAGAACACTTAAAATACTTATCCTGCGCTAAAGATGCCAGATCAAAAATAAAAAAAAGAGTGCATGCTATAAAATTATAGAAAATGCAGATTATACTATAGTGACAAAACAGGCTGCTCGGGAATGGTAGGGATTACAAAATGACTCAAGAAAACCTTCAAAGATGATGTTTATGTTCATTAACTTGATTACGGTGATGGTTTTACTGGTATATGCATATATTCAAAGTCACGTCATTATACACTTTATTTATATTTATTTATTTTTTGAGATGGAGTCTCACTCTGTCACCCAGGCTGGAGTGCAGTGGCACAATCTCAGCTCACTGCAACCTCCACCTCCTGGGTCATGCGATTCTCCTGCCTCAGCCTTCCGAGTAGCTGAAATTACAGTGTGCGCCACCATGCCAGTTAAATTTTGTATTTTTAGTACAGACTGGGTTTCATCATGTTGGCCAGGCTGGTCTCCAACTCCTGACCTCAAATAATCCACCTGCCTTGGCCTCCCAAAGTGCTGGGATTACAGGCATTACCCACCACTCCGGGCCAATAATACATTTTAAATAACACAGCTATAGTATGTCTATTCTAATTTAATAAATCTGTAAAAAGAATACGGTCCGGGAGCAGTGGCTCATGCCTGTAATTCCAGCACTTTGGGAGCCAAGGTGGGTGAATCACTTGAGGTCAGGAGTTCGAGACCTGCCTGGCCAACATGGTAAAACCCTGTCTCTAATAAAAATACAAAAATTAGCCAGGCATGGTGGTGTGTGCCTATAATCCCAGCTACAAGGGAGACTGAGGCAGGAAAATCACTTGAACCTGGGAGGTGGAGGTTGCAGTGAGCTGAGATAGTGCCACTGCACTCCAGCCTGGGTGACAGAGGAGACTCCATCTCAAAAACAACAACAAAAGAATACAGAGATACAAACAATGTCACTCTTTCATCTCTTGCCTGGGCTTTCCCCTGAAGCAGGCTTTTCTTATGAGCCAGAAGGATGGGCCCAGCAGTTTCAAGTTCCCATTCTCTCTGTTTAACAACCCCAGTGGATAATTTTTCTTTCTTAATAGCTCCAACAAAACATGTTTCAGAGATGGACATGTGATACTTTCCAGTAGGTTTAATATGGCCATGAGCCAAAGCACGTGCCACATCTGACTTTATGATAAAGTTCAACAGGGCAGGTAGGAATCAATGCACATGGAGTTGATGAAATGATAAAAGGAGGGAGGGATAGATGCCCAGTGTCATGTGGGGTTTTGATCATTTGAGGTCAGGAGTTCAAGACCATCCTGGCCAACATGGCAAAACCCCAACTCTACTAAAGATACACAAATTAGCTGAGAATGGTGGCACACGCCTGTAACCCCAGCTACTCAGGAGGCTGAAACAGGATAATCGCTTGAGCCTGGGAGATGGAGATTGTACTGCAATCCAGCCTGGGCAACAGACTGAGACCCTGTCTCAAACAACAAAAAAAAAAAATCAGTCTGCCAGAAAGGCTGGATTTTTCAATACCTCTGAGAGAATGGGATCTGTCCTTTTATCTTTTGTCCTTTGGTATCTCTTGAAAGCTTTTCATCTTTCAAGAGTTGTGCTTCTCTAGAGTGAATTGGAGGGAGACGACGCCTAGAACGCCAGCCCCTTAAATGCAGGGATCTTTGATCTTATTCACTGATATCTCTCTAGGGTGTAACCCTCAGTAACCATTTCATGACCATCCATCCCTCCCTCCTTTTAACATTTCATCAACCCCATGTGTTTTGATTCCTACCTGTCTTGTTGAACTTTATCATAAAGTCAGATGTGGCATGTGCTTTGGCTCACGGCCATATTAAACCCACTGGAAAGTATCTCTAAGATCTCAAATATTTAGTGGAATGGCTGTCCTTTCTCCTGGAGAAGAGTGTCTCACTGGGGCCCCTGGCATAGCCAGTTGGAATAGGACCCCCTGACCTCTCCCCTATTGGCCTTGCACCTGCTTCTGTAAGCTCATCAAGCCAGCATTTGACAGAATTAAGATTTGATTTGACACCCTGCTGCACCACCGTTCAGGAACTCAATTGCGCTAAGCAGTGGAGTAGCACTTATTGGTTTCAGAGGGGATGGAAAACAATTTAAGCAACCTTTGTTCTCTTCAGTCCAGATACACACCATTGCTCTGTTGACTCAGGAGCAGCTGTTGACACCCAGCAGAGACAGAAGCTCTGTATGAAATCCTTCCCTCATTTGTCTCTAGCACATCAAGGAAAAACTGCATGCATACATCAGGCAAAATCCTTTCTTTGGACCATCCTTCTAATTCAAGTCCTGGCTGCTTTTCTCAGGGAAAGCAGAGTGAGGCTGGCAGATAGCAGAAGTCCGAGTCTTAGGGAGATGAAAGGCAGGAAGAATGTAAAAGGGTTTTGTTTTCTTTCTTTAAGGATATAGCTTAGGCTGCAGGGAAAGTTGAAAAACACTGGAGAGAAAGGAGTGAAGTGAAGAGGTGACCCAGGAATTTTAACTGAGACAGAGTGGGTGGATGGCTTTATTGCAGGCAAAAAGAAGCACTAGTCCACATTTACTAATTCAAAGGGCAAAAGATATTTTAAAAAAGCAAAAAATAAAAATAAAGTTCAAAAGGCAGTCCAATGCAGCCCAGAACACAAATCCAGGGAGTCTGAACTATCAAGATTTCTGAGAAACACAGATTTTCACAATCAAGTAGAAATGTGGATTCTGGATTGAAGAAACCATGGTGCTGATGGGACACCTAAAACCTTGAATCAGCTCAGGCTGGGGTGTGGTGTTGGCAGGAAATGGAGAGATGTTAGGGCAACAATCACAAGTCCATGGGTTTCAGGATTAGGTCTCTAGGGTGAGATCTTTAGGTCTATTGTGAATCTGGCCCAGAGCCTGTTTTCAGAGAGTTCCTAGTTTAGAGGGAGGGATATATGGGTATTTTGACAGACAGTAAGTTGTGGAGTGTGCAGTGATCAAGAAGAGTGGGAGTGGAGCAGTGCAGGTCAGGTAAGCTTCCTTCAGGATGTCAGCAGGAGTTATCGCAACAAAGGTGTGGTGTGTGAGTGTGTGTGTGTGTGTGTGTGTGTGTGTTTGTGTGTATGTGTAGCATTTGTAAGCATTCTAGGGAATGATGATGGCCGGAACAATGGCATGAAAACAATACATACTAAAATCCAGTTAAGAAACTACAGCATTCAGTGGAGGTAGAGTTTAGAGCGTTGGTTTTCAAACTTGGCAGCAAATTGGAATCATTAGCAATGCTTTTTAAAGTGTTAATTCTTAGGTGCCACCTCCAGAACTAATTTACTTTGGTTTTGGGTAGGACTTTAGAATCCGAATATATGTAAATTTCATCAGGCGATTCTAGTGAGTAATCTGAATTGAGAACTACTGGTTGAGAATATCTGTTGTTCATTAGTGACTTTTTTTTTTGCTACTCAGTATATATCTTTATTATTATTATTATTATTTTAGTGATATCCCTGGCTCCCATTAGGGGAATTACCTCTTTCTCATCTGTGAGCAGTCCTAGCTAAGTGGCCACATGTGGTTGTGCAGGTTGAGCACTGCACAAACATGACTGACCAAGGCTGATTTGAGGGCTGAAATCCTGCCCTGGTTCTGTTCACCAACCATGCATCCTGGTGGAGAGCTGTGCCTATTTCAGGGAAAGGGCATTTTTCTCCAACTTGAACCAAGGTATCAGTTGCCCTGGTTGTCAAAAAAGATGCCTCACTCTACCTTAGCCAAGAATGAGATACATGATCAAGAGTATGCCAACAGGAATTTATCTCTCCTTGGACTTCGCTTATTAAAGATGGAAACCTTAAAAGAGCTAATTCATTCTAGTGAGCAACCTGGAGTAACTCCATTGGCACCTACCACAAGGATCTCCCAAAGCTCTTTGGTTCCTGCCCTTTTCAAACTACTCCCCTCCCCACCTTTCCATTGACTTAGTGCTTTGGAGAAAACGGATGTGGTTTAGGGAGATAACCTCTTAGAGGAGGAGAGGTGCTAGTCAAGACAGAAAGTCCAGGGAGGAGCCATATAGAGTTGCCTGGAAGGATTTCTAGGTAGAGAAATAGGAGGATCAAAGACGCTGAGGTTGAAATGAACACAACACATTTGAAGAACAGTAATGAGATTAGTTAGTCTGGAGCAGAGTGAAAGGGCATGATGTCAGAAAACAACAGGCAGCATATGAGTGCAGTTTAGTGGATGAAATCTTGGGCTCTGGAGTCAGCCTATCTTTTCAAATTCACTACCTTCCAGCTATGAGCCGCTGGTCAAAGTAACAGACCTCTCGATGCCTCAGTGTTTTCATCCATTGAATGAGGCTACTTACAAAACCTACCCCACAAAGTGGTTTGACATATTAAGATATGTCAAGCTCAAGTGCTTAGAAAAGTGTCTGGTATGTAAGTACTCAATAAATGTTAGTTATTGTAAATCGTGATAAAGATTTCATTTTTATTCTTGGTGAAATAGGAAGTCCTTGGAAGGTTTTAAGCAGGAGAGAAACATAGATTGGTTCAAGGTTAAAATGATCTCTCTATTATATTGAAAACAGACTGAATTGGGCAATTGGAGAAGCTAAGATCCAGGCAACTGACGATGGTGATGGTTAGAGCTGGAAGACAGTGGTTTCCTACTCTGCTTCGGTTACTCAGAGACATTTTCTGTTGCTTTCAAATAAACATTTCTCATTGTTATAGACTGCAAGGCTAGAGGTGGTAGGAGATAAAGTGGAAGAGACATCCTACGGCCAGATCGTGTAGGACTTTAACCACCATTCTAAGGAGGCTGATCTTTTTCAGGAAGGCAATGGGGAGTCTTTGAAGGGTTTTGAACAGAAGAATCATACAATCAGATTTGAATTTTCTAAAGTTCCCACTGGTGTTATGTGGAAGAGGAATAGGAGAGAGATTTAGAGATCAGAGACCTATAAATGAGTGTCATTGAGTAGGCGGCTGGAGGGAGAATATTCTCATGGTGACATTAAAGTCTTGGGAATAATAACTGAGACTATTTTTTCTTCCTTTCAGTGGTGGGTAGAGAGTTTTAAAGGGAACTCCAGGTTCTATGATTGTAATGGGCTGAGTAGGCTAGAACCTGGAGAAATACCATCAAAGATGGATTGATATTAAGCCAGTGCTGGAAGAATTCTATACGGCAAAAATGGCAGGACTTCGTCAAAGCCAGTGGAAATAATTTCAGACTCCAGCCTCTAGACCAGAGGTTCTGACCTGCGGCAGTGTGGGGGCCAAAACTGACGTGGGCATGCTTTGTTGGACCCTCTCACTATTTGAAAATGACAATTTGCTGCTATGGAGATTTTATATTAACATTTGAATTTTCTATACAAAGAAATCTGGCAAACCAGGCCAGGCCTCTGTTCCCCCTGGCAGTTATGAACAGGAGGCCAGAAGTGGTGGTGCCTTATCCCCAGATTCCAGAGTCTCCATCTGGCCCATCTACAAATTTCCTTATTGCCCAATCACTGTAGGCCTCTGCAAAGGTGAGCTCTGCCCATATCCTGTGCTGAAGAGGAGAATTAAAGCTATGGTGAAGCCTAGTGCTTAGCTGTAAATAAACAGTTGTGGGGTGAGACACCTGCTTGTTCACTCCCCAGGCCTCACTGATGCCCCATGTTTGGCACCTAACAGCATCCTGGCAACAGTCCCCAGGGCTAGCTTCCCCTGGCATCCGTACTCCCTCCCTTTATGCACCACTTGTGCTCAGCTTCTAGGCCCTCAGAATAATTGGGTCTGAGCAAGCATTCCCTCTATAAATATTAATTTGGATATGCTTGGAATCCTCTGCTCATTTTAGATGAATTGTTAACTAGCTTTCTAATCCGAAGCTTCTTGACAAGCAAAGCAAGATCTCTCTGCTGGCTTCCTCCTCCTTTATTGGTGTGGGGGAAGGTGGAAGTTGCAAGGGTTGATTTTACAAGGTGAGCTTTGTATGGTCAGGCTCCCTGAAGCTGCAAACACCCTATGCTCCTCTGAACAATCTCGATAGAACCACTGTTGGCAGAAAATCAGTATAACCTGACTAGGACTGTGATCTTCAGCAACAGACAGATCATAATTAGGATCTCAGCTCTGCCACTGAGCAACAGTGTGAACCTGGGAAAGTTACTTCACCTCTCTGGGCCTCAATTTTCTCATCTATGAAATAGGGATGATAATAGGCGCTTCCTATGGGTTTACTGAAATTAAATTACATAGTGCGTAGTTATTTTTCAAAAAAAGAAAAAATATTAATAATGAAGGAGAGAGAATTTTAGGGTGAGTACAGAGAAGTCAATGCATTTAGACTGCTATGGTACCTGTACAAACTTCAGGGCAGCAGCTGATGGATTTTTACTAGATCTTAGTAGGTAGAGGCAGACTCACTCCATTATTATGTCATCTAAGTCATGATTGTATCTTGAGGCAGAAAATCCACCCACTCATCCATCCATCAATACATTGAATGAACACACTGAGCAACTACTATGTGTCTTACTTATATGGTGACAGCTACTGAGGACACAGGAGGAAGCAGGTGCAGCGCATGGAGCCAACAATGGGAAGGTATTTGTTGTAGGGAGCCAGTGGGGTCTAATGCTTTGCAATGTAAACTTTGGACTACAGAGACTGCTGGTCCATCACTACAGAACTGTGTGACCTTGGACCAATGACCTCAGCACATCAAAATCCACTCTCTTTATCTATAGCATGGGAATGACAATATCTGCCCACTGGAGTTGGGGATAATAGTTTCTGCTTTGCTTGCTTACCAGGACTTATTTTTTGAGGTTCAAATTCAATGAGCTAATGAATGTGAACCTGCTTTGCATGCCACAAAATAGAAATGAACGTGCAGCCTTCAGTTTTGAAAAAGAAGTTCACCAGGTCTAGCTTTCTCAGGATTTACACCACGCTCACAGCATTGTCAAGGGCAGCCCCTCCTAGGTGCTGACCTACTAGCCAGTGCTCAGTTGCTTAGCCCACTCTCTGCCCTAACTGCCAATCAGCATCATTTCCTGGAGGAATGCAGGGAACAGGAAGGTGGTCTGGATGACCAAACTCACTTTGTATGTGATCCATGTCCTTGTGTCTCCCAGAAAGGCAGAGAACTGGAGCCCAGGCATCCTTTAGAAGCCCCAAAGAATCACTGCTTCTATGTAAGGCAGACTTTCCTTTCTCAGTGGAATTCTGGGCCCTGCCATGGCACTGACTTTCTGCACAAAATGTCAAAGCTGTTGATGGCCTTAGCTTAGTCCTCCTGCAGAACGTTCTAGACTGGCATGTTACTGGCGGTGTAGTGTAGTTATTGTGTGGATAGGCTCTGAGGCCAGGCTGCTGCATTCAATGTCTGCTCTGCCGTGTCCTTGTCTGTGTGACCTTCGCTGTGCTACTCAACCTTTCTAAAACTCAGTCCTTTGACACAATGGGGCTACTAATGCTGCCTAAGTGATAGGTTTGTTGAAAGATCTAGCAATCTAAAGCAGTAAGCGTGGTGCCTGACATGTAGCAAGCACTCAATTAATTCATCATATTGTTTCCTGCACATTCTCATTCCTGATGCTCCATGGTGTCACCTGCAAGAAGAGGCAGTGCCAAGCTTGAGATTCAAGGAAGTAATACAAAGTGACTAGCGGTAGAAGGGCGTCAATAAACAGAGTTTATTACTATCATTAATACTATTTATCATTGCTGTAATTATTCATCATAGAGTGAAGACAATGCTGGTGACAAATTTGGAGGGGAGGCAAGCCCCTGATTCTCACCAATAGAGATCTGAGCACTGGTAAGCCTGTATCTCAGACAGCTCAGGGAGGGACTGCTAGAGAGAAAGCTGGCCTGGCACAGAGAATCCTCATCATTTCCATTTGGCCCTTGTCCCCAGAGTAGTTTCCATAATGAGCTGACAATTGTTTCCATCGAGGACCCCTGCACCTTCCTTGACCTGGGCTTAGATGGACTTTGCAATGGCATCCCACACAAGCACAGCAAGCTCACACACACCATAGAATGTTACCTATCCCCAGGAGTGTGATAAGTGACTACCCGTAAGGCAACTGGGGAAACCTCAAGTAGGAACAACGCCTCAGACTATCCCACTGCCCCAAGCCTGGGCTGCTCCAACAGTCTCCACCTACCTTCTGAAGCTAAATCTGCTTCTTTCTCCAGTTGCTCAGGGCTGGACCAACTTGGGTTGGCCGTGCCAAGAGACTCTCCAAGGTGGGTTTTCAGGGTAAAGGACGCAGTAAGGTGCTTATTTCTCTCTATGAAGAGTTAACCCATGAATAAAGCATCAGCTATCCCACCTTTAATTTCAGGTGCAGTCTTTGAACTCCAAGAAGGCAGAACCCATGTCTGTTCAATTGTTCCATGCATCCAACATGCTCAGTGCATAGTGAGTGATGGGAAGTACTGGCTGGATGGATAGATGGATGAGTTTCTCTACATCTCCTAGTTGTAGCGCCCCCACAGCTGTGTTCTTGGGGTCCACAGTTACAGCCAAGTTCTTAGACTCTTCTCCCAAAGACAGAGGTTTAACAGCTCTGTCTTTCCTCAGCACTTCCATCGTATGGGCTCAGTCTCATACGTCCCACCCTACCAGCACCCTCCTCAGAGCTAACTGGATCTCAGAGAATCCCAGCTCCCACATTGTAACGGCCCCATCTTCCTTAGATTAGTCCTTAGATTCTGAACACACGCATGCTAGGGTAATTAACTCTAGTTGCTGTAACAACCCCTGTATCTCAAAGACTTGGTGCAATGGCCTATTTGTTACTCATGTCACAACCCGATCAGGCATTGAGCCAGCAGCATTATGTGCAATGATTTAGCAATCTACTTTCCTTCCATCTTGAGGCTCAACTTTTCGCATAGGGTTGTGTGGTCTTAAGCTGGATCCTTATGCTCTGAATAAAGAGAGTGAACCGAGGATCTCAGAGAGAAGCAGGGCTGGGCCTGGAAATGGTGTACATTTGCTCACCCACATTCCACTTGCCAGAATCAGCATGTGGCCTCAGCTCAAGAGCCGGGGAGGCAGGAACTGCAGTCTCCCCATGCTCTTAGGCCAGGGAAGTGGGATTGGTGCACATCTACTCATTCTCTGCCACAGCACGCTTCACTTATATCCTGTCTTGTGCCCTGGTCCACAGGATAAAACGTCTGCTCTGTTTCCTGCTCTGATGACCACTTCTGCCTACAGGCCTTTTGTAAGATGGAGGCTGATATTGTTTGGATATTTTTCCCCTCCAAATCTCATGTTAAAATGTGACCCCAAGTGTTGGAGGTGCACCTAGTGGGAGGTGTTTGGGGCATGGGGGCAGATCCCTCATGAATGGCTTGGTGCCCGCCCCTTGGTGATGAGTGAGTTCTCACTCTGTTAGTTCATGGAATATCCGGTTATTTTAAAAAGGCTGGCACCTCCTCCTCTCTCTACGGCTACCTTTTTCACCATGTGACCCACTAGCTCCCCTTTCTCCTCCCACCATGATTGGACACTTCCTGAGGCCTCACCAGAAGCAGATGTTGCTATGCTTCCTGTATGGCCTGCAGAACCATGAGCCAATTAAACCTTTTTCGTTGTAAATTACCCAGGCTTAGGTATTTCTTTATAGCAACACAAAGCAGACTAATACAGAGGCCATGCCATATTCCTACACGTTCACCTTACCACAGGTGGCAGCTCTCCCCCTGAATGCCAAACCACTTGTAAAGTTCTGCTTCCCTAAGAGCTGTGGGTTTGGCTTCCTTACTATTATGCTCACCTGATTGCTGAGGGACCTAGATTTTTTTTTTTCTCACCCTAGACATCAGTGTTCACCCTTACTTGTAAAATGGCAAGAGGAAGTTCGGATCCTTGAGCAACATGCCTTTTCCACATGGAACAGGGCACGAACTCAAAAGCAATACTTGATTCATCTCTTTCCTTCTCATACCTTATACCAAATCTGTCAGCAAGTCCTGTTGGATCTTTGAATGTACCTCAAAACATGTTCCTGCTAAACCATGCCTATTAACTTTACCATTTAGGCAGAATCTACACACAAAATTGTACACAAATCTTAAGTATTAAGCTTCATTCATTTGTACATATGAATGCATCTCTGCTTCAGTCCACAACAAGATACACATTTCCAGCATCGTAGAAGGCTCCTTGTGTCTCATTCTGGTAATCACTATGGTCATCACTAAAGGTAACCACTATGATGACCTCTATCATCTGTTCTTGATTGCACATTAATGGACTCAGATGGTATGTACTCTTTTGTGACTGACTTCCTTTGTTGAACACTGTCTATGTGAGTTTCGTGCATGTTGTAAGTGATTCAGTCATCTGTTCGCTTCTTTATTTTCCTGTTGATGGACATTTGGTTTTCCAGTTTGGGGCTGCCATGAATAAAGTTTATATAAATTATTTTACATTTCTTTGGGTGAGCATGAACACTTGTTTCTGTTGGGCATATTCTCAGGGGTGGACTTGCTGAGTCTTAGGATATATGTATATTTGGCTTTAGAAGATCCTGCCAAGCATTTAAAAAACTGTTTATAACAATTTATACTCCAACCAGCCGTGTTTGAGAGTCCCATTTTCTTCATATCTTTGCCATCACTAGGTCTCATTAGTCTTTTTAATTGTAGCTATTCAGGTGGGTGTAGAGACAACCACTCCTTATTATCTCCACTACTCTCACTCTACTTCAAGGCACAGTTAGTTGTCTATTGCCTGGACTGCTGCAGTGAACTCTTAATTGGTCCCTTTGCTTTCTGCTCTTGCCAAACACCCTTCAATCCACTTTCCACCCAATATCCAGAATGTTTCACTTTCCTACTAAAGCCCTTCAATGGCTCCTGGCTGCATGTAGAAATAAATCTCTGCTCTTAGGGTGACCTTCAAGCTTTCACATCTCCCTTCTTATCATTCATATTTCAGCCCAAGTAATGCCTCCTCAGGGGGCCTTTCCTGACCATCACTCTAATAATGTTCCTAGCCAATCACTCTTTATCCAATCCATTGCTGTATTTTCTTCACATCTCTTGTCACTATCTGTATCATCTAAGTCATTGACTCTGAACTATCTTCTCCCACTTATCTGTAAAGTTCTACAAAAGTGGGACTTGGTGTGTTGTGTTCCCTGCATTGCCCGAGTACACAGCCCATTGCTGGGCACATTGAAAACCTTCCATAAATGTTTACTGAGTCCACCTGCCTGAGCCTGGGAATCCAGCCTGGTGCAGCCCAAACTGCACGTCCCTGTAGCTTATTCTCTTGGATTGCCGCTAAGCCATTGCATGTCTCCAGTAAATTCCAGACTGTGGTAAGTGATTCTTTTTTTTTTTTTTTTTTTTTGAGACGGAGTCTCGCTCTGTCGCCCAGGCTGGAGTGCAGTGGCGGGATCTCGGCTCACTGCAAGCTCCGCCTCCCGGGTTCACGCCATTCTCCTGCCTCAGCCTCCCAAGTAGCTGGGACTACAGGCGCCCGCCACTACGCCCGGCTAATTTTTTGTATTTTTAGTAGAGACGGGGTTTCACCGTTTTAGCCGGGATGGTCTCGATCTCCTGACCTTGTGATCCGCCCGCCTCGGCCTCCCAAAGTGCTGGGATTACAGGCGTGAGCCACCGCGCCCGGCCAAGTGATTCTTAAAAGCATAAGGGCTGGATCCTCCATTCTCCAAACAGGTTAGTCTGATTAGAATTCAACTGCACTAGAAGATACTGACCAAGAACAGACCAAATCCACAACATTGCAGCCTAGCTACCCTAACGGAAGAATTTTCACCTGCGTCTCCTTGAAACATTCACTGACTTCTCAGTCTAAATATCTCCTCTTCTCTGAAAATGGCCACACCCTCTTCCATAGCTTCTATAAAATCTGCCTTCCAGGGAACTCCTGGAGAGTAGAGATTTACTCTTCCTTTCCAGAGTCATCTGTGAGGGCAAGAAAGATATTATTATTTTCTCCATTTTTCACTTGAACAACCTGGGGCATGATCTAATGAAATCCTTTTCCCCTCCACCATGCATTCCTCCTTCCCAGGATAGCCTGGAGGCCTTTGCCACCTTGCCACAGTACTGAGATAGGCTGAAAATAATCCATCTACCTCTCCACGACTGCATTTAAGAGAAACCAGAAACAGAGAAGGGCCGCTTTTAGTGGTCTGAAAAAAAATGAGGTCCTTTTCCAAGCAATTTCTAGTGGTATAGAGGACTGACATACCATAAAATAGGCAGGGTGATCACAGCGTACTGGGATTAAAACCATTCTAGGACAGCAGAGATGTTCTGGGCGGGTGGGGGTGGGCCAAGAGCTTCTGGCAGCCTCTGTGATGGGTGGCGTGGTTCTCTCTCCCTTTTCCCCTATGCCTTATCTGTCTCTCTCTGCCTCCCTTTCTCTTTTTCTGTCTCTCTTTTCCTTCTCCTAACCCCTGCCACCTCCCATTGCGAGCCCACACGTCCCTAAACTGTCAAATGACAAATAATGTTACCTCCTTCCCTTGAGTGCACATACAATCCTGAAGTGTGCATCCTCAGAGATGTCTCAAAATCTTTCCCTTTCACCCACATACATATGAATAAAAATACAAGTAAATACACATGCACACAACCATTGATGCACACTCACACACAAATACACACAAACACATCTACACACCTAGACACACATTCATACACCTTCCTCTGCCCATATAAATATAAAGCAACTCTCACTCTGTCATTCATTCACTTTTTTTCTGTCCCTGTTTCTCATCCTCACTGGATACATACCCAGACCTCTGAAATAATCAAACTCAAAATCTTCTTTCTGAATGCTGTGGTTTCTCTCTGTCTTTAGATGTAGATATACCTATATCTACACATGCAACCCATTTTGTTTTCTTCTTTCTTGCAGGTCCTTCTTCACACACCTGTGAAATGGCAGTGCTTACATTCTTGCCTCCACTTTGCCCCAGAACAGAGCTTAGCACATTCTTTACTCCGTATGGCTGATCCCTTGGGGGACAGCGCAGAGTGGTGACTTCTTCCACCAGCCTCTTTGCAAGATATATCCATGACTGATGGCAGTAATAAATGCCCTGGATTATTTCCTAGACCATCTTCTCCTTATCTGGAAAGAGTACACAACAGCAGGAGCCCCATGAAGTGGATGCAGCAAGGACTCCTAGAAATAAGGGTACAAGAGTGAAATTCTACTTCCACTCCCCGTCTTCCCAGGCTGTATATCCACAGGCCAGCTGCTTTTCTCTAAGGACCTCAGTCTCTTCATCTGCAAGGTGGAGATGGCACAGTATTTGTTCTTCATGTACACCAATGGGTTACTTTTCATTTGCACTTACTTTCTACTGACTGAGAAAATCCTAAATAATCAATGAACTTCTTACAGAAAATTAATAAATGTCTCTATGTGTTCAAGCAGCAAGACAAAGGGAACAGTGTGCATACCTTGTCATTTAAGTAGTCATCTATCCATTCATCCACCCATCCATCCATCCATCCATCCATGCGTCCATCCATCCATGCGTCCATCCATCCATCCATCCATCCATCCATCCATCCATACTTTCACCAATGTATTCACTCACCCATCCACCCACCCATGTATCGATCCATTCATCCATCCATCCATCCATCCATCCATCCATCCATCCATCCAACCATCTACCACTCATACAACCACCTACCCATCTACCCATTATCCACTCCACCATTCACCCATAAATCCACCCACCCACTCACGCATCTATCCATCCACACATCTACCCATCCATTCACCCATCCACCCATTAATCCACCCATATACCCGTTTATCCATACATTCACCCATCAGCACATACATCCACTCACAAATCCACCCTTTTATCCATGTATCCACCCATCTACTTGCTCACCCATCAACCCATCCACCCATCTATCCATTCACCCATTCTCCCATTCATCCACCCATCCATCTGCCTGCTTACTTACCCATTCCATCCATCCACCCATCCACTCACCCATCATCCATACATTCACCCTTCCATCCATACATACACCCCCACCAGTCCTTTCATTCATTCATCCATTCACTCACCTATCTAAGCATCCACCCATCCATCACCCATTCGTTCATCCACCCATCCACCTGCCCACTCATAAATCCATCCACCCACCCAGCCAATCATCCATCCATCTTATCTATCCACCCATCCACCTATTCACTCATCTACCCCCCCCCCATTCACCCATCTACCCATTCGTCTATCCACCCATTTATTCATCGGTCATCCATTTGTCTACCCACCTATCCACCCACCTACTCACTCATCTGCCTATCCACCCATCCACCCACCCATCCACTCACACTCATCCATCCATCCATCCATCCATCCATCCATTCATCTACCCCTCCACTGATTCTTCCATCCACCCATTCACCCATCCATCCAACTATTCATTCATTCATCCATTCACCCATTCAGTCATCCACCTATCTCTTCATCCACCCATTTACCCACCCATATACCCATTCACTCATACACTCATCCACCCACCTACTCACTCTCCCATCCATCTATCCACCCATCTTCCCATCCATCCATCTACTCAACCATCCACCCATCCATCACCCATATACCTATCCACTCATCCATCTATCGATTCATCTACCCATCTATCCACTCATCCATTCACCCATCTGTTCACCCACTCACTCACCCATCAATCCATTCACACATATACCCATACATCCACATATCTACCAATGCATTCACTTCTTTCCGTCTTTACTTCCGTCATCCTAGTCAAAGCCAGCATCGTTTTTTATCCTTCACTGCTGTAATATTCTTCTAATTGGTTCCCCTGTTTTCATTCTTGCCTGCCCTTCCTGCAATCAGTTTTACCTAAAAGCCAGAATGATCCTTTAAAAATATAAGCCAATTCTTGTCACTTCCTGCCTAAAATCTTTCTATGACTCCCACTCCTCTTAGCTTATATCCCAAATTTCTTATTTAACACAACGTTCGGAGTGATCTGACCCCTTCTTTCCTCTCAGATTCTTTTAGATCACAATCTTTCCATCCCACTCTACTTAACCACTTGAGAATTGTCTCAAGACCTCTATCACACCAAGACCTCTTTTGCCTAAGGTATTTCCCTTGCTGCTTAGATTTCTGCTTCCTTTGAGCAACATGGCCTTGTTAGACACTTATAAAGGCCAACTCCCGACTCACCAAGCCAGCATTGGGCACAGCCTCTTGGGATGTCTTGGTGAGCCATGTCTTAGCTGGGTAACATTCTCAATTCTGATCATGTACAAATCTTCATTTTTTTCTCTTCCCCTTTGCCCAACTTGATGAACTTCTACCCGACACAATTTATTGAGATCACAGCACTACTTGGTGCAAGTTTAAGTTACAATAATACTTTGAGGCTTAGCGCTTAATAGACCAGGTCAATCTATAGGATATGTAAATTGGTAGGAGTTCCCAATATAAATAATAATGTGGTGTCCAAGAAGAGCAGCAGGAGCTTGCTTCTACACCAAGGGCAACTGGATTTTCTTCTAAGGGTAGTACGTTTTGACTTGACCTGTCTGAAGCCAATGTCTTGAATTCTGTCTCCTCAGACAATATTTCTTCCACTTGCTGATTTCAGAATTCCATTGCAAATTCTCAGCTTCATGATCTGCTTTTCATTTTATTGCCTTGAACGTAACAAGTGTTCTCAACTCCTCCTAATCTTATTAAACTGCTGTTTTCGCAAAGTAACTGGGTGATTTTCAGTCTATACACGTTGAGATTTAGCACAGCATGCAAGCAGCTGAGCTGATGTCAACTTCTGAATTGTAAGCAGCCAGATACACCCAACCTCCCCTGCCCCTGGTCAGCCAAAGCTTTCACTTGTCCAGGTTTGATGACTTTGATATCTCCGAAGGCAGAGGGTACACTCTGCCTCTCTGACTCTTGGGAATAAATAGCAAGGTCAGAGGTGACTGATGGGTGACAGAGGAGAAGAGCTCTCTCCTGATTCTATCATGTGATGAAGAGAACTGGGAGTTAGGAAAAACTTGGTCCTACCTACAGCTTTTTTTTTTTTTTTTTTTTTTTTTTTTTTTTTTTTTTTTTGAGACGGAGTCTCACTCTGTCGCCCAGGCTGGAGTGCAGTGGCGGGATCTCGGCTCACTGCAAGCTCCGCCTCCCGGGTTCACGCCATTCTCCTGCCTCAGCCTCCCAAGTAGCTGGGACTACAGGCGCCCGCCACTACGCCCGGCTAATTTTTTGTATTTTTAGTAGAGACGGGGTTTCACCGTTTTAGCCGGGATGGTCTCGATCTCCTGACCTCGTGATCCGCCCGCCTCGGCCTCCCAAAGTGCTGGGATTACAGGCGTGAGCCACCGCGCCCGGCCCTACCTACAGCTTTGACTGCCTTCCCATGAGCGATATTGACCAAGTCACTGTATGTCACTGGGCCTCACCTTGGATCCTAGTTCCTTATTTTTGAAGAGAAGTTGAACCAGTAGTTCTAAGTCATTATTTACACTATGGCCTGCCAATCGCCCAGTAAACCCAGAGGCTATGACAAGTCTTGCAGACTAGCCAAATAGCCTATTTCTCTAATTTTTAAAATAAAACTCAAAGGGACAGAATTGATCTCTCTAAAAAACTGTCTACAAGATGTCAGATTATACAAACAAAAAAAGCTATTTATTTTTTCTCTCTCTCTCCTTTCCTCATCTTTTCCCCTCTTTCCTCTCCTCTCCTCTCTCTCTCCCCACTTCCTGTCTTTTGTCTCCTTCCTCCCTCCCCTCCCCCACTTCTTTCCTTATTTAACTCCTGGCCTTCCTTCCTTTCTTAACTTCCTTCCTTGCTTCCTTCCTTCCTTCCTTTCTTCCTTTCTTCTTTTCTTCCCTCCCTATTTAACTTCCTTCCTTCCTTTGACTCCCTTCCTTCATTTCTCCCTTATTTAACTCACTTCCTTCCCTCCCTCCCTTTCTTCTTCCTTCCTTCCTTCCTGCCTTCCCTCCTTCCTTCCTCCCTCCTTCCCTTCCCTTCCCTTCCCTCCTCATTTTATCTTTCCTTTTTCTGTTATGTGATAACTGCAACCCAGCCTCATCTTTCTCCTGGAGTCTGCTTGTCTTCGATTTCTTATTGTTATTGGGAGGTTGGATAGCATCACTATCCATCAGGGTTCTCCAGAGAAAGAGACCATTTGTCTCTGTGCGTGTGTGTGTGCACCACATGTGTGTATGTCTATATTAAGATATTTATTTTAAGAAATTGGCTCACATGATTGTGGGGGCTGGCAAGTCTGAATTTGTAGGGCAGGCTGGCAGGCTGGAAACTCAGGCAGGAGTTGATATTGAAGTCTTGATGCAGAATTTCTTGTATTGGAAACCTTGAGTTTTGCTCTTAAGGCTTTCAACAGATGAAGTAAAGCCCACCTATATTGTTGAGGGAAATCTCCTTTATTTAAAGCCTATTGATTATAGGTGTTAACCATATCTGCAAAATACCTCCAAAGCAACTCCTAGAATATTGTTTGATTAAATAACTGGGTACTCTAGACTTGCCAAGTTAACACAAAAAAATTACCATCACATCATCCAATCACTTTCACATACACAGTGCTTGAGATCTTCAGGCCTCAATCAAAATTCTGTACATTCACTCTGACCTGGGTCTTCACTGAGTCCTCCTTTCTCTCTGGTACAAGGGACTGGAAGGCAGAGGCTATAACTGTAGCAAGGATTATCCAGCTCAGGGCAGCTCAGGAGCCTTTCTAGGGTTCAGAAAGCTATGGCTGTAAGAGCATTCCTGGAGGGTAGAGTTGGGCTGAGGATGGAAGCACAGCCCAGTCCTGCAGGCTGGGCTCCTGCATCAGCAGGAAAGAGGCTACTCTGGAAGGAGATTTTCCTTCTTAAACCCAATTCATGTTGTCAGCAAGAAGGCAAAGGGATGGCTGGTGCTTATAACTGGAGATAAAGATGACACAGGGAATGATGATGGTATGGGTTTCATCAAGAGGGCACTTACTGTGATGGTTAATACTGAGTGTCAACTTGATTGGATTGAAGGATGCAAAGTATTGATCCTGGGTGTGTCTGTGAGGGTGTTGCCAAAGGAGAATAACATTTGAGTAAGTGGGCTGGGAAAGGCAGACCCACCCTTAATCTGGGTGGGTACCATCTAATCAGTTGCCAGAGTGGCCAGAATATAAAGCAGGTAGAAAAATGTGAAAAGACTAGACTGGCTTAGCCTTCCAGACTGCATCTTTCTCCTGTGCTGGATGATTCCTACCCTCGAACATCGGACTCCAAGTTCTTCAGCTTTGGGACTCTCACTGGCTTCCTTGCTCCTCAGCTTGCAGATGGCCTGTTGTGGGACCTTGTGATCATGTGAGTCAATACTCCTTAATAAACTCCCTTCATATATATATCTATCCTCTTAGTTCTGTCCCTCTAGAGGACCCTGACTAATACACTTACCATAATCATTATAATAAGAGAAAACTTGGATGACCTTAGACTTGAAGCAGGCTGAGACCTCAACAGGGAGAAACAGAGAGAAGAATTGGTTGGAAAAAAGGTTCTATAACTATGAGGCAGCCCAGCTATACTCCACAGTAATGGTGGTAATAGTAGTAGTAACAGTAACAGCTAACAGTTTTGGTTCTATGTTCTAGCACTGTTCTAAGTACTATACAAACATTAATTCATTTGATGCTCACAGCAATGTTATGAGGTAGTTACCATTACCATCACATTTTAAAATGTTAATTAATTTATTATTATTATTATTTTTAAAGACAGGCTCTCAACTCTGTTGCCCAGGTTGGAGTGTAGTGGCACGATCATGGCTCATTGCAGCCTTGAACTCCTGGGCTTCAGCAATTCTCCTGCTTTGACCTCCCAAGTAGCTGGGATACAGGTATGAGTCACCATGCCTGGCTAATTGTTAATTTTAATTTTAATTTTTAGAGACAGCATCTCACTATGTTGCTCAGGCTATTCCAGAACACTTGGCCTCAAGCAATGAACCCTCCTGGGTTCCTCCACATTTTATGTACAGGAAAGCTTAGGCACAGAGATATTAAGTAACTTATTTGAAGTTCCACCGCTAGTAAGTGGCAGAGCTAGGATTCAAACCCAGGAAGTCTGACTTCAGACTCTATGTTTAAAATCACCATGCAACACTGTAAGAACACAAGATCTAAAATGTGGGGCAAATCTGGGCCTGGCTCTGGCCAGAGATTATACTCAATCACAAATATTCATTGAGCAGTAATTACATCTCAAGTGTTTTTCTAGGCAGTAGCAATGTAGTGGTGAACAGGATGTGACAATGGACTCTAGTCATAATGATGGAACTTGGCAACTGGAAGTCCTAGAACAAATGTCAAGTTTATTGATCATTAGTAGCATATAGATCTAAATTAATCTAGAGATCTTGGCATGTCCCCACAATGTGAGGCCTGTGGGACGGTAGGAGTCATTTTCTTTTGTCAAACTCAAGAAAGGTGAGTAATTCAGATTTGTAGATTATTGCTTGGATGTTGATGTTCACAAAGATGATGTCCTAACATGGTTGAGGAATGAACTCTGGAGCCGAAATTTCTGGGTTCAAACCCAGGCTCTGATGCTTATGACACATGTGACAGTGGGCAAGTTGTTCTACCTTTGTGTACCTCACTTCTCTTGACTGCAAAACAAGGGTAATAAGAGAAAACATTCCTCCTATGATTGTATTTAATATGTCAATATTTACGAAGTACTTAGAATTGGACCTGGTCGATTGTAAATGCTGTAAGAGTGCTTGTGAAATAAATTCCTCTAGCTTTTATTCCCATCAAAAATCAAGTTGATTATCTCTTTATGAATAACTATTTCTTTTTTCAGACTCCACTACTTCTGTGAATGGCACTGCTTCGGCCTCCCAAGTAGCTTGGACTATAGGTATGAGCCACCATGCCTGGCTATTTTATTTTTATTTTTAGAGACAGCATCTCGCTACGTTGCCCAGGCTATTCCCAAAGGCCGAACACAATCTTTGCCCAGTTGACCAGATTCACATGGAACTCATGCTGAGCCTCTCCCGGCACTGCCTTGGGGAGACTTTGACAGGCTCTCGAGAGACACCCTCTAGGTTCCCAAGGCTTCTCTCTCTAATGCCATCAATTTCTTTTCACCACTTGCAGCCTGAAACCATTTGATGGTTCCTTATCAATAATCCTTCAGTTTAGAATTTTATTTATTTAAAATTTTAACTTTTATTTTAGATTTTGGGGTACACATGCAGGTTTGTTACATGGGTACATGGCATGACACTGAGGTTTGGGGTATAAATTGTCCCATCACCCAGGTAGTAAACATAGTACCCAATAGGTAGTTTTTCAGCCCTTGCCCCCATCTCTCCCGCCCCTCCTCTAGTAGTCCCCAGTATCTGTTGTTCCCGTCTTTACGTCCAGTGTACTCAATCTTTAGCTCCCACTTGTGAGAGCATGAGGTATTTGGTTTTCTGTTTCTGTGTTAATTCGTTCAGGATTATGGCCTCCAGCTGCATTCATGTTGCTTTAAGGAGATGATTTTGTTCTTTTTTATGGCTGTGTAGTATTCTGTGGTTTATATGTGCCACATTTTCTTTATCCAATCTACCACTGACAGCCACCTGGCTTGATTTTATGCCTTTACTATTATGAATAGTGCTGTAATGAACATATGAGCACAAGTGTCTTTTTGGTAGAATGATTTATTTTCCAATGGGTATATACCCAATGGTGAGATTGCTGGGTTGAATAGTAGCTCTGTTTTAAGTTCTTTGAGAAATCACCAAACTGCTTTCCACAGTGGTCTAGCTACTTCTTCAGACTCTTGTCCCACACTTCTTTGAAAGGTATTCCAAACTCTAGTCTTCCTGAACTGCATAATTTCCCCATTCCCCATCTCTGTGCCTTTGCTGCATTATCATTTATGTCTAGGGTGCATCTTCTCACTATCTGATCAAATGGGGTCCTTCTCCAAGGGCCAGCATGCCATCACTTCCAGCATGAAGTCCTCTCTGATTTGCCACACATCAGCAGGGGTTTGCTCTCTCCTCTGAACCTCCAGGTTGAGATTTGTACACACCATACAATGAGGATCATTTTGCGCCTTTTACTCAAGTTAGCAGGGAGTTGGTGGATCACAGGAATTAATGGCAGAGAGTCTGGACCCAGACCATTCTGGCTTTGGCCTCTAACTTTTTTACTTACCAGGGTTGAAACCAGAGATAACTTTCAGCTTCCAGCCTCAGCTCTTCTTTTCTTTCTCTTTCTTTTCTTTTCTTTTGTTTTCTTTTTTTTTTTTTTTTCATTCTGTTGCCTAGGCTGGAGTGCAGTAGCATGATCTTGGCTCACTGAAACCTCTGCCTCCTGGGTGCAAGCGATTCTCATGCCTCAGCCTCCCCAGTAGCTGAGATTACAAGTGTGTGCCACCATGCCCAGCTAATTTTTTTGTATTTTTAGTAAAGACAAGGTTTCATTATGTTGGCCAGGCTGATCTCAAACTCCTGACCTCAGGTCATCTGCCTGCCTCGGCCTCCCAGCCTCAGCTTTTCTGATGTCCACAATGGAAATAGTTGTGGCTGCCCTTAGAACCTCATGATTGGTCCCCAGCTCTCACCCTTGTTCATTCCTACAGTGTGCTCAGTGATCCTTTGCAAACTTAACTTAATGTTACTCCTTTGCTTTAAAATAATCTGGTAAATTTTCACTGTCCTTAGAATAAAATCCAAAGTTCTTCCCTTGGCTTCTTGACTTCTCTGATCTAATTTCCCACCCTCCTCCCTCTCCCTCTGCTTTGGGCTGCTGGCCTCCACATGCTCAGAGCCTTTTCACTGGCTGTGTTCTCAACCTGGAACACTCTTCTTCAGGCATCCCCATGACTCACTCTCTTATTCCATTCATTCATTGGTGAGGCTTCCCCAGACCTACCTGCTATAAAATGGCTTCCCCATTCCTCTCCGTTTACTTTGCCTTGTAAGTGATCACCTCCAGGTGTATTATAGACTTCTTTCTTTCTTTATTGGTTGTCTTTCTCCTCGCTACCACCCTCAGGGATGATAAACTCCACAAAGGTAGAGGACTGCTGCGTTGTTCCTTATTTGATTCCAGGCACCGAAAAAAAAACATTCTTGACATATTCTGGGCACTTGGTTAATAGTTATTAAATGAATGAGTGAGGTTTAGCACAGTGCCAAGCTCCTGGTGAGTGTTCAATGTGCAATAGCCGTTAGTATTTAACTCTTAGTGCTTGAGCTCATATCTGTCTTCCCCACTGGTGTGTGTGCTCTTCAAGGGCAGTGGCCATGTCTTATTCATCTCTGTATCCCCCATAGAACCCAGCACAGGGTAGGAGCCAACCCATGCATGTTAATGTCAAAGACTTCTGCCGACATCAGAGGGCAAAACTGAAAAAAAAAAAAAAAAAGAATAGAGCAAAAGCAGCCCCTTGCCTCGGTGTGCAGGCATTTGATGGATTCAGAACATTTCATCACCCTGTTATCTCTGGCAGCGAAGACACAGAGCCCTGACAGAGTGGAGAAAGAAGAGCTTCAAGGACTGCTGCTGGGGTCAGGCTGCCATCCTCCTAGGGGCTGTGCATCTCCTAGGAGGAGCAAACTCGGGTCCCTGCCTCTGCCTGCCTCCTCACCTCCCATTCCTTCCTCCAGCAGTTCTATGTTCCCAGCACTCAGCCTCCCCTGCTGTCTCAGTCCCTGGAGGGGCAGAGACACCCTCTCCTTCCTACGTAAGCATTAGTCATTCTCCAGGAGAGCGCTATGACAAGATCCCATCTCCGCAGTGCCCAGGGAATCCGACACCTGTGAGCCATGTGTATTTTCTTCCAACTCTTGGTCATGCTGTGAATGTTATTAAAATGCCCTATTTATCAGAGTGATAAATGCCCTATTTATCAGAGTGATAAAATGCCCTATTTATCAGAGTGATATTGTTTGGCTTAAGCCAAACAATATATAGGATTTAAAATACAGGCTGGGAATTTAATTTTCATGGGAGCAGTGGTGAACAACTAAAGGAGGGTAATTTATGATTCTCCTGAGGGGAAGCAGAAGGCTAGCCAAGTACTTGGAGGCGATTCTTTCCTCTCTCCCTGCCCCTGCCCAGACCCTCCCTCCCAGGCCTCTGTCTGCTCTGGGTCGTCCTTGGAGCAATGCAATTCCCTGAATGGGTG